>NC_000009.12:43755044-44120453 GCF_000001405.40 Homo sapiens
CACAGAACTGAACATTCCCTTTCATAGCAGCATGTTTGAAACACTCTTTCTGTAGTATCTGCAAACGGACATTTCAAACGCTTTCAGGCCTATGGTGAGAAAGGAAATATCTTCAAATAAAAACTAGACAGAAGCATTCTCAGAAACTTATTTGCGATGTGTGTCCTCAACTAACAGAGTTGAACCTTTCTTTTGATACAACATTTTGGAAACACTCTTTTTGTAGAATCTGCAAGTGGATATTTGAATAGCTTTGAAGGTTTCGTTGGAAACGGGAATATCTTCATATAAAATCAAGACAGAAGCATTCTCAGAAACTTCTCTGTGATGTTTGCATTCAACTCATAGAGTTGAACACTTCCCTTCATACAGCAGGTTTGAAACACTCTTTTTGTAATATTTGGAAGTGGACATTTGCAGCGCTTTGAGGCCTATGATGAAAAAGGTAATATCTTCCCATAAAAACTAGACAGAAGCATTCTCAGAAACTTGTTTGTGATGTGTGTATTCAACTAACAGAGATGAACCTTTCTTTTTACAGAGCAGTTTTGAAACACTCTTTTTGTGGAATCTGAAAGTGGATATTTGGATAGCTTTGAGGATTTCGTTGGAAACGGGATTACATATAAAATCTAGAGAGAAGCATTCTCAGGAACTTCTTTGTGATGTTTGCATTCAAGTCACAGAACTGAACATTCCCTTTCATAGAGCATGTTTGAAACACTCTTTCTGTAGTATCTGCAAGCGGACGTTTTAAGCGCTTTCAGGCCTGTGGTGAGAAAGGAAATATCTTCAAATAAAAACTAGACAGAAGCATTCTCAGAAACTTATTTGCGATGTGTGTCCTCAACTAACAGAGTTGAACCTTTCTTTTGATACAACATTTTGGAAACACTCTTTTTGTAGAATCTGCAAGTGGATATTTGGATAGCTTTGAAGGTTTCGTTGGAAACGGGAATATCTTCATATGAAATCAAGACAGAAGCATTCTCAGAAACTTCTCTGTGATGTTTGCATTCAACTCATAGAGTTGAACACTTCCCTTCATACAGCAGGTTTGAAACACTCTTTTTCTAATATTTGGAAGTGGACATTTGCAGCGCTTTGAGGCCTATGTTGAAAAAGGAAATATCTTCTCCTAAAAACCAGACAGAAGCATTCTCAGAAACTTCCTTGTGATGTGTGTACTCAAGTAACAGAGTTGAACCTTCCTTTTGACAGAGCAGTTTTGAAGCACTCTTTTTGTAGAATCTGCAAGTGGATATTTTGATACCTTTGAGGATTTCGTTGGACACGGGATATCTTCATATAAAATCTAGACAGAAGCATTCTCAGAAACTTCTTTGTGCTGTATGTCCTCAATTAACAGAGTTGAACCATTGTGTGGATACAGCATTTTGGAAACATTCCTTTAGTAGAATCTGCAAGTTGATATTTAGATAGCTAGGAAGATTTCCTTGGAAACGGGAATATCTTCATATAAAATCTAGACGGAAGCATTCTCAGAAACTGCTGTGTGATGTTTTCATTCAAGTCACAGAGTAGAATGTTCCCTGTTATATACCAGGTTTGAGACACTCTTTCTGCACTACCTGGAAGTGGACGTTTGGAGCGCTTTGAGGCCTATGTTGAAAAAGGAAATATCTTCCCATAAAAACTAGACAGAAGCATTCTCAGAAACTTGTTTGTGATGTGTGTATTCAACTAACAGAGATGAACCTTTCTTTTTACAGAGCAGTTTTGAAACACTCTTTTTGTGGAATCTGAAAGTGGATATTTGGATAGCTTTGAGGATTTCGTTGGAAACGGGATTACATATAAAATCTAGGGAGAAGCATTCTCAGGAACTACTTTGTGATGTTTGCATTCAAGTCACAGAACTGAACATTCCCTTTCATAGAGCAGGTTTGAAACCCTCGTTCTGTGGTATCTGCAAGCGGACGTTTCAAGCGCTTTCAGGCCTGTGGTGAAAAAGGAAATATCTTCAAATAAAAACTAGACAGAAGCATTCTCAGAAACATATTTGCGATGTATGATCTCAACTAACAGAGTTGAACCTTTGTTTGGGTACAACATTTTGGAAACACTCTTTTTGTAGAATCTGCAAGTGGATATTTGGATAGCTTTGAAGGTTTCGTTGGAAACGGGAATATCTTCATATGAAATCAAGACAGAAGCATTCTCAGAAACTTCTCTGTGATGTTTGCATCAGCTCATAGAGTTGAACCCTTCCCTTCATACAGCAGGTTTGAAACACTCTTTTTGTAATATTTGGAAGTGGACATTTGCAGCGCTTTGAGGCCTATGTTGAAAAAGGAAATATCTTCTCCTAAAAACCAGACAGAAGCATTCTCAGAAACTTCCTTGTGATGTGTGTACTCAAGTAACAGAGTTGAACCTTCCTTTTGACAGAGCAGTTTTGAAGCACTCTTTTTGTAGAATCTGCAAGTGGATAGTTTGATACCTTTGAGGATTTCGTTGGACACGGGATATCTTCATATAAAATCTAGACAGAAGCATTCTCAGAAACTTCTTTGTGCTGTATGTCCTCAATTAACAGAGTTGAACCTTTGTGTGGATACAGCATTTTGGAAATATTTCTTTAGTAGAATCTGCAAGTTGATATTTAGATAGCTAGGAAGATTTCCTTGGAAACGGGAATATCTTCATATAAAATCTAGACAGAAGCATTCTCAGAAAGTGCTTTGTGATGTTTGCATTCATGTCACAGAGTTGAATATTCCCTTTTATAGAGCAGGTTTGAAACACTCTTTCTGCACTACCTGGAAGTGGACATTTGGAGCGCTTTGAGGCCTATGTTGAAAAAGGAAATATCTTCCCATAAAAACTAGACAGAAGCATTCTCAGAAACTTGTTTGTGATGTGTGTATTCAACTAACAGAGATGAACCTTTCTTTTTACAGAGCAGTTTTGAAACACTCTTTTTGTGGAATCTGAAAGTGGATATTTGGATAGCTTTGAGGATTTCGTTGGAAACGGGATTACATATAAAATCTAGAGAGAAGCATTCTCAGGAACTTCTTTGTGATGTTTGCATTCACGTCACAGAACTGAACATTCCCTTTCATAGAGCATGTTTGAAACACTCTTTCTGTAGTATCTGCAAACGGACATTTCAAACGCTTTCAGGCCTATGGTGAGAAAGGAAATATCTTCAAATAAAAACTAGACAGAAGCATTCTCAGAAACTTATTTGCGATGTGTGTCCTCAACTAACAGAGTTGAACCTTTCTTTTGATACAACATTTTGGAAACACTCTTTTTGAAGAATCTGCAAGTGGATATTTGGATAGCTTTGAAGGTTTCGTTGGAAACGGGAATATCTTCATATAAAATCAAGACAGAAGCATTCTCAGAAACTTCTCTGTGATGTTTGCATTCAACTCATAGAGTTGAACACTTCCCTTCATACAGCAGGTTTGAAACACTCTTTTTGTAATATTTGGAAGTGGACATTTGCAGCGCTTTGAGGCCTATGATGAAAAAGGTAATATCTTCCCATAAAAACTAGACAGAAGCATTCTCAGAAACTTGTTTGTGATGTGTGTATTCAACTAACAGAGATGAACCTTTCTTTTTACAGAGCAGTTTTGAAACACTCTTTTTGTGGAATCTGAAAGTGGATATTTGGATAGCTTTGCGGATTTCGTTGGAAACGGGATTACATATAAAATCTAGGGAGAAGCATTCTCAGGAACTTCTTTGTGATGTTTTCATTCAAGTCACAGAACTGAACATTCCCTTTCATAGAGCAGGTTTGAAACACTCTTTCTGTAGTATCTGCAAGCGGACGTTTTAAGCGCTTTCAGGCCTGTGGTGAGAAAGGAAATATCTTCAAATAAAAACTAGACAGAAGCATTCTCAGAAACTTATTTGCGATGTGTGTCCTCAACTAACAGAGTTGAACCTTTCTTTTGATACAACATTTTGGAAACACTCTTTTTGTAGAATCTGCAAGTGGATATTTGGATAGCTTTGAAGGTTTCGTTGGAAACGGGAATATCTTCATATGAAATCAAGACAGAAGCATTCTCAGAAACTTCTCTGTGATGTTTGCATTCAACTCATAGAGTTGAACACTTCCCTTCATACAGCAGGTTTGAAACACTCTTTTTCTAATATTTGGAAGTGGACATTTGCAGCGCTTTGAGGCCTATGTTGAAAAAGGAAATATCTTCTCCTAAAAACCAGACAGAAGCATTCTCAGAAACTTCCTTGTGATGTGTGTACTCAAGTAACAGAGTTGAACCTTCCTTTTGACAGAGCAGTTTTTAAGCACTCTTTTTGTAGAATCTGCAAGTGGATATTTTGATACCTTTGAGGATTTCGTTGGACACGGGATATCTTCATATAAAATCTAGACAGAAGCATTCTCAGAAACTTCTTTGTGCTGTATGTCCTCAATTAACAGAGTTGAACCTTTGTGTGGATACAGCATTTTGGAGACATTCCTTTAGTAGAATCTGCAAGTTGATATTTAGATAGCTAGGAAGATTTCCTTGGAAACGGGAATATCTTCATATAAAATCTAGACGGAAGCATTCTCAGAAAGTGCTTTGTGATGTTTGCATTCAAGTCACAGAGTTGAATATTCCCTTTTATAGAGCAGGTTTGAAACACTCTTTCTGCACTACCTGGAAGTGGACATTTGGAGCGCTTTGAGGCCTATGTTGAAAAAGGAAATATCTTCCCATAAAAACTAGACAGAAGCATTCTCAGAAACTTGTTTGTGATGTGTGTATTCAACTAACAGAGATGAACCTTTCTTTTTACAGAGCAGTTTTGAAACACTCTTTTTGTGGAATCTGAAAGTGGATATTTGGATAGCTTTGAGGATTTCGTTGGAAACGGGATTACATATAAAATCTAGAGAGAAGCATTCTCAGGAACTTCTTTGTGATGTTTGCATTCAAGTCACAGAACTGAACATTCCCTTTCATAGAGCAGGTTTGAAACACTCTTTCTGTAGTATCTGCAAGCTGACGTTTCAAGCGCTTTCAGGCCTATGGTGAGAAAGGAAATATCTTCAAGTAAAAACTAGACAGAAGCATTCTCAGAAACTTATTTGCGATGTGTGTTCTCAACTAACAGAGTTGAACCTTTGTTTTGATATGGCATTTTGGAAACACTCTTTTTGTAGAATCTGCAGGTGGATATTCGGATAGCTTTGAAGGTTTCGTTGGAAACGGGAATATCTTCATATAAAATCTAGACGGAAGCATTCTGAGAAACTGATTTGTGATGTTTTCATTCAAGTCACAGAGTAGAATGTTCCCTGTTATATACCAGGTTTGAGACACGCTTTCTGCACTACCTGGAAGTGGACATTTGGAGCGCTTTGAGGCCTATGATGAAAAAGGAAATATCTTCCCATAAAAACTAGACAGAAGCATTCTCAGAAACTTGTTTGTGATGTGTGTATTCAACTAACAGAGATGAACCTTTCTTTTTACAGAGCAGTTTTGAAACACTCTTTTTGTGGAATCTGAAAGAGGATATTTGGATAGCTTTGCGGATTTCGTTGGAAACGGGATTACATATAAAATCTAGGGAGAAGCATTCTCAGGAACTTCTTTGTGATGTTTGCATTCACGTCACAGAACTGAACATTCCCTTTCATAGAGCATGTTTGAAACACTCTTTCTGTAGTATCTGCAAACGGACATTTCAAACGCTTTCAGGCCTATGGTGAGAAAGGAAATATCTTCAAATAAAAACTAGACAGAAGCATTCTCAGAAACTTATTTGCGATGTGTGTCCTCAACTAACAGAGTTGAACCTTTCTTTTGATACAACATTTTGGAACCACTCTTTTTGTAGAATCTGCAAGTGGATATTTGGATAGCTTTGAAGGTTTCGTTGGAAACGGGAATATCTTCATATAAAATCAAGACAGAAGCATTCTCAGAAACTTCTCTGTGATGTTTGCATTCAACTCATAGAGTTGAACACTTCCCTTCATACAGCAGGTTTGAAACACTCTTTTTGTAATATTTGGAAGTGGACATTTGCAGCGCTTTGAGGCCTATGATGAAAAAGGAAATATCTTCCCATAAAAACTAGACAGAAGCATTCTCAGAAACTTGTTTGTGATGTGTGTATTCAACTAACAGAGATGAACCTTTCTTTTTACAGAGCAGTTTTGAAACACTCTTTTTGTGGAATCTGAAAGTGGATATTTGGATAGCTTTGAGGATTTCGTTGGAAACGGGATTACATATAAAACCTAGAGAGAAGCATTCTCAGGAACTTCTTTGTGATGTTTGCCTTCAAGTCACAGGACTGAACATTCCCTTTCATAGAGCAGGTTTGAAACACTCTTTCTGTAGTATCTGCAAGCTGACGTTTCAAGCGCTTTCAGGCCTATGGTGAGAAAGGAAATATCTTCAAGTAAAAACTAGACAGAAGCATTCTCAGAAACTTATTTGCCATGTGTGTTCTCAACTAACAGAGTTGAACCTTTGTTTTGATACGGCATTTTGGAAACACTCTTTTTGTAGAATCTGCAGGTGGATATTCGGATAGCTCTGAAGGTTTCGTTGGAAACGGGAATATCTTCATATAAAATCTTGACGGAAGCATTCTCAGAAACTGCTTTGTGATGTTTTCATTGAAGTCACAGAGTAGAATGTTCCCTTTTATATACCAGGTTTGAGACACTCTTTCTGCACTATCTGGAAGTGGACATTTGGAGCGCTTTGAGGCCTATGATGAAAAAGGAAATATCTTCCCATAAAAACTAGACAGAAGCATTCTCAGAAACTTGTTTGTGATGTGTGTATTCAACTAACAGAGATGAACCTTTCTTTTTACAGAGCAGTTTTGAAACACTCTTTTTGTGGAATCTGAAAGTGGATATTTGGATAGCTTTGAGGATTTCGTTGGAAACGGGATTACATATAAAACCTAGAGAGAAGCATTCTCAGGAACTTCTTTGTGATGTTTGCATTCAAGTCACAGAACTGAACATTCCCTTTCATAGAGCAGGTTTGAAACACTCTTTCTGTAGTATCTGCAAGCTGACGTTTCAAGCGCTTTCAGGCCTATGGTGAGAAAGGAAATATCTTCAAGTAAAAACTAGACAGAAGCATTGTCAGAAACTTATTTGCCATGTGTGTTCTCAACTAACAGAGTTGAACATTTGTTTTGATACGGCATTTTGGAAACACTCTTTTTGTAGGATCTGCAGGTGGATATTCGGATAGCTTTGAAGGTTTCGTTGGAAACGGGAATATCTTCATATAAAATCTAGACGGAAGCATTCTCAGAAACTGCTTTGTGATGTTTTCATTCAAGTCACAGAGTAGAATGTTCCCTGTTATATACCAGGTTTGAGACACTCTTTCTGCACTACCTGGAAGTGGACATTTGCAGCGCTTTGAGGCCTATGATGAAAAAGGAAATATCTTCCCATAAAAACTAGACAGAAGCATTCTCAGAAACTCGTTTGTGATGTGTGTATTCAACTAACAGAGATGAACCTTTCTTTTTACAGAGCAGTTTTGAATCACTCTTTTTGTGGAATCTGAAAGTGGATATTTGGATAGCTTTGAGGATTTCATTGGAAACGGGATTACATATAAAATCTAGAGAGAAGCATTCTCAGGAACTTCTTTGTGATGTTTGCATTCACGTCACAGAACTGAACATTCCCTTTCATAGAGCATGTTTGAAACACTCTTTCTGTAGTATCTGCAAACGGACATTTCAAACGCTTTCAGGCCTATGGTGAGAAAGGAAATATCTTCAAATAAAAACTAGACAGAAGCATTCTCAGAAACTTATTTGCGATGTGTGTCCTCAACTAACAGAGTTGAACCTTTCTTTTGATACAACATTTTGGAAACACTCTTTTTGTGGAATCTGCAAGTGGATATTTGGATAGCTTTGAAGGTTTCGTTGGAAACGGGAATATCTTCATATAAAATCAAGACAGAAGCATTCTCAGAAACTTCTCTGTGATGTTTGCATTCAACTCATAGAGTTGAACACTTCCCTTCATACAGCAGGTTTGAAACACTCTTTTTGTAATATTTGGAAGTGGACATTTGCAGCGCTTTGAGGCCTATGATGAAAAAGGTAATATCTTCCCATAAAAACTAGACAGAAGCATTCTCAGAAACTTGTTTGTGATGTGTGTATTCAACTAACAGAGATGAACCTTTCTTTTTACAGAGCAGTTTTGAAACACTCTTTTTGTGGAATCTGAAAGTGGATATTTGGATAGCTTTGAGGATTTCGTTGGAAACGGGATTACATATAAAACCTAGAGAGAAGCATTCTCAGGAACTTCTTTGTGATGTTTGCATTCAAGTCACAGAACTGAACATTCCCTTTCATAGAGCAGGTTTGAAACACTCTTTCTGTAGTATCTGCAAGCGGACGTTTTAAGCGCTTTCAGGCCTGTGGTGAGAAAGGAAATATCTTCAAATAAAAACTAGACAGAAGCATTCTCAGAAACTTATTTGCCATGTGTGTTCTCAACTAACAGAGTTGAACCTTTGTTTTGATACGGCATTTTGGAAACACTCTTTTTGTAGAATCTGCAGGTGGATATTCGGATAGCTTTGAAGGTTTCGTTGGAAACGGGAATATCTTCATATAAAATCTAGACGGAAGCATTCTCAGAAACTGCTTTGTGATGTTTTCATTCAAGTCACAGAGTAGAATGTTCCCTGTTATACACCAGGTTTGAGACACTCTTTCTGCACTACCTGGAAGTGGACGTTTGGAGCGCTTTGAGGCCTATGTTGAAAAAGGAAATATCTTCCCATAAAAACTAGACAGAAGCATTCTCAGAAACTTGTTTGTGATGTGTGTATTCAACTAACAGGGATGAACCTTTCTTATTACAGAGCAGTTTTGAAACACTCTTTTTGTGGAATCTGAAAGTGGATATTTGGATAGCTTTGCGGATTTCGTTGGAAACGGGATTACATATAAAATCTAGGGAGAAGCATTCTCAGGAACTTCTTTGTGATGTTTGCATTCAAGTCACAGAACTGAACATTCCCTTTCATAGAGCAGGTTTGAAACACTCTTTCTGTAGTATCTGCAAGCGGACGTTTTAAGCGCTTTCAGGCCTGTGGTGAGAAAGGAAATATCTTCAAATAAAAACTAGACAGAAGCATTCTCAGAAACTTATTTGCGATGTGTGTCCTCAACTAACAGAGTTGAACCTTTCTTTTGATACAACATTTTGGAAACACTCTTTTTGTAGAATCTGCAAGTGGATATT
Organism: Homo sapiens; assembly: GCF_000001405.40. NCBI lineage: Eukaryota > Metazoa > Chordata > Mammalia > Primates > Hominidae > Homo > Homo sapiens. The sequence goes on from NC_000009.12 coordinate 43,764,304, forward strand.
TGGATAGCTTTGAAGGTTTCGTTGGAAACGGGAATATCTTCATATGAAATCAAGACAGAAGCATTCTCAGAAACTTCTCTGTGATGTTTGCATTCAACTCATAGAGTTGAACAGTTCCCTTCATACAGCAGGTTTGAAACACTCTTTTTCTAATATTTGGAAGTGGACATTTGCAGCGCTTTGAGGCCTATGTTGAAAAAGGAAATATCTTCTCCTAAAAACCAGACAGAAGCATTCTCAGAAACTTCCTTGTGATGTGTGTACTCAAGTAACAGAGTTGAACCTTCCTTTTGACAGAGCAGTTTTGAAGCACTCTTTTTGTAGAATCTGCAAGTGGATATTTTGATACCTTTGAGGATTTCGTTGGACACGGGATATCTTCATATAAAATCTAGACAGAAGCATTCTCAGAAAATTCTTTGTGCTGTATGTCCTCAATTAACAGAGTTGAACCTTTGTGTGGATACAGCATTTTGGAAACATTCCTTTAGTAGAATCTGCAAGTTGATATTTAGATAGCTAGGAAGATTTCCTTGGAAACGGGAATATCTTCATATAAAATCTAGACGGAAGCATTCTCAGAAAGTGCTTTGTGATGTTTGCATTCAAGTCACAGAGTTGAATATTCCCTTTTATAGAGCAGGTTTGAAACACTCTTTCTGCACTACCTGGAAGTGGACATTTGGAGCGCTTTGAGGCCTATGTTGAAAAAGGAAATATCTTCCCATAAAAACTAGACAGAAGCATTCTCAGAAGCTTGTTTGTGATGTGTGTATTCAACTAACAGAGATGAACCTTTCTTTTTACAGAGCAATTTTGAAACACTCCTTTTGTGGAATCTGAAAGTGGATATTTGGATAGCTTTGAGGATTTCGTTGGAAACGGGATTACATATAAAACCTAGAGAGAAGCATTCTCAGGAACTTCTTTGTGATGTTTGCCTTCAAGTCACAGGACTGAACATTCCCTTTCATAGAGCAGGTTTGAAACACTCTTTCTGTAGTATCTGCAAGCTGACGTTTCAAGCGCTTTCAGGCCTATGGTGAGAAAGGAAATATCTTCAAGTAAAAACTAGACAGAAGCATTCTCAGAAACTTATTTGCCATGTGTGTTCTCAACTAACAGAGTTGAACCTTTGTTTTGATACGGCATTTTGGAAACACTCTTTTTGTAGAATCTGCAGGTGGATATTCGGATAGCTTTGAAGGTTTCGTTGGAAACGGGAATATCTTCATATAAAATCTAGACGGAAGCATTCTCAGAAACTGCTTTGTGATGTTTTCATTCAAGTCACAGAGTAGAATGTTTCCCTGTTATATACCAGGTTTGAGACACTCTTTCTGCACTACCCGGAAGTGGACGTTTGGAGCGCTTTGAGGCCTATGTTGAAAAAGGAAATATCTTCCCATAAAAACTAGACAGAAGCATTCTCAGAAACTTGTTTTTGATGTGTGTATTCAACTAACATAGATGAACCTTTCTTTTTACAGAGCAGTTTTGAAACACTCTTTTTGTGGAATCTGAAAGTGGATATTTGGATAGCTTTGAGGATTTCGTTGGAAACGGGATTAAATATAAAATCTAGAGAGAAGCATTCTCAGGAACTTCTTTGTGATGTTTGCATTCACGTCACAGAACTGAACATTCCCTTTCATAGAGCATGTTTGAAACACTCTTTCTGTAGTATCTGCAAAGGGACATTTCAAACGCTTTCAGGCCTATGGTGAGAAAGGAAATATCTTCAAATAAAAACTAGACAGAAGCATTCTCAGAAACTTATTTGCGATGTGTGTCCTCAACTAACAGAGTTGAACCTTTCTTTTGATACAACATTTTGGAAACACTCTTTTTGTAGAATCTGCAAGTGGATATTTGGATAGCTTTGAAGGTTTCGTTGGAAACGGGAATATCTTCATATAAAATCAAGACAGAAGCATTCTCAGAAACTTCTCTGTGATGTTTGCATTCAACTCATAGAGTTGAACACTTCCCTTCATACAGCAGGTTTGAAACACTCTTTTTGTAATATTTGGAAGTGGACATTTGCAGCGCTTTGAGGCCTATGATGAAAAAGGTAATATCTTCCCAGAAAAACTAGACAGAAGCATTCTCAGAAACTTGTTTGTGATGTGTGTATTCAACTAACAGAGATGAACCTTTCTTTTTACAGAGCAGTTTTGAAACACTCTTTTTGTGGAATCTGAAAGTAGATATTTGGATAGCTTTGCGGATTTCGTTGGAAACGGGATTACATATAAAATCTAGGGAGAAGCATTCTCAGGAACTTCTTTGTGATGTTTGCATTCAAGTCACAGAACTGAACATTCCCTTTCATAGAGCAGGTTTGAAACACTCTTTCTGTAGTATCTGCAAGCGGACGTTTTAAGCGCTTTCAGGCCTGTGGTGAGAAAGGAAATATCTTCAAATAAAAACTAGACAGAAGCATTCTCAGAGACTTATTTGCGATGTGTGTCCTCAACTAACAGAGTTGAACCTTTCTTTTGATACAACATTTTGGAAACACTCTTTTTGTAGAATCTGCAAGTGGATATTTGGATAGCTTTGAAGGTTTCGTTGGAAACGGGAATATCTTCATATGAAATCAAGACAGAAGCATTCTCAGAAACTTCTCTGTGATGTTTGCATTCAACTCATAGAGTTGAACACTTCCCTTCATACAGCAGGTTTGAAACACTCTTTTTGTAATATTTGGAAGTGGACATTTGCAGCGCTTTGAGGCCTATGTTGAAAAAGGAAATATCTTCTCCTAAAAACCAGACAGAAGCATTCTCAGAAACTTCCTTGTGATGTGTGTACTCAAGTAACAGAGTTGAACCTTCCTTTTGACAGAGCAGTTTTGAAGCACTCTTTTTGTAGAATCTGCAAGTGGATATTTTGATACCTTTGAGGATTTCGTTGGACACGGGATATCTTCATATAAAATCTAGACAGAAGCATTCTCAGAAACTTCTTTGTGCTGTATGTCCTCAATTAACAGAGTTGAACCTTTGTGTGGATACAGCATTTTGGAAACATTCCTTTAGTAGAATCTGCAAGTTGATATTTAGATAGCTAGGAAGAGTTCCTTGGAAACGGGAATATCTTCATATAAAATCTAGACGGAAGCATTCTCAGAAAGTGCTTTGTGATGTTTGCATTCAAGTCACAGAGTTGAATGTTCCCTTTTATAGAGCAGGTTTGAAACACTCTTTCTGCACTACCTGGAAGTGGACATTTGGAGCGCTTTGAGGCCTATGTTGAAAAAGGAAATATCTTCCCATAAAAACTAGACAGAAGCATTCTCAGAAACTTGTTTGTGATGTGTGTATTCAACTAACAGAGATGAACCTTTCTTTTTACAGAGCAGTTTTGAAACACTCTTTTTGTGGAATCTGAAAGTGGATATTTGGATAGCTTTGAGGATTTCGTTGGAAACGGGATTACATATAAAACCTAGAGAGAAGCATTCTCAGGAACTTCTTTGTGATGTTTGCCTTCAAGTCACAGGACTGAACATTCCCTTTCATAGAGCAGGTTTGAAACACTCTTTCTGTAGTATCTGCAAGCTGACGTTTCAAGCGCTTTCAGGCCTATGGTGAGAAAGGAAATATCTTCAAGTAAAAACTAGACAGAAGCATTCTGAGAAACTTCTTTGCCATGTGTGTTCTCAACTAACAGAGTTGAACCTTTGTTTTGATACGGCATTTTGGAAACACTCTTTTTGTAGAATCTGCAGGTGGATATTCGGATAGCTTTGAAGGTTTCGTTGGAAACGGGAATATCTTCATATAAAATCTAGACGGAAGCATTCTCAGAAACTGCTTTGTGATGTTTTCATTCAAGTCACAGAGTAGAATGTTCCCTGTTATATACCAGGTTTGAGACACTCTTTCTGCACTACCCGGAAGTGGACGTTTGGAGCGCTTTGAGGCCTATGTTGAAAAAGGAAATATCTTCCCATAAAAACTAGACAGAAGCATTCTCAGAAACTTGTTTGTGATGTGTGTATTCAACTAACAGAGATGAACCTTTCTTTTTACAGAGCAGTTTTGAAACACTCTTTTTGTGGAATCTGAAAGTGGATATTTGGATAGCTTTGAGGATTTCGTTGGAAACGGGATTACATATAAAATCTAGAGAGAAGCATTCTCAGGAACTTCTTTGTGATGTTTGCATTCACGTCACAGAACTGAACATTCCCTTTCATAGAGCATGTTTGAAACACTCTTTCTGTAGTATCTGCAAACGGACATTTCAAACGCTTTCAGGCCTATGGTGAGAAAGGAAATATCTTCAAATAAAAACTAGACAGAAGCATTCTCAGAAACTTATTTGCGATGTGTGTCCTCAACTAACAGAGTTGAACCATTCTTTTGATACAACATTTTGGAAACACTCTTTTTGTAGAATCTGCAAGTGGATATTTGAATAGCTTTGAAGGTTTCGTTGGAAACGGGAATATCTTCATATAAAATCAAGACAGAAGCATTCTCAGAAACTTCTCTGTGATGTTTGCATTCAACTCATAGAGTTGAACGCTTCCCTTCATACAGCAGGTTTGAAACACTCTTTTTGTAATATTTGGAAGTGGACATTTGCAGCGCTTTGAGGCCTATGATGAAAAAGGTAATATCTTCCCATAAAAACTAGACAGAAGCGTTCTCAGAAACTTGTTTGTGATGTGTGTATTCAACTAACAGAGATGAACCTTTCTTTTTACAGAGCAGTTTTGAAACACTCTTTTTGTGGAATCTGAAAGTGGATATTTGGATAGCTTTGCGGATTTCGTTGGAAACGGGATTACATATAAAATCTAGGGAGAAGCATTCTCAGGAACTTCTTTGTGATGTTTGCATTCAAGTCACAGAACTGAACATTCCCTTTCATAGAGCAGGTTTGAAACACTCTTTCTGTAGTATCTGCAAGCGGACGTTTTAAGCGCTTTCAGGCCTGTGGTGAGAAAGGAAATATCTTCAAATAAAAACTAGACAGAAGCATTCTCAGAAACTTATTTGCGATGTGTGTCCTCAACTAACAGAGTTGAACCTTTCTTTTGATACAACATTTTGGAAACACTCTTTTTGTAGAATCTGCAAGTGGATATTTGGATAGCTTTGAAGGTTTCGTTGGAAACGGGAATATCTTCATATGAAATCAAGACAGAAGCATTCTCAGAAACTTCTCTGTGATGTTTGCATTCAACTCATAGAGTTGAACACTTCCCTTCATACAGCAGGTTTGAAACACTCTTTTTGTAATATTTGGAAGTGGACATTTGCAGCGCTTTGAGGCCTATGTTGAAAAAGGAAATATCTTCTCCTAAAAACCAGACAGAAGCATTCTCAGAAACTTCCTTGTGATGTGTGTACTCAAGTAACAGAGTTGAACCTTCCTTTTGACAGAGCAGTTTTGAAGCACTCTTTTTGTAGAATCTGCAAGTGGATATTTTGATACCTTTGAGGATTTCGTTGGACACAGGATATCTTCATATAAAATCTAGACAGAAGCATTCTCAGAAACTTCTTTGTGCTGTATGTCCTCAATTAACAGAGTTGAACCTTTGTGTGGATACAGCATTTTGGAAACATTCCTTTAGTAGAATCTGCAAGTTGATATTTAGATAGCTAGGAAGATTTCCTTGGAAACGGGAATATCTTCATATAAAATCTAGACGGAAGCATTCTCAGAAAGTGCTTTGTGATGTTTGCATTCAAGTCACAGAGTTGAATATTCCCTTTTATAGAGCAGGTTTGAAACACTCTTTCTGCACTACCTGGAAGTGGACATTTGGAGCGCTTTGAGGCCTATGTTGAAAAAGGAAATATCTTCCCATAAAAACTAGACAGAAGCATTCTCAGAAACTTGTTTGTGATGTGTGTATTCAACTAACAGAGATGAACCTTTCTTTTTACAGAGCAGTTTTGAAACACTCTTTTTGTGGAATCTGAAAGTGGATATTTGGATAGCTTTGAGGATTTCGTTGGAAACGGGATTACATATAAAACCTAGAGAGAAGCATTCTCAGGAACTTCTTTGTGATGTTTGCCTTCAAGTCACAGGACTGAACATTCCCTTTCATAGAGCAGGTTTGAAACACTCTTTCTGTAGTATCTGCAAGCTGACGTTTCAAGCGCTTTCAGGCCTATGGTGAGAAAGGAAATATCTTCAAGTAAAAACTAGACAGAAGCATTCTCAGAAACTTATTTGCCATGTGTGTTCTCAACTAACAGAGTTGAACCTTTGTTTTGATACGGCATTTTGGAAACACTCTTTTTGTAGAATCTGCAGGTGGATATTCGGATAGCATTGAAGGTTTCGTTGGAAACGGGAATATCTTCATATAAAATCTAGACGGAAGCATTCTCAGAAACTGCTTTGGGATGTTTTCATTCAAGTCACAGAGTAGAATGTTCCCTGTTATATACCAGGTTTGAGACACTCTTTCTGCACTACCTGGAAGTGGACGTTTGGAGCGCTTTGAGGCCTATGTTGAAAAAGGAAATATCTTCCCATAAAAACTAGACAGAAGCATTCTCAGAAACTTGTTTGTGATGTGTGTATTCAACTAACAGAGATGAACCTTTCTTTTTACAGAGCAGTTTTGAAACACTCTTTTTGTGGAATCTGAAAGTGGATATTTGGATAGCTTTGAGGATTTCGTTGGAAACGGGATTACATATAAAACCTAGAGAGAAGCATTCTCAGGAACTTCTTTGTGATGTTTGCATTCAAGTCACAGAACTGAACATTCCCTTTCATAGAGCAGGTTTGAAACACTCTTTCTGTAGTATCTGCAAGCTGACGTTTCAAGCGCTTTCAGGCCTATGGTGAGAAAGGAAATATCTTCAAGTAAAAACTAGACAGAAGCATTCTCAGAAACTTATTTGCGATGTGTGTTCTCAACTAACAGAGTTGAACCTTTGTTTTGATACGGCATTTTGGAAACACACTTTTTGTAGAATCTGCAGGTGGATATTCGGATAGCTTTGAAGGTTTCGTTGGAATCGGGAATATCTTCATATAAAATCTAGACGGAAGCATTCTCAGAAACTGCTTTGTGATGTTTTCATTCAAGTCACAGAGTAGAATGTTCCCTGTTATATACCAGGTTTGAGACACTCTTTCTGCACTACCTGGAAGTGGACGTTTGGAGCGCTTTGAGGCCTATGATGAAAAAGGAAATATCTTCCCATAAAAACTAGACAGAAGCATTCTCAGAAACTTGTTTGTGATGTGTGTATTCAACTAACAGAGATGAACCTTTCTTTTTACAGAGCAGTTTTGAAACACTCTTTTTGTGGAATCTGAAAGTGGATATTTGGATAGCTTTGAGGATTTCGTTGGAAACGGGATTACATATAAAACCTAGAGAGAAGCATTCTCAGGAACTTCTTTGTGATGTTTTCATTCAAGTCACAGAACTGAACATTCCCTTTCATAGAGCAGGTTTGAAACACTCTTTCTGTAGTATCTGCAAGCTGACGTTTCAAGCGCTTTCAGGCCTATGGTGAGAAAGGAAATATCTTCAAGTAAAAACTAGACAGAAGCATTCTCAGAAACTTATTTGCGATGTGTGTTCTCAACTAACAGAGTTGAACCTTTGTTTTGATATGGCATTTTGGAAACACTCTTTTTGTAGAATCTGCAGGTGGATATTCGGATAGCTTTGAAGGTTTCGTTGGAAACGGGAATATCTTCATATAAAATACTAGACGGAAGCATTCTCAGAAACTGCTTTGTGATGTTTTCATTCAAGTCACAGAGTAGAATGTTCCCTGTTATATACCAGGTTTGAGACACTCTTTCTGCACTACCTGGAATTGGACATTTGCAGCGCTTTGAGGCCTATGATGAAAAAGGAAATATCTTCCCATAAGAACTAGACAGAAGCATTCTCAGAAACTTGTTTGTGATGTGTGTATTCAACTAACAGAGATGAACCTTTCTTTTTACAGAGCAGTTTTGAAACACTCTTTTTGTGGAATCTGAAAGTGGATATTTGGATAGCTTTGAGGATTTCGTTGGAAACGGGATTACATATAAAACCTAGAGAGAAGCATTCTCAGGAACTTCTTTGTGATGTTTGCCTTCAAGTCACAGGACTGAACATTCCCTTTCATAGAGCATGTTTGAAACACTCTTTCTGTAGTATCTGCAAGCTGACGTTTCAAGCGCTTTCAGGCCTATGGTGACAAAGGAAATATCTTCAAGTAAAAACTAGACAGAAGCATTCTCAGAAACTTATTTGCGATGTGTGTTCTCAACTAACAGAGTTGAACCTTTGTTTTGATATGGCATTTTGGAAACACTCTTTTTGTAGAATCTGCAGGTGGATATTCGGATATCTTTGAAGGTTTCGTTGGAAACGGGAATATCTTCATATAAAATCTAGACGGAAGCATTCTCAGAAAGTGCTTTGTGATGTTTTCATTCAAGTCACAGAGTAGAATGTTCCCTGTTATATACCAGGTTTGAGACACTCTTTCTGCACTACCTGGAAGTGGACGTTTGGAGCGCTTTGAGGCCTATGTTGAAAAAGGAAATATCTTCCCATAAAAACTAGACAGAAGCATTCTCAGAAACTTGTTTGTGATGTGTGTATTCAACTAACAGAGATGAACCTTTCTTTTTACAGAGCAGTTTTGAAACACTCTTTTTGTGGAATCTGAAAGTGGATATTTGGATAGCTTTGAGGATTTCGTTGGAAACCGGGATTACATATAAAACCTAGAGAGAAGCATTCTCAGGAACTTCTTTGTGATGTTTGCATTCAAGTCACAGAACTGAACATTCCCTTTCATAGAGCAGGTTTGAAACACTCTTTCTGTAGTATCTGCAAGCTGACGTTTCAAGCGCTTTCAGGCCTATGGTGACAAAGGAAATATCTTCAAGTAAAAACTAGACAGAAGCATTCTCAGAAACTTATCTGCGATGTGTGTTCTCAACTAACAGAGTTGAACCTTTGTTTTGATATGGCATTTTGGAAACACTCTTTTTGTAGAATCTGCAGGTGGATATTCGGATAGCTTTGAAGGTTTCGTTGGAAACGGGAATATCTTCATATAAAATCTAGACGGAAGCATTCTCAGAAACTGCTTTGTGATGTTTTCATTCAAGTCACACAGTAGAATGTTCCCTGTTATATACCAGGTTTGAGACACTCTTTCTGCACTACCTGGAAGTGGACATTTGCAGCGCTTTGAGGCCTATGATGAAAAAGGAAATATCTTCCCATAAAAACTAGACAGAAGCATTCTCAGAAACTTGTTTTTGATGTGTGTATTCAACTAACAGAGATGAACCTTTCTTTTTACAGAGCAGTTTTGAAACACTCTTTTTGTGGAATCTGAAAGTGGATATTTGGATAGCTTTGAGGATTTCGTTGGAAACGGGATTAAATATAAAATCTAGAGAGAAGCATTCTCAGGAACTTCTTTGTGATGTTTGCATTCACGTCACAGAACTGAACATTCCCTTTCATAGAGCATGTTTGAAACACTCTTTCTGTAGTATCTGCAAACGGACATTTCAAACGCTTTCAGGCCTATGGTGAGAAAGGAAATATCTTCAAATAAAAACTAGACAGAAGCATTCTCAGAAACTTATTTGCGATGTGTGTCCTCAACTAACAGAGTTGAACCTTTCTTTTGATACAACATTTTGGAAACACTCTTTTTGTAGAATCTGCAAGTGGATATTTGAATAGCTTTGAAGGTTTCGTTGGAAACGGGAATATCTTCATATAAAATCAAGACAGAAGCATTCTCAGAAACTTCTCTGTGATGTTTGCATTCAACTCATAGAGTTGAACACTTCCCTTCATACAGCAGGTTTGAAACACTCTTTTTGTAATATTTGGAAGAGGACATTTGTAGCGCTTTGAGGCCTATGTTGAAAAAGGAAATATCTTCTCCTAAAAACCAGACAGAAGCATTCTCAGAAACTTCCTTGTGATGTGTGTACTCAAGTAACAGAGTTGAACCTTCCTTTTGACAGAGCAGTTTTGAAACACTCTTTTTGTGGAATCTGAAAGTGGATATTTGGATAGCTTTGCAGATTTCGTTGGAAACGGGATTACATATAAAATCTAGGGAGAAGCATTCTCAGGAACTTCTTTGTGATGTTTGCATTCACGTCACAGAACTGAACATTCCCTTTCATAGAGCCTGTTTGAAACACTCTTTCTGTAGTATCTGCAAACGGACATTTCAAACGCTTTCAGGCCTATGGTGAGAAAGGAAATATCTTCAAATAAAAACTAGACAGAAGCATTCTCAGAAACTTATTTGCGATGTGTGTCCTCAACTAACAGAGTTGAACCTTTCTTTTGATACAACATTTTGGAAACACTCTTTTTGTAGAATCTGCAAGTGGATATTTGGATAGCTTTGAAGGTTTCGTTGGAAACGGGAATATCTTCATATGAAATCAAGACAGAAGCATTCTCAGAAACTTCTCTGTGATGTTTGCATTCAACTCATAGAGTTGAACACTTCCCTTCATACAGCAGGTTTGAAACACTCTTTTTGTAATATTTGGAAGTGGACATTTGCAGCGCTTTGAGGCCTATGTTGAAAAAGGAAATATCTTCTCCTAAAAACCAGACAGAAGCATTCTCAGAAACTTCCTTGTGATGTGTGTACTCAAGTAACAGAGTTGAACCTTCATTTTGACAGAGCAGTTTTGAAGCACTCTTTTTGTAGAATCTGCAAGTGGATATTTTGATACCTTTGAGGATTTCGTTGGACACGGGATATCTTCATATAAAATCTAGACAGAAGCATTCTCAGAAACTTCTTTGTGCTGTATGTCCTCAATTAAGAGAGTTGAACCTTTGTGTGGATACAGCATTTTGGAAACACTCCTTTAGTAGAATCTGCAAGTTGATATTTAGATAGCTAGGAAGATTTCCTTGGAAACGGGAATATCTTCATATAAAATCTAGACGGAAGCATTCTCAGAAAGTGCTTTGTGATGTTTGCATTCAAGTCACAGAGTTGAATATTCCCTTTTATAGAGCAGGTTTGAAACACTCTTTCTGCACTACCTGGAAGTGGACATTTGGAGCGCTTTGAGGCCTATGTTGAAAAAGGAAATATCTTCCCATAAAAACTAGACAGAAGCATTCTCAGAAATTTGTTTGTGATGTGTGTATTCAACTAACAGAGATGAACCTTTCTTTTTACAGAGCAGTTTTGAAACACTCTTTTTGTGGATTCTGAAAGTGGATATTTGGATGGCTTTGAGGATTTTGTTGGAAACGGGATTACATATAAAACCTAGAGAGAAGCATTCTCAGGAACTTCTTTGTGATGTTTGCATTCAAGTCACAGAACTGAACATTCCCTTTCATAGAGCAGGTTTGAAACACTCTTTCTGTAGTATCTGCAAGCTGACGTTTCAAGCGCTTTCAGGCCTATGGTGAGAAAGGAAATATCTTCAAGTAAAAACTAGACAGAAGCATTCTCAGAAACTTATTTGCGATGTGTGTTCTCAACTAACAGAGTTGAACCTTTGTTTTGATATGGCATTTTGGAAACACTCTTTTTGTAGAATCTGCAGGTGGATATTCGGATAGCTTTGAACGTTTCGTTGGAAACGGGAATATCTTCATATAAAATCTAGACGGAAGCATTCTCAGAAACTGCTTTGTGATGTTTTCATTCAAGTCACAGAGTAGAATGTTCCCCGTTATATACCAGGTTTGAGACACTCTTTCTGCACTACCTGGAAGTGGACATTTGGAGCGCTTTGAGGCCTATGATGAAGAAGGAAATATCTTCCCATAAAAACTAGACAGAAGCATTCTCAGAAACTTGTTTGTGATGTGTGTATTCAACTAACAGAGATGAACCTTTCTTTTTACAGAGCAGTTTTGAAACACTCTTTTTGTGGAATCTGAAAGTGGATATTTGGATAGCTTTGCGGATTTCGTTGGAAACGGGATTACATATAAAATCTAGAGAGAAGCATTCTCAGGAACTTCTTTGTGATGTTTGCATTCACGTCACAGAACTGAACATTCCCTTTCATAGAGCATGTTTGAAACACTCTTTCTGCAGTATCTGCAAACGGACATTTCAAAAGCTTTCAGGCCTATGGTGAGAAAGGAAATATCTTCAAATAAAAACTAGACAGAAGCATTCTCAGAAACTTATTTGCGATGTGTGTCCTCAACTAACAGAGTTGAACCTTTCTTTTGATACAACATTTTGGAACCACTCTTTTTGTAGAATCTGCATGTGGATATTTGGATAGCTTTGAAGGTTTCGTTGGAAACGGGAATATCTTCATATAAAATCAAGACAGAAGCATTCTCAGAAACTTCTCTGTGATGTTTGCATTCAACTCATAGAGTTGAACACTTCCCTTCATACAGCAGGTTTGAAACACTCTTTTTGTAATATTTGGAAGTGGACATTTGCAGCGCTTTGAGGCCTATGATGAAAAAGGAAATATCTTCCCATAAAAACTAGACAGAAGCATTCTCAGAAACTTGTTTGTGATGTGTGTATTCAACTAACAGAGATGAACCTTTCTTTTTACAGAGCAGTTTTGAAACACTCTTTTTGTGGAATCTGAAAGTGGATATTTGGATAGCTTTGCGGATTTCGTTGGAAACAGGATTACATATAAAATCTAGGGAGAAGCATTCTCAGGAACTTCTTTGTGATGTTTGCATTCAAGTCACAGAACTGAACATTCCCTTTCATAGAGCAGGTTTGAAACACTCTTTCTGTAGTATCTGCAAGCGGACGTTTTAAGCGCTTTCAGGCCTGTGGTGAGAAAGGAAATATCTTCAAATAAAAACTAGACAGAAGCATTCTCAGAAACTTATTTGCGATGTGTGTCCTCAACTAACAGAGTTGAACCTTTCTTTTGATACAACATTTTGGAAACACTCTTTTTGTAGAATCTGCAAGTGGATATTTGGAAAGCTTTGAAGGTTTCGTTGGAAACGGGAATATCTTCATATGAAATCAAGACAGAAGCATTCTCAGAAACTTCTCTGTGATGTTTGCATTCAACTCATAGAGTTGAACACTTCCCTTCATACAGCAGGTTTGAAACACTCTTTTTCTAATATTTGGAAGTGGACATTTGCAGCGCTTTGAGGCCTATGTTGAAAAAGGAAATATCTTCTCCTAAAAACCAGACAGAAGCATTCTCAGAAACTTCCTTGTGATGTGTGTACTCAAGTAACAGAGTTGAACCTTCCTTTTGACAGAGCAGTTTTGAAGCACTCTTTTTGTAGAATCTGCAAGTGGATATTTTGATACCATTGAGGATTTCGTTGGACACGGGATATCTTCATATAAAATCTAGACAGAAGCATTCTCAGAAACTTCTTTGTGCTGTATGTCCTCAATTAACAGAGTTGAACCTTTGTGTGGATACAGCATTTTGGAAACATTCCTTTAGTAGAATCTGCAAGTTGATATTTAGATAGCTAGGAAGAGTTCCTTGGAAACGGGAATATCTTCATATAAAATCTAGACGGAAGCATTCTCAGAAAGTGCTTTGTGATGTTTGCATTCAAGTCACAGAGTTGAATGTTCCCTTTTATAGAGCAGGTTTGAAACACTCTTTCTGCACTACCTGGAAGTGGACATTTGGAGCGCTTTGAGGCCTATGTTGAAAAAGGAAATATCTTCCCATAAAAACTAGACAGAAGCATTCTCAGAAACTTGTTTGTGATGTGTGTATTCAACTAACAGAGATGAACCTTTCTTTTTACAGAGCAGTTTTGAAACACTCTTTTTGTGGAATCTGAAAGTGGATATTTGGATAGCTTTGAGGATTTCGTTGGAAACGGGATTACATATAAAACCTAAAGAGAAGCATTCTCAGGAACTTCTTTGTGATGTTTGCATTCAAGTCACAGAACTGAACATTCCCTTTCATAGAGCAGGTTTGAAACACTCTTTCTGTAGTATCTGCAAGCTGACGTTTCAAGCGCTTTCAGGCCTATGGTGAGAAAGGAAATATCTTCAAGTAAAAACTAGACAGAAGCATTCTCAGAAACTTATTTGCGATGTGTGTTCTCAACTAACAGAGTTGAACCTTTGTTTTGATATGGCATTTTGGAAACACTCTTTTTGTAGAATCTGCAGGTGGATATTCGGATAGCTTTGAAGGTTTCGTTGGAAACGGGAATATCTTCATATAAAATCTAGACGGAAGCATTCTCAGAAACTGCTTTGTGATGTTTTCATTCAAGTCACAGAGTAGAATGTTCCCTGTTATATACCAGGTTTGAGACACTCTTTCTGCACTACCTGGAAGTGGACGTTTGGAGCGCTTTGAGGCCTATGTTGAAAAAGGAAATATCTTCCCATAAAAACTAGACAGAAGCATTCTCAGAAACTTGTTTGTGATGTGTGTATTCAACTAACAGAGATGAACCTTTCTTTTTACAGAGCAGTTTTGAAACACTCTTTTTGTGGAATCTGAAAGTGGATATTTGGATAGCTTTGAGGATTTCGTTGGAAACGGGATTACATATAAAACCTAGAGAGAAGCATTCTCAGGAACTTCTTTGTGATGTTTTCATTCAAGTCACAGAACTGAACATTCCCTTTCATAGAGCAGGTTTGAAACACTCTTTCTGTAGTATCTGCAAGCTGACGTTTCAAGCGCTTTCAGGCCTATGGTGAGAAAGGAAATATCTTCAAGTAAAAACTAGACAGAAGCATTCTCAGAAACTTCTTTGCGATGTGTGTTCTCAACTAACAGAGTTGAACCTTTGTTTTGATATGGCATTTTGGAAACACTCTTTTTGTAGAATCTGCAGGTGGATATTCGGATAGCTTTGAAGGTTTCGTTGGAAACGGGAATATCTTCATATAAAATCTAGACGGAAGCATTCTCAGAAACTGCTTTGTGATGTTTTCATTCAAGTCACAGAGTAGAATGTTCCCTGTTATATACCAGGTTTGAGACACTCTTTCTGCACTACCTGGAAGTGGACATTTGCAGCGCTTTGAGGCCTATGATGAAAAAGGAAATATCTTCCCATAAAAAACTAGACAGAAGCATTCTCAGAAACTTGTTTGTGATGTGTGTATTCAACTAACAGAGATGAACCTTTCTTTTTACAGAGCAGTTTTGAAACACTCTTTTTGTGGAATCTGAAAGTGGATATTTGGATAGCTTTGAGGATTTCGTTGGAAACGGGATTACATATAAAATCTAGAGAGAAGCATTCTCAGGAACTTCTTTGTGATGTTTGCATTCACGTCACAGAACTGAACATTCCCTTTCATAGAGCATGTTTGAAACACTCTTTCTGTAGTAGCTGCAAACGGACATTTCAAACGCTTTCAGGCCTATGGTGAGAAAGGAAATATCTTCAAATAAAAACTAGACAGAAGCATTCTCAGAAACTTATTTGCGATGTGTGTCCTCAACTAACAGAGTTGAACCTTTCTTTTGATACAACATTTTGGAAACACTCTTTTTGTAGAATCTGCAAGTGGATATTTGAATAGCTTTGAAGGTTTCGTTGGAAACGGGAATATCTTCATATAAAATCAAGACAGAAGCATTCTCAGAAACTTCTCTGTGATGTTTGCATTCAACTCATAGAGTTGAACACTTCCCTTCATACAGCAGGTTTGAAACACTCTTTTTGTAACATTTGGAAGTGGACATTTGCAGCGCTTTGAGGCCTATGTTGAAAAAGGAAATATCTTCTCCTAAAAACCAGACAGAAGCATTCTCAGAAACTTCCTTGTGATGTGTGTACTCCAGTAACAGAGTTGAACCTTCCTTTTGACAGAGCAGTTTTGAAGCACTCTTTTTGTAGAATCTGCAAGTGGATATTTTGATACCTTTGAGGATTTCGTTGGACACGGGATATCTTCATATAAAATCTAGACAGAAGCATTCTCAGGAACTTCTTTGTGATATTTGCATTCAAGTCACAGAACTGAACATTCCCTTTCATAGAGCATGTTTGAAACACTCTTTCTGTAGTATCTGCAAGCTGACGTTTCAAGCGCTTTCAGGCCTATGGTGAGAAAGGAAATATCTTCAAGTAAAAACTAGACAGAAGCATTCTCAGAAACTTATTTGCCATGTGTGTTCTCAACTAACAGAGTTGAACCTTTGTTTTGATACGGCATTTTGGAAACACTCTTTTTGTAGAATCTGCAGGTGGATATTCGGATAGCTTTGAAGGTTTCGTTGGAAACGGGAATATCTTCATATAAAATCTAGACGGAAGCATTCTCAGAAACTGCTTTGTGATGTTTTCATTCAAGTCACAGAGTAGAATGTTCCCTGTTATATACCAGGTTTGAGACACTCTTTCTGCACTACCTGGAAGTGGACGTTTGGAGCGCTTTGAGGCCTATGTTGAAAAAGGAAATATCTTCCCATAAAAACTAGACAGAAGCATTCTCAGAAACTTGTTTGTGATGTGTGTATTCAACTAACAGAGATGAACCTTTCTTTTTACAGAGCAGTTTTGAAACACTCTTTTTGTGGAATCTGAAAGTGGATATTTGGATAGCTTTGAGGATTTCGTTGGAAACGGGATTACAGATAAAACCTAGAGAGAAGCATTCTCAGGAACTTCTTTGTGATGTTTGCATTCAAGTCACAGAACTGAACATTCCCTTTCATAGAGCAGGTTTGAAACACTCTTTCTGTAGTATCTGCAAGCTGACGTTTCAAGCGCTTTCAGGCCTATGGTGAGAAAGGAAATATCTTCAAGTAAAAACTAGACAGAAGCATTCTCAGAAACTTATTTGCGATGTGTGTTCTCAACTAACAGAGTTGAACCTTTGTTTTGATATGGCATTTTGGAAACACTCTTTTTGTAGAATCTGCAGGTGGATATTCGGATAGCTTTGAAGGTTTCGTTGGAAACGGGAATATCTTCATATAAAATCTAGACGGAAGCATTCTCAGAAACTGCTTTGTGATGTTTTCATTCAAGTCACAGAGTAGAATGTTCCCTGTTATATACCAGGTTTGAGACACTCTTTCTGCACTACCTGGAAGTGGACATTTGCAGCGCTTTGAGGCCTATGATGAAAAAGGAAATATCTTCCCATAAAAACTAGACAGAAGCATTCTCAGAAACTTGTTTGTGATGTGTGTATTCAACTAACAGAGATGAACCTTTCTTTTTACAGAGCAGTTTTGAAACACTCTTTTTGTGGAATCTGAAAGTGGATATTTGGATAGCTTTGAGGATTTCGTTGGAAACGGGATTACATATAAAATCTAGAGAGAAGCATTCTCAGGAACTTCTTTGTGATGTTTGCATTCACGTCACAGAACTGAACATTCCCTTTCATAGAGCATGTTTGAAACACTCTTTCTGTAGTATCTGCAAACGGACATTTCAAACGCTTTCAGGCCTGTGGTGAGAAAGGAAATATCTTCAAATAAAAACTAGACAGAAGCATTCTCAGAAACTTATTTGCGATGTGTGTCCTCAACTAACAGAGTTGAACCTTTCTTTTGATACAACATTTTGGAAACACTCTTTTTGTAGAATCTGCAAGTGGATATTTGAATAGCTTTGAAGGTTTCGTTGGAAACGGGAATATCTTCATATAAAATCAAGACAGAAGCATTCTCAGAAACTTCTCTGTGATGTTTGCATTCAACTCATAGAGTTGAACACTTCCCTTCATACAGCAGGTTTGAAACACTCTTTTTGTAATATTTGGAAGTGGACATTTGCAGCTCTTTGAGGCCTATGATGAAAAAGGTAATATCTTCCCGTAAAAACTAGACAGAAGCATTCTCAGAAACTTGTTTGTGATGTGTGTATTCAACTAACAGAGATGAACCTTTCTTTTTACAGAGCAGTTTTGAAACACTCTTTTTGTGGAATCTGAAAGTGGATATTTGGATAGCTTTGCGGATTTCGTTGGAAACGGGATTACATATAAAACCTAGAGAGAAGCATTCTCAGGAACTTCTTTGCGATGTTTGCATTCAAGTCACAGAACTGAACATTCCCTTTCATAGAGCAGGTTTGAAACACTCTTTCTGTAGTATCTGCAAGCTGACGTTTCAAGCGCTTTCAGGCCTATGGTGAGAAAGGAAATTTCTTCAAGTAAAAACTAGACAGAAGCATTCTCAGAAACTTATTTGCGATGTGTGTTCTCAACTAACAGAGTTGAACCTTTGTTTTGATATGGCATTTTGGAAACACTCTTTTTGTAGAATCTGCAGGTGGATATTCGGATAGCTTTGAAGGTTTCGTTGGAAACGGGAATATCTTCATATAAAATCTAGACGGAAGCATTCTCAGAAACTGCTTTGTGATGTTTTCATTCAAGTCACAGAGTAGAATGTTCCCTGTTATATACCAGGTTTGAGACACTCTTTCTGCACTACCTGGAAGTGGACATTTGCAGCGCTTTGAGGCCTATGATGAAAAAGGAAATATCTTCCCATAAAAACTAGACAGAAGCATTCTCAGAAACTTGTTTTTGATGTGTGTATTCAACTAACAGAGATGAACCTTTCTTTTTACAGAGCAGTTTTGAAACACTCTTTTTGTGGAATCTGAAAGTGGATATTTGGATAGCTTTGAGGATTTCCTTGGAAACGGGATTACATATAAAATCTAGAGAGAAGCATTCTCAGGAACTTCTTTGTGATGTTTGCATTCACGTCACAGAACTGAACATTCCCTTTCATAGAGCATGTTTGAAACACTCTTTCTGTAGTATCTGCAAACGGACATTTCAAACGCTTTCAGGCCTATGGTGAGAAAGGAAATATCTTCAAATAAAAACTAGACAGAAGCATTCTCAGAAACTTATTTGCGATGTGTGTCCTCAACTAACAGAGTTGAACCTTTCTTTTGATACAACATTTTGGAAACACTCTTTTTGTGGAATCTGCAAGTGGATATTTGGATAGCTTTGAAGGTTTCGTTGGAAACGGGAATATCTTCATATAAAATCAAGACAGAAGCATTCTCAGAAACTTCTCTGTGATGTTTGCATTCAACTCATAGAGTTGAACACTTCCCTTCATACAGCAGGTTTGAAACACTCTTTTTCTAATATTTGGAAGTGGACTTTTGCAGCGCTTTGAAGCCTATGATGAAAAAGGTAATATCTTCCCATAAAAACTAGAAAGAAGCATTCTCAGAAACTTGTTTGTGATGTGTGTATTCAACTAACAGAGATGAACCTTTCTTTTTACAGAGCAGTTTTGAAACACTCTTTTTGTGGAATCTGAAAGTGGATATTTGGATAGCTTTGCGGATTTCGTTGGAAACGGGATTACATATAAAATCTAGGGAGAAGCATTCTCAGGAACTTCTTTGTGATGTTTGCATTCAAGTCACAGAACTGAACATTCCCTTTCATAGAGCAGGTTTGAAACACTCTTTCTGTAGTATCTGCAAGCGGACGTTTTAAGCGCTTTCAGGCCTGTGGTGAGAAAGGAAATATCTTCAAATAAAAACTAGACAGAAGCATTCTCAGAAACTTATTTGCGATGTGTGTCCTCAACTAACAGAGTTGAACCTTTCTTTTGATACAACATTTTGGAAACACTCTTTTTGTAGAATCTGCAAGGGGATATTTGGATAGCTTTGAAGGTTTCGTTGGAAACGGGAATATCTTCATATGAAATCAAGACAGAAGCATTCTCAGAAACTTCTCTGTGATGTTTGCATTCAACTCATAGAGTTGAACACTTCCCTTCATACAGCAGGTTTGAAACACTCTTTTTCTAATATTTGGAAGTGGACATTTGCAGCGCTTTGAGGCCTATGTTGAAAAAGGAAATATCTTCTCCTAAAAACCAGACAGAAGCATTCTCAGAAACTTCCTTGTGATGTGTGTACTCAAGTAACAGAGTTGAACCTTCCTTTTGACAGAGCAGTTTTGAAGCACTCTTTTTGTAGAATCTGCAAGTGGATATTTTGATACCTTTGAGGATTTCGTTGGACACGGGATATCTTCATATAAAATCTAGACAGAAGCATTCTCAGAAACTTCTTTGTGCTGTATGTCCTCAATTAACAGAGTTGAACCTTTGTGTGGATACAGCATTTTGGAAACATTCCTTTAGTAGAATCTGCAAGTTGATATTTAGATAGCTAGGAAGATTTCCTTGGAAACGGGAATATCTTCATATAAAATCTAGACGGAAGCATTCTCAGAAAGTGCTTTGTGATGTCTTCATTCAAGTCACAGAGTAGAATGTTCCCTTTTATAGAGCAGGTTTGAAACACTCTTTCTGCACTACCTGGAAGTGGACATTTGGAGCGCTTTGAGACCTATGTTGAAAAAGGAAATATCTTCCCATAAAAACTAGACAGAAGCATTCTCAGAAACTTGTTTGTGATGTGTGTATTCAACTAACAGAGATGAACCTTTCTTTTTACAGAGCAGTTTTGAAACACTCTTTTTGTGGAATCTGAAAGTGGATATTTAGATAGCTTTGAGGATTTCGTTGGAAACGGGATTACATATAAAACCTAGAGAGAAGCATTCTCAGGAACTTCTTTGTGATGTTTGCCTTCAAGTCACAGGACTGAACATTCCCTTTCATAGAGCAGGTTTGAAACACTCTTTCTGTAGTATCTGCAAGCTGACGTTTCAAGCGCTTTCAGGCCTATGGTGAGAAAGGAAATATCTTCAAGTAAAAACTAGACAGAAGCATTCTCAGAAACTTATTTGCCATGTGTGTTCTCAACTAACAGAGTTGAACCTTTGTTTTGATACGGCATTTTGGAAACACTCTTTTTGTAGAATCTGCAGGTGGATATTCGGATAGCATTGAAGGTTTCGTTGGAAACGGGAATATCTTCATATAAAATCTAGACGGAAGCATTCTCAGAAACTGCTTTGGGATGTTTTCATTCAAGTCACAGAGTAGAATGTTCCCTGTTATATACCAGGTTTGAGACACTCTTTCTGCACTACCTGGAAGTGGACGTTTGGAGCGCTTTGAGGCCTATGTTGAAAAAGGAAATATCTTCCTATAAAAACTAGACAGAAGCATTCTCAGAAACTTGTTTGTGATGTGTGTATTCAACTAACAGAGATGAACCTTTCTTTTTACAGAGCAGTTTTGAAACACTCTTTTTGTGGAATCTGAAAGTGGATATTTGGATAGCTTTGAGGATTTCGTTGGAAACGGGATTACATATAAAACCTAGAGAGAAGCATTCTCAGGAACTTCTTTGTGATGTTTTCATTCAAGTCACAGAACTGAACATTCCCTTTCATAGAGCAGGTTTGAAACACTCTTTCTGTAGTATCTGCAAGCTGACGTTTCAAGCGCTTTCAGGCCTATGGTGAGAAAGGAAATATCTTCAAGTAAAAACTAGACAGAAGCATTCTCAGAAACTTATTTGCGATGTGTGTTCTCAACTAACAGAGTTGAACCTTTGTTTTGATATGGCATTTTGGAAACACTCTTTTTGTAGAATCTGCAGGTGGATATTCGGATAGCTTTGAAGGTTTCGTTGGAAACGGGAATATCTTCATATAAAATCTAGACGGAAGCATTCTCAGAAACTGCTTTGTGATGTTTTCATTCAAGTCACAGAGTAGAATGTTCCCTGTTATATACCAGGTTTGAGACACTCTTTCTGCACTACCTGGAAGTGGACATTTGCAGCGCTTTGAGGCCTATGATGAAAAAGGAAATATCTTCCCATAAAAACTAGACAGAAGCATTCTCAGAAACTTGTTTGTGATGTGTGTATTCAACTAACAGAGATGAACCTTTCTTTTTACAGAGCAGTTTTGAAACACTCTTTTTGTGGAATCTGAAAGTGGATATTTGGATAGCTTTGAGGATTTCGTTGGAAACGGGATTACATATAAAATCTAGAGAGAAGCATTCTCAGGAACTTCTTTGTGATGTTTGCATTCACGTCACAGAACTGAACATTCCCTTTCATAGAGCATGTTTGAAACACTCTTTCTGTAGTATCTACAAACGGACATTTCAAACGCTTTCAGGCCTATGGTGAGAAAGGAAATATCTTCAAATAAAAACTAGACAGAAGCATTCTCAGAAACTTATTTGCGATGTGTGTCCTCAACTAACAGAGTTGAACCTTTCTTTTGATACAACATTTTGGAAACACTCTTTTTGTAGAATCTGCAAGTGGATATTTGAATAGCTTTGAAGGTTTCGTTGGAAACGGGAATATCTTCATATAAAATCAAGACAGAAGCATTCTCAGAAACTTCTCTGTGATGTTTGCATTTAACTCATAGAGTTGAACACTTCCCTTCATACAGCAGGTTTGAAACACTCTTTTTGTAACATTTGGAAGTGGACATTTGCAGCGCTTTGAGGCCTATGTTGAAAAAGGAAATATCTTCTCCTAAAAACCAGACAGAAGCATTCTCAGAAACTTCCTTGTGATGTGTGTACTCAAGTAACAGAGTTGAACCTTCCTTTTGACAGAGCAGTTTTGAAGCACTCTTTTTGTAGAATCTGCAAGTGGATATTTTGATACCTTTGAGGATTTCGTTGGACACGGGATATCTTCATATAAAATCTAGACAGAAGCATTCTCAGAAACTTCTTTGTGCTGTATGTCCTCAATTAACAGAGTTGAACCTTTGTGTGGATACAGCATTTTGGAAACATTCCTTTAGTAGAATCTGCAAGTTGATATTTAGATAGCTAGGAAGATTTCCTTGGAAACGGGAATATCTTCATATAAAATCTAGACGGAAGCATTCTCAGAAAGTGCTTTGTGATGTTTGCATTCAAGTCACAGAGTTGAATATTCCCTTTTATAGAGCAGGTTTGAAACACTCTTTCTGCACTACCTGGAAGTGGACATTTGGAGCGCTTTGAGGCCTATGTTGAAAAACGAAATATCTTCCCATAAAAACTAGACAGAAGCATTCTCAGAAACTTGTTTGTGATGTGTGTATTCAACTAACAGAGATGAACCTTTCTTTTTACAGAGCAGTTTTGAAACACTCTTTTTGTGGAATCTGAAAGTGGATATTTGGATAGCTTTGAGGATTTCGTTGGAAACGGGATTACATATAAAACCTAGAGAGAAACATTCTCAGGAACTTCTTTGTGATGTTTGCCTTCAAGTCACAGGACTGAACATTCCCTTTCATAGAGCAGGTTTGAAACAATCTTTCTGTAGTATCTGCAAGCTGACGTTTCAAGCGCTTTCAGGCCTATGGTGAGAAAGGAAATATCTTCAAGTAAAAACTAGACAGAAGCATTCTCAGAAACTTATTTGCCATGTGTGTTCTCAACTAACAGAGTTGAACCTTTGTTTTGATACGGCATTTTGGAAACACTCTTTTTGTAGAATCTGCAGGTGGATATTCGGATAGCTTTGAAGGTTTCGTTGGAAACGGGAATATCTTCATATAAAATCTAGACGGAAGCATTCTCAGAAACTGCTTTGTGATGTTTTCATTCAAGTCACAGAGTAGAATGTTCCCTGTTATATACCAGGTTTGAGACACTCTTTCTGCACTACCTGGAAGTGGACGTTTGGAGCGCTTTGAGGCCTATGTTGAAAAAGGAAATATCTTCCCATAAAAACTAGACAGAAGCATTCTCAGAAACTTGTTTGTGATGTGTGTATTCAACTAACAGAGATGAACCTTTCTTTTTACAGAGCAGTTTTGAAACACTCTTTTTGTGGAATCTGAAAGTGGATATTTGGATAGCTTTGAGGATTTCGTTGGAAACGGGATTACATATAAAATCTAGAGAGAAGCATTCTCAGGAACTTCTTTGTGATGTTTGCATTCACGTCACAGAACTGAACATTCCCTTTCATAGAGCATGTTTGAAACACTCTTTCTGTAGTATCTGCAAACGGACATTTCAAACGCTTTCAGGCCTATGGTGAGAAAGGAAATATCTTCAAATAAAAACTAGACAGAAGCATTCTCAGAAACTTATTTGCGATGTGTGTCCTCAACTAACAGAGTTGAACCTTTCTTTTGATACAACATTTTGGAAACACTCTTTTTGAAGAATCTGCAAGTGGATATTTGGATAGCTTTGAAGGTTTCGTTGGAAACGGGAATATCTTCATATAAAATCAAGACAGAAGCATTCTCAGAAACTTCTCTGTGATGTTTGCATTCAACTCATAGAGTTGAACACTTCCCTTCATACAGCAGGTTTGAAACACTCTTTTTGTAATATTTGGAAGTGGACATTTGCAGCGCTTTGAGGCCTATGATGAAAAAGGAAATATCTTCCCATAAAAACTAGACAGAAGGATTCTCAGAAACTTGTTTGTGATGTGTGTATTCAACTAACAGAGATGAACCTTTCTTTTTACAGAGCAGTTTTGAAACACTCTTTTTGTGGAATCTGAAAGTGGATATTTGGATAGCTTTGCGGATTTCGTTGGAAACGGGATTACATATAAAATCTAGGGAGAAGCATTCTCAGGAACTTCTTTGTGATGTTTGCATTCAAGTCACAGAACTGAACATTCCCTTTCATAGAGCATGTTTGAAACACTCTTTCTGTAGTATCTGCAAGCGGACGTTTTAAGCGCTTTCAGGCCTGTGGTGAGAAAGGAAATATCTTCAAATAAAAACTAGACAGAAGCATTCTCAGAAACTTATTTGCGATGTGTGTCCTCAACTAACAGAGTTGAACCTTTCTTTTGATACAACATTTTGGAAACACTCTTTTTGTAGAATCTGCAAGTGGATATTTGGATAGCTTTGAAGGTTTCGTTGGAAACGGGAATATCTTCATATGAAATCAAGACAGAAGCATTCTCAGAAACTTCTCTGTGATGTTTGCATTCAACTCATAGAGTTGAACACTTCCCTTCATACAGCAGGTTTGAAACACTCTTTTTGTAATATTTGGAAGTGGACATTTGCAGCGCTTTGAGGCCTATGTTGAAAAAGGAAATATCTTCTCCTAAAAACCAGACAGAAGCATTCTCAGAAACTTCCTTGTGATGTGTGTACTCAAGTAACAGAGTTGAACCTTCCTTTTGACAGAGCAGTTTTGAAGCACTCTTTTTGTAGAATCTGCAAGTGGATATTTTGATACCTTTGAGGATTTCGTTGGACACGGGATATCTTCATATAAAATCTAGACAGAAGCATTCTCAGAAACTTCTTTGTGCTGTATGTCCTCAATTAACAGAGTTGAACCTTTGTGTGGATACAGCATTTTGGAAACATTCCTTTAGAAGAATCTGCAAGTTGATATTTAGATAGCTAGGAAGATTTCCTTGGAAACGGGAATATCTTCATATAAAATCTAGACGGAAGCATTCTCAGAAAGTGCTTTGTGATGTTTGCATTCAAGTCACAGAGTTGAATATTCCCTTTTATAGAGCAGGTTTGAAACACTCTTTCTGCACTACCTGGAAGTGGACATTTGGAGCGCTTTGAGGCCTATGTTGAAAAACGAAATATCTTCCCATAAAAACTAGACAGAAGCATTCACAGAAACTTGTTTGTGATGTGTGTATTCAACTAACAGAGATGAACCTTTCTTTTTACAGAGCAGTTTTGAAACACTCTTTTTGTGGAATCTGAAAGTGGATATTTGGATAGCTTTGAGGATTTCTTTGGAAACGGGATTACATATAAAACCTAGAGAGAAGCATTCTCAGGAACTTCTTTGTGATGTTTGCCTTCAAGTCACAGGACTGAACATTCCCTTTCATAGAGCAGGTTTGAAACACTCCTTCTGTAGTATCTGCAAGCTGACGTTTCAAGCGCTTTCAGGCCTATGGTGAGAAAGGAAATATCTTCAAGTAAAAACTAGACAGAAGCATTCTCAGAAACTTATTTGCCATGTGTGTTCTCAACTAACAGAGTTGAACCTTTGTTTTGATACGGCATTTTGGAAACACTCTTTTTGTAGAATCTGCAGGTGGATATTCGGATAGCTTTGAAGGTTTCGTTGGAAACGGGAATATCTTCATATAAAATCTAGACGGAAGCATTCTCAGAAACTGCTTTGTGATGTTTTCATTCAAGTCACAGAGTAGAATGTTCCCTGTTATATACCAGGTTTGAGACACTCTTTCTGCACTACCCGGAAGTGGACGTTTGGAGCGCTTTGAGGCCTATGTTGAAAAAGGAAATATCTTCCCATAAAAACTAGACAGAAGCATTCTCAGAAACTTGTTTGTGATGTGTGTATTCAACTAACAGAGATGAACCTTTCTTTTTACAGAGCAGTTTTGAAACACTCTTTTTGTGGAATCTGAAAGTGGATATTTGGATGGCTTTGAGGATTTCGTTGGAAACGGGATTACATATAAACTCTAGAGAGAAGCATTCTCAGGAACTTCTTTGTGATGTTTGCATTCAAGTCACAGAACTGAACATTCCCTTTCATAGAGCAGGTTTGAAACACTCTTTCTGTAGTATCTGCAAGCGGACGTTTTAAGCGCTTTCAGGCCTGTGGTGAGAAAGGAAATATCTTCAAATAAAAACTAGACAGAAGCATTCTCAGAAACTTATTTGCGATGTGTGTCCTCAACTAACAGAGTTGAACCTTTCTTTTGATACAACATTTTGGAAACACTCTTTTTGTAGAATCTGCAAGTGGATATTTGGATAGCTTTGAAGGTTTCGTTGGAAACGGGAATATCTTCATATGAAATCAAGACAGAAGCATTCTCAGAAACTTCTCTGTGATGTTTGCATTCAACTCATAGAGTTGAACACTTCCCTTCATACAGCAGGTTTGAAACCCTCTTTTTCTAATATTTGGAAGTGGACATTTGCAGCGCTTTGAGGCCTATGTTGAAAAAGGAAATATCTTCTCCTAAAAACCAGACAGAAGCATTCTCAGAAACTTCCTTGTGATGTGTGTACTCAAGTAACAGAGTTGAACCTTCCTTTTGACAGAGCAGTTTTGAAGCACTCTTTTTGTAGAATCTGCAAGTGGATATTTTGATACCTTTGAGGATTTCGTTGGACACGGGATATCTTCATATAAAATCTAGACAGAAGCATTCTCAGAAACTTCTTTGTGCTGTATGTCCTCAATTAACAGAGTTGAACCTTTGTGTGGATACAGCATTTTGGAAACATTCCTTTAGTAGAATCTGCAAGTTGATATTTAGATAGCTAGGAAGATTTCCTTGGAAACGGGAATATCTTCATATAAAATCTAGACGGAAGCATTCGCAGAAAGTGCTTTGTGATGTTTGCATTCAAGTCACAGAGTTGAATATTCCCTTTTATAGAGCAGGTTTGAAACACTCTTTCTGCACTACCTGGAAGTGGACATTTGGAGCGCTTTGAGGCCTATGTTGAAAAAGGAAATATCTTCCCATAAAAACTAGACAGAAGCATTCTCAGAAACTTGTTTGTGATGTGTGTATTCAACTAACAGAGATGAACCTTTCTTTTTACAGAGCAGTTTTGAAACACTCTTTTTGTGGAATCTGAAAGTGGATATTTGGATAGCTTTGAGGATTTCGTTGGAAACGGGATTACATATAAAACCTAGAGAGAAGCATTCTCAGGAACTTCTTTGTGATGTTTGCCTTCAAGTCACAGGACTGAACATTCCCTTTCATAGAGCAGGTTTGAAACACTCTTTCTGTAGTATCTGCAAGCTGACGTTTCAAGCGCTTTCAGGCCTATGGTGAGAAAGGAAATATCTTCAAGTAAAAACTAGACAGAAGCATTCTCAGAAACTTATTTGCCATGTGTGTTCTCAACTAACAGAGTTGAACCTTTGTTTTGATGCGGCATTTTGGAAACACTCTTTTTGTAGAATCTGCAGGTGGATATTCGGATAGCTTTGAAGGTTTCGTTGGAAACGGGAATATCTTCATATAAAATCTAGACGGAAGCATTCTCAGAAACTGCTTTGTGATGTTTTTATTCAAGTCACAGAGTAGAATGTTCCCTTTTATATACCAGGTTTGAGACACTCTTTCTGCACTATCTGGAAGTGGACATTTGGAGCGCTTTGAGGCCTATGATGAAAAAGGAAATATCTTCCCATAAAAACTAGACAGAAGCATTCTCAGAAACTTGTTTGTGATGTGTGTATTCAACTAACAGAGATGAACCTTTCTTTTTACAGAGCAGTTTTGAAACACTCTTTTTGTGGAATCTGAAAGTGGATATTTGGATAGCTTTGTGGATTTCGTTGGAAACGGGATTACATATAAAATCTAGAGAGAAGCATTCTCAGGAACTTCTTTGTGATGTTTGCATTCACGTCACAGAACTGAACATTCCCTTTCATAGAGCATGTTTGAAACACTCTTTCTGTAGTATCTGCAAACGGACATTTCAAACGCTTTCAGGCCTATGGTGAGAAGGGAAATATCTTCAAATAAAAACTATACAGAAGCATTCTCAGAAACTTCTTTGTGCTGTATGTCCTCAATTAACAGAGTTGAACGTTTGTGTGGATACAGCATTTTGGAAACACTCCTTTAGTAGGATATGCAAGTTGATATTTAGATAGCTAGGAAGATTTCCTTGGAAACGGGAATATCTTCATATAAAATCTAGACGGAAGCATTCTCAGAAACTGCTTTGTGATGTTTTCATTCAAGTCACAGAGTAGAATGTTCCCTGTTATATACCAGGTTTGAGACACTCTTTCTGCACTACCTGGAAGTGGACGTTTGGAGCGCTTTGAGGCCTATGTTGAAAAAGGAAATATCTTCCCATAAAAACTAGACAGAAGCATTCTCAGAAACTTGTTTGTGATGTGTGTATTCAACTAACAGAGATGAACCTTTCTTTTTACAGAGCAGTTTTGAAACACTCTTTTTGTGGAATCTGAAAGTGGATATTTGGATAGCTTTGAGGATTTCGTTGGAAACGGGATTACATATAAAACCTAGAGAGAAGCATTCTCAGGAACTTCTTTGTGATGTTTGCATTCAAGTGACAGAACTGAACATTCCCTATCATAGAGCATGTTTGAAACACTCTTTCTGTAGTATCTGCAAACGGACATTTCAAACGCTTTCAGGCCTATGGTGAGAAAGGAAATATCTTCAAATAAAAAGTAGACAGAAGCATTCTCAGAAACTTGTTTGCGATGTGTTTCCTCAACTAACAGAGTTGAACCTTTCTTTTGATACAACATTTTGGAAACACTCTTTTTGTAGAATCTGCAAGTGGATATTTGGATAGCTTTGAAGGTTTCTTTGGAAACGGGAATATCTTCATATAAAATCAAGACAGAAGCATTCTCAGAAACTTCTCTGTGATGTTTGCATTCAACTCATAGAGTTGAACACTTCCCTTCATACAGCAGGTTTGAAACACTCTTTTTGTAATATTTGGAAGTGGACATTTGCAGCGCTTTGAGGCCTATGATGAAAAAGGTAATATCTTCCCATAAAAACTAGACAGAAGCATTCTCAGAAACTTGTTTGTGATGTGTGTATTCAACTAACAGAGATGAACCTTTCCTTTTACAGAGCAGTTTTGAAACACTCTTTTTGTGGAATCTGATAGTGGATATTTGGATAGCTTTGCGGATTTCGTTGGAAACGGGATTACATATAAAATCTAGGGAGAAGCATTCTCAGGAACTTCTTTGTGATGTTTGCATTCAAGTCACAGAACTGAACATTCCCTTTCATAGAGCAGGTTTGAAACACTCTTTCTGTAGTATCTGCAAGCGGACGTTTTAAGCGCTTTCAGGCCTGTGGTGAGAAAGGAAATATCTTCAAATAAAAACTAGACAGAAGCATTCTCAGAAACTTATTTGCGATGTGTGTCCTCAACTAACAGAGTTGAACCTTTCTTTTGATACAACATTTTGGAAACACTCTTTTTGTAGAATCTGCAAGTGGATATTTGGATAGCTTTGAAGGTTTCGTTGGAAACGGGAATATCTTCATATGAAATCAAGACAGAAGCATTCTCAGAAACTTCTCTGTGATGTTTGCATTCAACTCATAGAGTTGAACACTTCCCTTCATACAGCAGGTTTGAAACACTCTTTTTCTAATATTTGGAAGTGGACATTTGCAGCGCTTTGAGGCCTATGTTGAAAAAGGATATATCTTCTCCTAAAAACCAGACAGAAGCATTCTCAGAAACTTCCTTGTGATGTGTGTACTCAAGTAACAGAGTTGAACCTTCCTTTTGACAGAGCAGTTTTGAAGCACTCTTTTTGTAGAATCTGCAAGTGGAAATTTTGATACCTTTGAGGATTTCGTTGGACACGGGATATCTTCATATAAAATCTAGACAGAAGCACTCTCAGGAACTTCTTTGTGATGTTTGCCTTCAAGTCACAGGACTGAACATTCCCTTTCATAGAGCAGGTTTGAAACACTCTTTCTGTAGTATCTGCAAGCGGACGTTTTAAGCGCTTTCAGGCCTGTGGTGAGAAAGGAAATATCTTCAAATAAAAACTAGACAGAAGCATTCTCAGAAACTTATTTGCCATGTGTGTTCTCAACTAACAGAGTTGAACCTTTGTTTTGATACGGCATTTTGGAAACACTCTTTTTGTAGAATCTGCAGGTGGATATTCGGATAGCTTTGAATGTTTCGTTGGAAACGGGAATATATTCATATAAAATCTAGACGGAAGCATTCTCAGAAACTGCTTTGTGATGTTTTCATTGAAGTCACAGAGTAGAATGTTCCCTTTT
Organism: Homo sapiens; assembly: GCF_000001405.40. Taxonomy (NCBI): domain Eukaryota; kingdom Metazoa; phylum Chordata; class Mammalia; order Primates; family Hominidae; genus Homo; species Homo sapiens. The sequence goes on from NC_000009.12 coordinate 43,794,884, forward strand.
ATATACCAGGTTTGAGACACACTTTCTGCACTATCTGGAAGTGGACATTTGGAGCGCTTTGAGGCCTATGATGAAAAAGGAAATATCTTCCCATAAAAACTAGACAGAAGCATTCTCAGAAACTTGTTTGTGATGTGTGTATTCAACTAACAGAGATGAACCTTTCTTTTTACAGAGCAGTTTTGAAACACTCTTTTTGTGGAATCTGAAAGTGGATATTTGGATAGCTTTGAGGATTTCGTTGGAAACGGGATTACATATAAAATCTAGAGAGAAGCATTCTCAGGAACTTCTTTGTGATGTTTGCATTCACGTCACAGAACTGAACATTCCCTTTCATAGAGCATGTTTGAAACACTCTTTCTGTAGTATCTGCAAACGGACATTTCAAATGCTTTCAGGCCTATGGTGAGAAAGGAAATATCTTCAAATAAAAACTAGACAGAAGCATTCTCAGAAACTTATTTGCGATGTGTGTCCTCAACTAACAGAGTTGAACCTTTCTTTTGATACAACATTTTGGAAACACTCTTTTTGTGGAATCTGCAAGTGGATATTTGGATAGCTTTGAAGATTTCGTTGGAAACGGGAATATCTTCATATAAAATCAAGACAGAAGCATTCTCAGAAACTTCTCTGTGATGTTTGCATTCAACTCATAGAGTTGAACACTTCCCTTCATACAGCAGGTTTGAAACACTCTTTTTGTAATATTTGGAAGTGGACATTTGCAGCGCTTTGAGGCCTATGATGAAAAAGGTAATATCTTCCCATAAAAACTAGACAGAAGCATTCTCAGAAACTTGTTTGTGATGTGTGTATTCAACTAACAGAGATGAACCTTTCTTTTTACAGAGCAGTTTTGAAACACTCTTTTTGTGTAATCTGAAAGTGGATATTTGGATAGCTTTGCGGATTTCGTTGGAAACGGGATTACATATAAAATCTAGGGAGAAGCATTCTCAGGAACTTCTTTGTGATGTTTGCCTTCAAGTCACAGGACTGAACATTCCCTTTCATAGAGCAGGTTTGAAAAACTCTTTCTGTAGTATCTGCAAGCTGACGTTTCATGCGCTTTCAGGCCTATGGTGAGAAAGGAAATATCTTCAAGTAAAAACTAGACAGAAGCATTGTCAGAAACTTATTTGCCATGTGTGTTCTCAACTAACAGAGTTGAACCTTTGTTTTGATACGGCATTTTGGAAACACTCTTTTTGTAGAATCTGCAGGTGGATATTCGGATAGCTTTGAAGGTTTCGTTGGAAACGGGAATATCTTCATATAAAATCTAGACGGAAGCATTCTCAGAAACTGCTTTGTGATGTTTTCATTCAAGTCACAGAGTAGAATGTTCCCTGTTATATACCAGGTTTGAGACACTCTTTCTGCACTACCTGGAAGTGGACGTTTGGAGCGCTTTGAGGCGTATGTTGAAAAAGGAAATATCTTCCCATAAAAATTAGACAGAAGCATTCTCAGAAACTTGTTTGTGATGTGTGTATTCAACTAACAGAGATGAACCTTTCTTTTTACAGAGCAGTTTTGAAACACTCTTTTTGTGGAATCTGAAAGTGGATATTTGGATAGCTTTGAGGATTTCGTTGGAAACGGGATTACATATAAAACCTAGAGAGAAGCATTCTCAGGAACTTCTTTGTGATGTTTGCATTCAAGTCACAGAACTGAACATTCCCTTTCATAGAGCAGGTTTGAAACACTCTTTCTGTAGTATCTGCAAGCTGACGTTTCAAGCGCTTTCAGGCCTATGGTGAGAAAGGAAATATCTTCAAGTAAAAACTAGACAGAAGCATTCTCAGAAACTTATTTGCGATGTGTGTTCTCAACTAACAGAGTTGAACCTTTGTTTTGATATGGCATTTTGGAAACACTCTTTTTGTAGAATCTGCAGGTGGATATTCGGAAAGCTTTGAAGGTTTCCTTGGAAACGGGAATATCTTCATATAAAATCTAGACGGAAGCATTCTCAGAAACTGCTTTGTGATGTTTTCATTCAAGTCACAGAGTAGAATGTTCCCTGTTATATACCAGGTTTGAGACACTCTTTCTGCACTACCTGGAAGTGGACATTTGCAGCGCTTTGAGGCCTATGATGAAAAAGGAAATATCTTCCCATAAAAACTAGACAGAAGCATTCTCAGAAACTTGTTTGTGATGTGTGTATTCAACTAACAGAGATGAACCTTTCTTTTTACAGAGCAGTTTTGAAACACTCTTTTTGTGGAATCTGAAAGTGGATATTTGGATAGCTTTGAGGATTTCGTTGGAAACGGGATTACATATAAAATCTAGAGAGAAAGCATTCTCAGGCAACTTCTTTGTGATGTTTGCATTCACGTCACAGAACTGAACATTCCCTCTCATAGAGCATGTTTGAAACACTCTTTCTGTAGTATCTGCAAACGGACATTTCAAACGCTTTCAGGCCTATGGTGAGAAAGGAAATATCTTCAAGTAAAAACTAGACAGAAGCATTCTCAGAAACTTATTTGCGATGTGTGTCCTCAACTAACAGAGTTGAACCTTTCTTTTGATACAACATTTTGGAAACACTCTTTTTGTAGAATCTGCAAGTGGATATTTGAATAGCTTTGAAGGTTTCGTTGGAAACGGGAATATCTTCATATAAAATCAAGACAGAAGCATTCTCAGAAACTTCTCTGTGATGTTTGCATTCAACTCATAGAGTTGAACACTTCCCTTCATACAGCAGGTTTGAAACACTCTTTTTGTAATATTTGGAAGTGGACATTTGCAGCGCTTTGAGGCCTATGATGAAAAAGGTAATATCTTCCCATAAAAACTGGACAGAAGCATTCTCAGAAACTTGTTTGTGATGTGTGTATTCAACTAACAGAGATGAACCTTTCTTTTTACAGAGCAGTTTTGAAACACTCTTTTTGTGGAATCTGAAAGTGGATATTTGGATAGCTTTGCGGATTTCTTTGGAAACGGGATTACATATAAAATCTAGAGAGAAGCATTCTCAGGAAGTTCTTTGTGATGTTTGCATTCAAGTCACAGGACTGAACGTTCCCTTTCATAGAGCAGGTTTGAAACACTCTTTCTGTAGTATCTGCAAGCGGACGTTTTAAGCGCTTTCAGGCCTGTGGTGAGAAAGGAAATATCTTGAAATAAAAACTAGACAGAAGCATTCTCAGAAACTTATTTGCGATGTGTGTCCTCAACTAACAGAGTTGAACCTTTCTTTTGATACAACATTTTGGAAACACTCTTTTTGTAGAATCTGCAAGTGGATATTTGGATAGCTTTGAAGGTTTCGTTGGAAACGGGAATATCTTCATATGAAATCAAGACAGAAGCATTCTCAGAAACTTCTCTGTGATGTTTGCATTCAACTCATAGAGTTGAACACTTCCCTTCATACAGCAGGTTTGAAACACTCTTTTTCTAATATTTGGAAGTGGACATTTGCAGCGCTTTGAGGCCTATGTTGAAAAAGGAAATATCTTCTCCTAAAAACCAGACAGGAAGCATTCTCAGAAACTTCCTTGTGATGTGTGTACTCAAGTAACAGAGTTGAACCTTCCTTTTGACAGAGCAGTTTTGAAGCATTTTTTTTGTAGAATCTGCAAGTGGATATTTTGATACCTTTGAGGATTTCGTTGGACACGGGATATCTTCATATAAAATCTAGACAGAAGCATTCTCAGGAACTTCTTTGTGATGTTTGCCTTGAAGTCACAGGACTGAACATTCCCTTTCATAGAGCAGGTTTGAAACACTCTTTCTGTAGTATCTGCAAGCTGACGTTTCAAGCGCTTTCAGGCCTATGGTGAGAAAGGAAATATCTTCAAGTAAAAACTAGACAGAAGCATTCTCAGAAACTTATTTGCGATGTGTGTTCTCAACTAACAGAGTTGAACCTTTGTTTTGATATGGCATTTTGGAAACACTCTTTTTGTAGAATCTGCAGGTGGATATTCGGATAGCTTTGAAGGTTTCGTTGGAAACGGGAATATCTTCATATAAAATCTAGACGGAAGCATTCTCAGAAACTGCTTTGTGATGTTTTCATTCAAGTCACAGAGTAGAATGTTCCCTGTTATATACCAGGTTTGAGACACTCTTTCTGCACTACCTGGAAGTGGACATTTGCAGCGCTTTGAGGCCTATGATGAAAAAGGAAATATCTTCCCATAAAAACTAGACAGAAGCATTCTCAGAAACTTGTTTGTGATGTGTGTATTCAACTAAGAGAGATGAACCTTTCTTTTTACAGAGCAGTTTTGAAACACTCTTTTTGTGGAATCTGAAAGTGGATATTTGGATAGCTTTGAGGATTTCGTTGGAAACGGGATTACATATAAAATCTAGAGAGAAGCATTCTCAGGAACTTCTTTGTGATGTTTGCATTCACGTCACAGAACTGAACATTCCCTTTCATAGAACATGTTTGAAACACTCTTTCTGTAGTATCTGCAAACGGACATTTCAAACGCTTTCAGGCCTATGGTGAGAAAGGAAATATCTTCAAATAAAAACTAGACAGAAGCATTCTCAGAAACTTATTTGCCATGTGTGTTCTCAACTAACAGAGTTGAACCTTTGTTTTGATACGGCATTTTGGAAACACTCTTTTTGTAGAATCTGCAGGTGGATATTCGGATAGCTTTGAAGGTTTCGTTGGAAACGGGAATATCTTCATATAAAATCTAGACGGAAGCATTCTCAGAAACTGCTTTGTGATGTTTTCATTCAAGTCACAGAGTAGAATGTTCCCTTTTATATACCAGGTTTGAGACACTCTTTCTGCACTACCTGGAAGTGGACTTTTGGAGCGCTTTGAGGCCTATGATGAAAAAGGAAATATCTTCCCATAACAACTAGACAGAAGCATTCTCAGAAACTTGTTTGTGATGTGTGTATTCAACTAACAGAGATGAACCTTTCTTTTTACAGAGCAGTTTTGAAACACTCTTTTTGTGGAATCTGAAAGTGGATATTTGGATAGCTTTGAGGATTTCGTTGGAAACGAGATTACATATAAAATCTAGAGAGAAGCATTCTCAGGAACTTCTTTGTGATGTTTGCATTCATGTCACAGAACTGAACATTCCCTTTCATAGAGCATGTTTGAAACACTCTTTCTGTAGTATCTGCAAACGGACATTTCAAGCGCTTTCAGGCCTATGGTAAGAAAGGAAATATCTTCAAATAAAAACTAGACAGAAGCATTCTCAGCAAACTTATTTGCGATGTGTGTTCTCAACTAACAGAGTTGAACCTTTGTTTTGATACGGCATTTTGGAAACACTCTTTTTGTAGAATCTGCAGGTGGATATTCGGATAGCTTTGAAGGTTTCGTTGGAAACGGGAATATCTTCATATAAAATCTAGACGAAAGCATTCTCAGAAACTGCTTTGTGATGTTTTCATTCAAGTCACAGAGTAGAATGTTCCCTGTTATATACGAGGTTTGAGACACTCTTTCTGCACTACCTGGAAGTGGACATTTGCAGCGCTTTGAGGCCTATGATGAAAAAGGAAATATCTTCCCATAAAAACTAGACAGAAGCATTCTCAGAAATTTGTTTGTGATGTGTGTATTCAACTAACAGAGATGAACCTTTCTTTATACAGAGCAGTTTTGAAACACTCTTTTTGTGGAATCTGAAAGTGAATATTTGGATAGCTTTGAGGATTTCGTTGGAAACGGGATTACATATAAAATCTAGAGAGAAGCATTCTCAGGAACTTCTTTGTGATGTTTGCATTCAAGTCACAGAACTGAACATTCCCTTTCATAGAGCAGGTTTGAAACACTCTTTCTGTAGTATCTGCAAGCGCACGTTTTAAGCGCTTTCAAGCCTGTGGTGAGAAAGGAAATATCTTCAAATAAAAACTAGACAGAAGCATTCTCAGAAACTTATTTGCGATGTGTGTCCTCAACTAACAGAGTTGAACCTTTCTTTTGATACAACATTTTGGAAACACTCTTTTTGTAGAATCTGCAAGTGGATATTTGGATAGCTTTGAAGGTTTCGTTGGAAACGGGAATATCTTCATATGAAATCAAGACAGAAGCATTCTCAGAAACTTCTCTGTGATGTTTGCATTCAACTCATAGAGTTGAACACTTCCCTTCATACAGCAGGTTTGAAACACTCTTTTTGTAATATTTGGAAGTGGACATTTGCAGCGCTTTGAGGCCTATGTTGAAAAAGGAAATATCTTCTCCTAAAAACCAGACAGAAGCATTCTCAGAAACTTCCTTGTGATGTGTGTACTCAAGTAACAGAGTTGAACCTTCATTTTGACAGAGCAGTTTTGAAGCACTCTTTTTGTAGAATCTGCAAGTGGATATTTTGATACCTTTGAGGATTTCGTTGGACACGGGATATCTTCATATAAAATCTAGACAGAAGCATTCTCAGGAACTTCTTTGTGATGTTTGCATTCAAGTCACAGGACTGAACATTCCCTTTCATAGAGCAGGTTTGAAACTCTCTTTCTGTAGTATCTGCAAGCTGACGTTTCAAGCGCTTTCAGGCCTATGGTGAGAAAGGAAATATCTTCAAGTAAAAACTAGACAGAAGCATTCTCAGAAACTTATTTGCCATGTGTGTTCTCAACTAACAGAGTTGAACCTTTGTTTTGATACGGCATTTTGGAAACACTCTTTTTGTAGAATCTGCAGGTGGATATTCGGATAGCTTTGAAGGTTTCGTTGGAAACGGGAATATCTTCATATAAAATCTACACGGAAGCATTCTCAGAAACTGCTTTGTGATGTTTTCATTCAAGTCACAGAGTAGAATGTTCCCTGTTATATACCAGGTTTGAGACACTCTTTCTGCACTACCTGGAAGTGGACGTTTGGAGCGCTTTGAGGCCTATGTTGAAAAAGGAAATATCTTCCCATAAAAACTAGACAGAAGCATTCTCAGAAACTTGTTTGTGATGTGTGTATTCAACTAACAGAGATGAACCTTTCTTTTTACAGAGCAGTTTTGAAACACTCTTTTTGTGGAATCTGAAAGTGGATATTTGGATAGCTTTGAGGATTTCGTTGGAAACGGGATTACATATAAAATCTAGAGAGAAGCATTCTCAGGAACTTCTTTGTGATGTTTGCATTCAAGTCACAGAACTGAACATTCCCTTTCATAGAGCAGGTTTGAAACACTCTTTCTGTAGTATCTGCAAGCGGACGTTTCAAGCGCTTTCAGGCCTGTGGTGAAAAAGGAAATATCTTCAAATAAAAACTAGACAGAAGCATTCTCAGAAACTTATTTGAGATGTGTGTTCTCAACTAAAAGAGTTGAACCTTTGTTTGGATACAGCATTTTGCAAACACTCTTTTTGTAGAATCTGCAAGTGGATATTTGGATAGCTTTGAAGGATTCGTTGGAAACGGGAATATCTTCATATAAAATCAAGACAGAAGCATTCTCAGAAACTTCTCTGTGATGTTTGCATTCAACTCATAGAGTTGAACACTTCCCTTCATACAGCAGGTTTGAAACACTCTTTTTGTAATATTTGGAAGTGGACATTTGCAGCGCTTTGAGGCCTATGTTGAAAAAGGAAATATCTTCTCCTAAAAACCAGACAGAAGCATTCTCAGAAACTTCCTTGTGATGTGTGTACTCAAGTAACAGAGTTGAACCTTCCTTTTGACAGAGCAGTTTTGAAGCACTCTTTTTGTAGAATCTGCAAGTGGATATTTTGATACCTTTGAGGATTTCGTTGGACACGGGATATCTTCATATAAAATCTAGACAGAAGCATTCTCAGAAACTTCTTTGTGCTGTATGTCCTCAATTAACAGAGTTGAACCTTTGTGTGGATACAGCATTTTGGAAACATTCCTTTAGTAGAATCTGCAAGTTGATATTTAGATAGCTAGGAAGATTTCCTTGGAAACGGGAATATCTTCATATAAAATCTACACGGAAGCATTCTCAGAAACTTCTCTGTGATGTTTGCATTCAACTCATAGAGTTGAACACTTCCCTTCATAGAGCAGGTTTGAAACACTCTTTTTGTAATATTTGGAAGTGGACATTTGCAGCGCTTTGAGGCCTATGTTGAAAAAGGAAATATCTTCTCCTAAAAACCAGACAGAAGCATTCTCAGAAACTTCCTTGTGATGTGTGTACTCAAGTAACAGAGTTGAACCTTACTTTTGACAGAGCCGTTTTGAAACAGTCTTTTTGTAGAATCTGGAAGTAGATATTTGGACACCTTTGAGGATTTCTTTGGAAACCGGATATCTTCATATAAAATCTAGACAGAAGCATTCTCAGGAACTTCTTTGTGATGTTTGCATTCAAGTCACAGAACTGAACATTCCCTTTCATAGAGCATGTTTGAAACACTCTTTCTGTAGTATCTGCAAGCGGACGTTTTAAGCGCTTTCAGGCCTGTGGTGAGAAAGGAAATATCTTCAAATAAAAACTAGACAGAAGCATTCTCAGAAACTTATTTGCGATGTGTGTCCTCAACTAACAGAGTTGAACCTTTCTTTTGATACAACATTTTGGAAACACTCTTTTTGTAGAATCTGCAAGTGGATATTTGGATAGCTTTGAAGGTTTCGTTGGAAACGGGAATATCTTCATATGAAATCAAGACAGAAGCATTCTCAGAAACTGCTTTGTGATGTTTTCATTCAAGTCACAGAGTAGAATGTTCCCTGTTATATACCAGGTTTGAGACACTCTTTCTGCACTACCTGGAAGTGGAGGTTTGGAGCGCTTTGAGGCCTATGTTGAAAAAGGAAATATCTTCCCATAAAAACTAGACAGAAGCATTCTCAGAAACTTGTTTGTGATGTGTGTATTCAACTAACAGAGATGAACCTTTCTTTTTACAGAGCAGTTTTGAAACACTCTTTTTGTGGAATCTGAAAGTGGATATTTGGATAGCTTTGAGGATTTCGTTGGAAACGGGATTACATATAAAATCTAGGGAGAAGCATTCTCAGGAACTTCTTTGTGATGTTTGCATTCAAGTCACAGAACTGAACATTCCCTTTCATAGAGCAGGTTTGAAACACTCTTTCTGTAGTATCTGCAAGTGGACGTTTCAAGCGCTTTCAGGCCTGTGGTGAAAAAGGAAATATCTTCAAATAAAAACTAGACAGAAGCATTCTCAGAAACTTATTTGCGATGTGTGTTCTCAGCTAACAGAGTTGAACCTTTGTTTTGATACAGCATTTTGGAAACACTCTTTTTGTAGGATCTGCAGGTGGATATTTGGATAGCTGTGAAGGTTTCTTTGGAAACGGGAATATCTTCATATAAAATCAAGACAGAAGCATTCTCAGAAACTTTTCTGTTCTGTTTGCATTCAACTCATAGAGTTGAACACTTCCTTTCATAGAGCTGGTTTGAAATACTCTTTTTGTAATATTTGGAAGTGGACATTGGCAGCGGTTTGAAGCCTATGGTGAAAAAGGAGATATCTTCTCCTAAAAACCAGACAGAAGCATTCTCAGAATCTTTCTTGTGATGTGTGTACTCAAGTAACAGAGTTGAACCTTCATTTTGACAGAGCAGTTTTGAAGCACTCTTTTTGTAGAATCTGCAAGTGGATATTTTGATACCTTTGAGGATTTCGTTAGACACGGGATATCTTCATATAAAATCTAGACAGAAGCATTCTCAGAAACTTCTTTGTGCTGTATGTCCTCAATTAACAGAGTTGAACCTTTGTGTGGATACAGCATTTTGGAAACATTCCTTTAGTAGAATCTGCAAGTTGATATTTAGATAGCTAGGAAGATTTCCTTGGAAACGGGAATATCTTCATATAAAATCTAGACGGAAGCATTCTCAGAAAGTGCTTTGTGATGTTTGCATTCAAGTCACAGAGTTGAATATTCCCTTTTATAGAGCAGGTTTGAAACACTCTTTCTGCACTACCTGGAAGTGGACATTTGGAGCGCTTTGAGGCCTATGTTGAAAAAGGAAATATCTTCCCATAAAAACTTGACAGAAGCATTCTCAGAAACTTGTTTGTGATGTGTGTATTCAACTAACAGAGATGAACCTTTCTTTTTACAGAGCAGTTTTGAAACACTCTTTTTGTGGAATCTGAAAGTGGATATTTGGATAGCTTTGAGGATTTCGTTGGAAACGGGATTACATATAAAACCTAGAGAGAAGCATTCTCAGGAACTTCTTTGTGATGTTTGCCTTCAAGTCACAGGACTGAACATTCCCTTTCATAGAGCAGGTTTGAAACACTCTTTCTGTAGTATCTGCAAGCTGACGTTTCAAGCGCTTTCAGGCCTATGGTGAGAAAGGAAATATCTTCAAGTAAAAACTAGACAGAAGCTTTCTCAGAAACTTATTTGCCATGTGTGTTCTCAACTAACAGAGTTGAACCTTTGTTTTGATACGGCATTTTGGAAACACTCTTTTTGTAGAAACTGCAGGTGGATATTCGGATAGCTTTGAAGGTTTCGTTGGAAACGGGAATATCTTCATATAAAATCTAGACGGAAGCATTCTCAGAAACTTCTCTGTGATGTTTGCATTCAACTCATAGAGTTGAACACTTCCCTTCATACAGCAGGTTTGAAACACTCTTTTTGTAATATTTGGAAGTGGACATTTGCAGCGCTTTGAGGCCTATGATGAAAAAGGTAATATCTTCCCATAAAAACTAGACAGAAGCATTCTCAGAAACTTGTTTGTGATGTGTGTATTCAACTAACAGAGATGAACCTTTCTTTTTACAGAGCAGTTTTGAAACACTCTTTTTGTGGAATCTGAAAGTGGATATTTGGATAGCTTTGCGGATTTCGTTGGAAACGGGATTACATATAAAATCTAGGGAGAAGCATTCTCAGGAACTTCTTTGTGATGTTTGCATTCAAGTCACAGAACTGAACATTCCCTTTCATAGAGCAGGTTTGAAACACTCTTTCTGTAGTATCTGCAAGCGGACGTTTTAAGCGCTTTCAGGCCTGTGGTGAGAAAGGAAATATCTTCAAATAAAAACTAGACAGAAGCATTCTCAGAAACTTACTTGCGATGTGTGTCCTCAACTAACAGAGTTGAACCTTTCTTTTGATACAACATTTTGGAAACACTCTTTTTGTAGAATCTGCAAGTGGATATTTGGATAGCTTTGAAGGTTTCGTTGGAAACGGGAATATCTTCATATGAAATCAAGACAGAAGCATTCTCAGAAACTGCTTTGTGATGTTTTCATTCAAGTCACAGAGTAGAATGTTCCCTGTTATATACCAGGTTTGAGACACTCTTTCTGCACTACCTGGAAGTGGACATTTGCAGCGCTTTGAGGCCTATGATGAAAAAGGAAATATCTTCCCATAAAAACTAGACAGAAGCATTCTCAGAAACTTGTTTGTGATGTGTGTATTTAACTAACAGAGATGAACCTTTCTTTCTACAGAGCAGTTTTGAAACACTCTTTTTGTGGAATCTGAAAGTGGATATTTGGATAGCTTTGAGGATTTCGTTGGAAACGGGATTACATATAAAATCTAGAGAGAAGCATTCTCAGGAACTTCTTTGTGATGTTTGCATTCACGTCACAGAACTGAACATTCCCTTTCATAGAGCATGTTTGAAACACTCTTTCTGTAGTATCTGCAAACGGACATTTCAAACGCTTTCAGGCCTATGGTGAGAAAGGAAATATCTTCAAATAAAAACTAGACAGAAGCATTCTCAGAAACTTATTTGCGATGTGTGTCCTCAACTAACAGAGTTGAACCTTTCTTTTGATACAACATTTTGGAAACACTCTTTTTGTAGAATCTGCAAGTGGATATTTGAATAGCTTTGAAGGTTTCGTTGGAAACGGGAATATCTTCATATAAAATCAAGACAGAAGCATTCTCAGAAACTTCTCTGTGATGTTTGCATTCAACTCATAGAGTTGAACACTTCCCTTCATACAGCAGGTTTGAAACACTCTTTTTGTAATATTTGGAAGTGGACATTTGCAGCGCTTTGAGGCCTATGATGAAAAAGGAAATATCTTCCCATAAAAACTAGACAGGAAGCATTCTCAGAAACTTGTTTATGATGTGTGTATTCAACTAACAGAGATGAACCTTTCTTTTTACAGAGCAGTTTTGAAACACTCTTTTTGTGGAATCTGAAAGTGGATATTTGGATAGCTTTGAGGATTTCGTTGGAAACGGGATTACATATAAAATCTAGAGAGAAGCATTCTCAGGAACTTCTTTGTGATGTTTGCATTCACGTCACAGAACTGAACATTCCCTTTCATAGAGCATGTTTGAAACACTCTTTCTGTAGTATCTGCAAACGGACATTTCAAACGCTTTCAGGCCTATGGTGAGAAAGGAAATATCTTCAAATAAAAACTAGACAGAAGCATTCTCAGAAACTTATTTGCGATGTGTGTCCTCAACTAACAGAGTTGAACCTTTCTTTTGATACAACATTTTGGAAACACTCTTTTTGTAGAATCTGCAAGTGGATATTTGAATAGCTTTGAAGGTTTCGTTGGAAACGGGAATATCTTCATATAAAATCAAGACAGAAAGCATTCTCAGAAACTTCTCTGTGATGTTTGCATTCAACTCATAGTAGTTGAACACTTCCCTTCATACAGCAGGTTTGAAACACTCTTTTTGTAATATTTGGAAGTGGACATTTGCAGCGTTTTGAGGCCTATGATGAAAAAGGTAATATCTTCTCATAAAAACTAGACAGAAGCATTCTCAGAAACTTGTTTGTGATGTGTGTATTCAACTAAGAGAGATGAACCTTTGTTTTTACAGAGCAGTTTTGAAACACTCTTTTTGTGGAATCTGAAAGTGGATATTTGGATAGCTTTGCGGATTTCGTTGGAAACGGGATTACATATAAAATCTAGGGAGAAGCATTCTCAGGAAATTCTTTGTGATGTTTGCATTCAAGTCACAGAACTGAACATTCCCTTTCATAGATCAGGTTTGAAACACTCTTTCTGTAGTATCTGCAAGCGGACGTTTTAAGCGCTTTCAGGCCTGTGGTGAGAAAGGAAATATCTTCAAATAAAAACTAGACAGAAGCATTCTCAGAAACTTATTTGCGATGTGTGTCCTCAACTAACAGAGTTGAACCTTTCTTTTGATACAACATTTTGGAAACACTCTTTTTGTAGAATCTGCAAGTGGATATTTGGATAGCTTTGAAGGTTTCGTTGGAAACGGGAATATCTTCATATGAAATCAAGACAGAAGCATTCTCAGAAACTTCTCTGTGATGTTTGCATTCAACTCATAGAGTTGAACACTTCCCTTCATACAGCAGGTTTGAAACACTCTTTTTCTAATATTTGGAAGTGGACATTTGCAGCGCTTTGAGGCCTATGTTGAAAAAGGAAATATCTTCTCCTAAAAACCAGACAGAAGCATTCTCAGAAACTTCCTTGTGATGTGTGTACTCAAGTAACAGAGTTGAACCTTCCTTTTGACAGAGCAGTTTTGAAGCACTCTTTTTGTAGAATCTGCAAGTGGATATTTTGATACCTTTGAGGATTTCGTTGGACACGGGATATCTTCATATAAAATCTAGACAGAAGCATTCTCAGAAACTTCTTTGTGCTGTATGTCCTCAATTAACAGAGTTGAACCTTTGTGTGGATACAGCATTTTGGAAACATTCCTTTAGTAGAATCTGCAAGTTGATATTTAGATAGCTAGGAAGATTTCCTTGGAAACGGGAATATCTTCATATAAAATCTAGACGGAAGCATTCTCAGAAAGTGCTTTGTGATGTTTGCATTCAAGTCACAGAGTTGAATATTCCCTTTTATAGAGCAGGTTTGAAACACTCTTTCTGCACTACCTGGAAGTGGACATTTGGAGCGCTTTGAGGCCTATGTTGAAAAAGGAAATATCTTCCCATAAAAACTAGACAGAAGCATTCTCAGAAACTTGTTTGTGATGTGTGTATTCAACTAACAGAGATGAACCTTTCTTTTTACAGAGCAGTTTTGAAACACTCTTTTTGTGGAATCTGAAAGTGGATATTTGGATAGCTTTGAGGATTTCGTTGGAAACGGGATTACATATAAAACCTAGAGAGAAGCATTCTCAGGAACTTCTTTGTGATGTTTGCCTTCAAGTCACAGGACTGAACATTCCCTTTCATAGAGCAGGTTTGAAACACTCTTTCTGTAGTATCTGCAAGCTGACGTTTCAAGCGCTTTCAGGCCTATGGTGAGAAAGGAAATATCTTCAAGTAAAAACTAGACAGAAGCATTCTCAGAAACTTATTTGCCATGTGTGTTCTCAACTAACAGAGTTGAACCTTTGTTTTGATACGGCATTTTGGAAACACTCTTTGTGTAGAATCTGCAGGTGGATATTCGGATAGCTTTGAAGGTTTCGTTGGAAACGGGAATATCTTCATATAAAATCTAGACGGAAGCATTCTCAGAAACTGCTTTGGGATGTTTTCATTCAAGTCACAGAGTAGAATGTTCCCTGTTATATACCAGGTTTGAGACACTCTTTCTGCACTACCTGGAAGTGGACGTTTGGAGCGCTTTGAGGCCTATGTTGAAAAAGGAAATATCTTCCCATAAAAACTAGACAGAAGCATTCTCAGAAACTTGTGATGTGTGTATTCAACTAACAGAGATGAACCTTTCTTTTTACAGAGCAGTTTTGAAACACTCTTTTTGTGGAATCTGAAAGTGGATATTTGGATAGCTTTGAGGATTTCGTTGGAAACGGGATTACATATAAAACCTAGAGAGAAGCATTCTCAGGAACTTCTTTGTGATGTTTGCATTCAAGTCACAGAACTGAACATTCCCTTTCATAGAGCAGGTTTGAAACACTCTTTCTGTAGTATCTGCAAGCTGACGTTTCAAGCGCTTTCAGGCCTATGGTGAGAAAGGAAATATCTTCAAGTAAAAACTAGACAGAAGCATTCTCAGAAACTTATTTGCGATGTGTGTTCTCAACTAACAGAGTTGAACGTTTGTTTTGATACGGCATTTTGGAAACACTCTTTTTGTAGAATCTGCAGGTGGATATTCGGATAGCTTTGAAGGTTTCGTTGGAAACGGGAATATCTTCATATAAAATCTAGACGGAAGCATTCTCAGAAACTGCTTTGTGATGTTTTCATTCAAGTCACAGAGTAGAATGTTCCCTGTTATATACCAGGTTTGAGACACTATTTCTGCACTACCTGGAAGTGGACATTTGGAGCGCTTTGAGGCCTATGATGAAAAAGGAAATATCTTCCCATAAAAACTAGACAGAAGCATTCTCAGAAACTTGTTTGTGATGTGTGTATTCAACTAACAGAGATGAACCTTTCTTTTTACAGAGCAGTTTTGAAACACTCTTTTTGTGGAATCTGAAAGTGGATATTTGGATAGCTTTGAGGATTTCGTTGGAAACGGGATTACATATAAAACCTAGAGAGAAGCATTCTCAGGAACTTCTTTGTGATGTTTGCCTTCAAGTCACAGGACTGAACATTCCCTTTCATAGAGCAGGTTTGAAACACTCTTTCTGTAGTATCTGCAAGCTGACGTTTCAAGCGCTTTCAGGCCTATGGTGAGAAAGGAAATATCTTCAAGTAAAAACTAGACAGAAGCATTCTCAGAAACTTATTTGCGATGTGTGTCCTCAACTAACAGAGTTGAACCTTTGTTTTGATACGGCATTTTGGAAACACTCTTTTTGTAGAATCTGCAGGTGGATATTCGGATAGCTTTGAAGGTTTCGTTGGAAACGGGAATATCTTCATATAAAATCTAGACGGAAGCATTCTCAGAAACTGCTTTGTGATGTTTTCATTCAAGTCACAGAGTAGAATCTTCCCTGTTATATACCAGGTTTCAGACACTCTTTCTGCACTACCTGGAAGTGGACATTTGCAGCGCTTTGAGGCCTATGATGAAAAAGGAAATATCTTCCCATAAAAACTAGACAGAAGCATTCTCAGAAACTTGTTTGTGATGTGTGTATTCAACTAACAGAGATGAACCTTTCTTTTTACAGAGCAGTTTTGAAACACTCTTTTTGTGGAATCTGAAAGTGGATATTTGGATAGCTTTGAGGATTTCGTTGGAAACGGGATTACATATAAAATCTAGAGAGAAGCATTCTCAGGAACTTCTTTGTGATGTTTGCATTCACGTCACAGAACTGAACATTCCCTTTCATAGAGCATGTTTGAAACACTCTTTCTGTAGTATCTACAAACGGACATTTCAAACGCTTTCAGGCCTATGGTGAGAAAGGAAATATCTTCAAATAAAAACTAGACAGAAGCATTCTCAGAAACTTATTTGCGATGTGTGTCCTCAACTAACAAAGTTGAACCTTTCTTTTGATACAACATTTTGGAAACACTCTTTTTGTAGAATCTGCAAGTGGATATTTGAATAGCTTTGAAGGTTTCGTTGGAAACGGGAATATCTTCATATAAAATCAAGACAGAAGCATTCTCAGAAACTTCTCTGTGATGTTTGCATTCAACTCATAGAGTTGAACACTTCCCTTCATACAGCAGGTTTGAAACACTCTTTTTGTAACATTTGGAAGTGGACATTTGCAGCGCTTTGAGGCCTATGTTGAAAAAGGAAATATCTTCTCCTAAAAACCAGACAGAAGCATTCTCAGAAACTTCCTTGTGATGTGTGTACTCAAGTAACAGAGTTGAACCTTCCTTTTGACAGAGCAGTTTTGAAGCACTCTTTTTGTAGAATCTGCAAGTGGATATTTTGATACTTTTGAGGATTTCGTTGGACACGGGATATCTTCATATAAAATCTAGACAGAAGCATTCTCAGAAACTTCTTTGTGCTGTATGTCCTCAATTAACAGAGTTGAACCTTTGTGTGGATACAGCATTTTGGAAACATTCCTTTAGTAGAATCTGCAAGTTGATATTTAGATAGCTAGGAAGATTTCCTTGGAAACGGGAATATCTTCATATAAAATCTAGACGGAAGCATTCTCAGAAAGTGCTTTGTGATGTTTGCATTCAAGTCACAGAGTTGAATGTTCCCTTTTATAGAGCAGGTTTGAAACACTCTTTCTGCACTACCTGGAAGTGGACATTTGGAGCGCTTTGAGGCCTATGTTGAAAAAGGAAATATCTTCCCATAAAAACTAGACAGAAGCATTCTCAGAAACTTGTTTGTGATGTGTGTATTCAACTAACAGAGATGAACCTTTCTTTTTACAGAGCAGTTTTGAAACACTCTTTTTGTGGAATCTGAAAGTGGATATTTGGATAGCTTTGAGGATTTCGTTGGAAACGGGATTACATATAAAATCTAGAGAGAAGCATTCTCAGGAACTTCTTTGTGATGTTTGCATTCAAGTCACAGAACTGAACATTCCCTTTCATAGAGCATGTTTGAAACACTCTTTCTGTAGTATCTGCAAGCGGACGTTTCAAGCGCTTTCAGGCCTATGGTGAGAAAGGAAATATCTTCAAGTAAAAACTAGACAGAAGCATTCTCAGAAACTTATTTGCCATGTGTGTTCTCAACTAACAGAGTTGAACCTTTGTTTTGATACGGCATTTTGGAAACACTCTTTTTGTAGAATCTGCAGGTGGATATTCGGATAGCTTTGAAGGTTTCGTTGGAAACGGGAATATCTTCATATAAAATCTAGACGGAAGCATTCTCAGAAACTGCTTTGTGATGTTTTCATTCAAGTCACAGAGTAGAATGTTCTCTTTTATATACCAGGTTTGAGACACTCTTTCTGCACTATCTGGAAGTGGACATTTGGAGCGCTTTGAGGCCTATGATGAAAAAGGAAATATCTTCCCATAAAAACTAGACAGAAGCATTCTCAGAAACTTGGTTGTGATGTGTGTATTCAACTAACAGAGATGAACCTTTCTTTTTACAGAGCAGTTTTGAAACACTCTTTTTGTGGAATCTGAAAGTGCATATTTGGATAGCTTTGAGGATTTCGTTGGAAACGGGATTACATATAAAATCTAGAGAGAAGCATTCTCAGGAACTTCTTTGTGATGTTTGCATTCACGTCACAGAACTGAACATTCCCTTTCATAGAGCATGTTTGAAACACTCTTTCTGTAGTATCTGCAAACGGACATTTCAAGCGCTTTCAGGCCTATGGTAAGAAAGGAAATATCTTCAAATAAAAACTAGACAGAAGCATTCTCAGAAACTTATTTGCGATGTGTGTCCTCAACTAACAGAGTTCAACCTTTGTTTTGATACAACATTTTGGAAACACTCTTTTTGTAGAATCTGCAAGTGGATATTTGGATAGCTTTGAAGGTTTCGTTGGAAACGGGAATATCTTCATATAAAATCAAGACAGAAGCATTCTCAGAAACTTCTCTGTGATGTTTGCATTCAACTCATAGAGGTGAACACTTCCCTTCATAGAGCAGGTTTGAAACACTCTTTTTGTAATATTTGGAAGTGGACATTTGCAGCGCTTTGAGGCCTATGTTGAAAAAGGAAATATCTTCTCCTAAAAACCAGACAGAAGCATTCTCAGAAACTTCCTTGTGATGTGTGTACTCAAGTAACAGAGTTGAACCTTACTTTTGACAGAGCCGTTTTGAAACAGTCTTTTTGTAGAATCTGGAAGTAGATATTTGGACACCTTTGAGGATTTCTTTGGAAACGGGATATCTTCATATAAAATCTAGACAGAAGCATTCTCAGAAACTTCTTTGTGCTGTATGTCCTCAATTAACAGAGTTGAACCTTTGTGTGGATACAGCATTTTGGAAACATTCCTTTAGTAGAATCTGCAGGTTGATACTTAGATAGCTAGGAAGATTTCCTTGGAAACGGGAATATCTTCATATAAAATCTAGACGGAAGCATTCTCAGAAAGTGCTTTGTGATGTTTGCATTCAAGTCACAGAGTTGAATATTCCCTTTTATAGGGCAGGTTTGAAACACTCTTTCTGCACTACCTGGAAGTGGACATGTGGAGCGCTTTGAGGCCTATGTTGAAAAAGGAAATATCTCCCCATAAAAACTAGACAGAAGCATTCTCAGAAACTTGTTTGTGATGTGTGTATTCAACTAACAGAGATGAACCTTTCTTTTTACAGAGCAGTTTTGAAACACTCTTTTTGTGGAATCTGAAAGTGGATATTTGCATAGATTTGAGGATTTCGTTGGAAACGGGATTACATATAAAATCTAGGGAGAAGCATTCTCAGGAACTTCTTTGTGATGTTTGCATTCAAGTCACAGAACTGAACATTCCCTTTCATTGAGCAGCTTTGAAACACTCTTTCTGTAGTATCTCCAAGCGGACGTTTCAAGCGCTTTCAGGCCTGTGGTGAAAAGGGAAATATCTTCAAATAAAAACTAGACAGAAGCATTCTCAGAAACTTATTTGCGATGTGTGTTCTCAACTAACAGAGTTGAACCTTTGTTTTGATACAGCATTTTGGAAACACTCTTTTTGTAGGATCTGCAGGTGGATATTTGGATAGATTTGAAGGTTTCGTTGGAAACGGGAATATCTTCATATAAAATCAACACAGAAGCATTCTCAGAAACTTCTCTGTGATGTTGGCATTCAACTCATAGAGTTGAACACTTCCTTTCATAGAGCTGGTTTGAAATACTCTTTTTGTAATATTTGGAAGTGGACATTGGCAGCGCTTTGAAGCCTATGGCGAAAAAGGAGATATCTTCCCCTAAAAACCAGACAGAAGCATTCTCAGAATCTTTCTTGTGATGTGTGTACTCAAGTAACAGAGTTGAACCTTCATTTTGACAGAGCAGTTTTGAAGCACTCTTTTTGTAGAATCTACAAGTGGATATTTTGATACCTTTGAGGATTTCGTTGGACACGGGATATCTTCATATAAAATCTAGACAGAAGCATTCTCAGAAACTTCTCTGTGATGTTTGCATTCAACTCATAGAGTTGAACCCTTCCTTTCATAGAGCTGGTTTGAAATACTCTTTTTGTAATATTTGGAAGTGGACATTGGCAGCGCTTTGAAGCCTATGGTGAAAAAGGAGATATCTTCTCCTAAAAACCAGACAGAAGCATTCTCAGAATCTTTCTTGTGATGTGTGTACTCAAGTAACAGAGTTGAACCTTCATTTTGACAGAGCAGTTTTGAAGCACTCTTTTTGTAGAATCTGCAAGTGGATATTTTGATACCTTTGAGGATTTCGTTAGACACTGGATATCTTCATATAAAATCTAGACAGAAGCATTCTCAGAAACTTCTTTGTGCTGTATGTCCTCAATTAACAGAGTTGAACCTTTGTGTGGATACAGCATTTTGGAAACATTCCTTTAGTAGAATCTGCAAGTTGATATTTAGATAGCTAGGAAGATTTCCTTGGAAACGGGAATATCTTCATATAAAATCTAGACGGAAGCATTCTCAGAAAGTGCTTTGTGATGTTTGCATTCAAGTCACAGAGTTGAATATTCCCTTTTATAGAGCAGGTTTGAAACACTCTTTCTGCACTACCTGGAAGTGGACATTTGGAGCGCTTTGAGGCCTATGATGAAAAAGGAAATATCTTCCCATAAAAACTAGACAGAAGCATTCTCAGAAACTTGTTTGTGATGTGTGTATTCAACTAACAGAGATGAACCTTTCTTTTTACAGAGCAGTTTTGAAACACTCTTTTTGTGGAATCTGAAAGTGGATATTTGGATAGCTTTGCGGATTTCGTTGGAAACGGGATTACATATAAAATCTAGGGGGAAGCATTCTCAGGAACTTCTTTGTGATGTTTGCATTCAAGTCACAGAACTGAACATTCCCTTTCATAGAGCAGGTTTGAAACACTCTTTCTGTAGTATCTGCAAGCGGACGTTTTAAGCGCTTTCAGGCCTGTGGTGAGAAAGGAAATATCTTCAAATAAAAACTAGACAGAAGCATTCTCAGAAACTTATTTGCGATGTGTGTCCTCAACTAACAGAGTTGAACCTTTCTTTTGATACAACATTTTGGAAACACTCTTTTTGTAGAATCTGCAAGTGGATATTTGGATAGCTTTGAAGGTTTCGTTGGAAACGGGAATATCTTCATATGAAATCAAGACAGAAGCATTCTCAGAAACTTCTCTGTGATGTTTGCATTCAACTCATAGAGTTGAACACTTCCCTTCATACAGCAGGTTTGAAACACTCTTTTTGTAATATTTGGAAGTGGACATTTGCAGCGCTTTGAGGCCTATGTTGAAAAAGGAAATATCTTCTCCTAAAAACCAGACAGAAGCATTCTCAGAAACTTCCTTGTGATGTGTGTACTCAAGTAACAGAGTTGAACCTTCCTTTTGACAGAGCAGTTTTGAAGCACTCTTTTTGTAGAATCTGCAAGTGGATATTTTGATACCTTTGAGGATTTCGTTGGACGCGGGATATCTTCATATAAAATCTAGACAGAAGCATTCTCAGGAACTCCTTTGTGATGTTTGCCTTCAAGTCACAGGACTGAACATTCCCTTTCATAGAGCAGGTTTGAAACACTCTTTCTGTAGTATCTGCAAGCTGACGTTTCAAGCGCTTTCAGGACTATGGTGAGAAAGGAAATATCTTCAAGTAAAAACTAGACAGAAGCATTCTCAGAAACTTATTTGCGATGTGTGTCCTCAACTAACAGAGTTGAACCTTTCTTTTGATACAACATTTTGGAAACACTCTTTTTGTAGAATCAGCAAGTGGATATTTGAATAGCTTT
This sequence comes from Homo sapiens, assembly GCF_000001405.40. Lineage (NCBI taxonomy): Eukaryota > Metazoa > Chordata > Mammalia > Primates > Hominidae > Homo > Homo sapiens. The sequence continues at coordinate 43,816,561 of NC_000009.12, forward strand.
GAAGGTTTCGTTGGAAACGGGAATATCTTCATATAAAATCAAGACAGAAGCATTCTCAGAAACTTCTCTGTGATGTTTGCATTCAACTCATAGAGTTGAACACTTCCCTTCATACAGCAGGTTTGAAACACTCTTTTTGTAATATTTGGAAGTGGACATTTGCAGCGCTTTGAGGCCTATGATGAAAAAGGAAATATCTTCCCATAAAAACTAGACAGAAGCATTCTCAGAAACTTGTTTGTGATGTGTGTATTCAACTAACAGAGATGAAACTTTCTTTTTACAGAGCAGTTTTGAAACACTCTTTTTGTGGAATCTGAAAGTGGATATTTGGATAGCTTTGCGGATTTCGTTGGAAACGGGATTACATATAAAATCTAGGGAGAAGCATTCTCAGGAACTTCTTTGTGATGTTTGCATTCAAGTCACAGAACTGAACATTCCCTTTCATAGAGCAGGTTTGAAACACTCTTTCTGTAGTATCTGCAAGCGGACGTTTTAAGCGCTTTCAGGCCTGTGGTGAGAAAGGAAATATCTTCAAATAAAAACTAGACAGAAGCATTCTCAGAGACTTATTTGCGATGTGTGTCCTCAACTAACAGAGTTGAACCTTTCTTTTGATACAACATTTTGGAAACACTCTTTTTGTAGAATCTGCAAGTGGATATTTGGATAACTTTGAAGGTTTCGTTGGAAACGGGAATATCTTCATATGAAATCAAGACAGAAGCATTCTCAGAAACTTCTCTGTGATGTTTGCATTCAACTCATAGAGTTGAACACTTCCCTTCATACAGTAGGTTTGAAACACTCTTTTTCTAATATTTGGAAGTGGACATTTGCAGCGCTTTGAGGCCTATGTTGAAAAAGGAAATATCTTCTCCTAAAAACCAGACAGAAGCATTCTCAGAAACTTCCCTTGTGATGTGTGTACTCAAGTTACAGAGTTGAACCTTCCTTTTGACAGAGCAGTTTTGAAGCACTCTTTTTGTAGAATCTGCAAGTGGATATTTTGATACCTTTGAGGATTTCGTTGGACACGGGATATCTTCATATAAAATCTAGACAGAAGCATTCTCAGAAACTTCTTTGTGCTGTATGTCCTCAATTAACAGAGTTGAACCTTTGTGTGGATACAGCATTTTGGAAACATTCCTTTAGTAGAATCTGCAAGTTGATATTTAGATAGCTAGGAAGATTTCCTTGGAAACGGGAATATCTTCATATAAAATCTAGACGGAAGCATTCTCAGAAAGTGCTTTGTGATGTCTTCATTCAAGTCACAGAGTAGAATGTTCCCTTTTATAGAGCAGGTTTGAAACACTCTTTCTGCACTACCTGGAAGTGGACATTTGGAGCGCTTTGAGGCCTATGTTGAAAAACGAAATATCTTCCCATAAAAACTAGACAGAAGCATTCTCAGAAACTTGTTTGTGATGTGTGTATTCAACTAACAGAGATGAACCTTTCTTTTTACAGAGCAGTTTTGAAACACTCTTTTTGTGGAATCTGAAAGTGGATATTTGGATAGCTTTGAGGATTTCGTTGGAAACGGGATTACATATAAAACCTAGAGAGAAGCATTCTCAGGAACTTCTTTGTGATGTTTGCATTCAAGTCACAGAACTGAACATTCCCTTTCATAGAGCAGGTTTGAAACACTCTTTCTGTAGTATCTGCAAGCTGACGTTTCAAGCGCTTTCAGGCCTATGGTGAGAAAGGAAATATCTTCAAGTAAAAACTAGACAGAAGCATTCTCAGAAACTTATTTGCGATGTGTGTTGTCAACTAACAGAGTTGAACCTTTGTTTTGATATGGCATTTTGGAAACACTCTTTTTGTAGAATCTGCAGGTGGATATTCGGATAGCTTTGAAGGTTTCGTTGGAAACGGGAATATCTTCATATAAAATCTAGACGGAAGCATTCTCAGAAACTGCTTTGTGATGTTTTCATTCAAGTCACAGAGTAGAATGTTCCCTGTTATATACCAGGTTTGAGACACTCTTTCTGCACTACCTGGAAGTGGACATTTGCAGCGCTTTGAGGCCTATGATGAAAAAGGAAATATCTTCCCATAAAAACTAGACAGAAGCATTCTCAGAAACTTGTTTGTGATGTGTGTATTCAACTAACAGAGATGAACCTTTCTTTTTACAGAGCAGTTTTGAAACACTCTTTTTGTGGAATCTGAAAGTGGATATTTTGATAGCTTTGAGGATTTCGTTGGAAACGGGATTACATATAAAATCTAGAGAGAAGCATTCTCAGGAACTTCTTTGTGATGTTTGCATTCACGTCACAGAACTGAACATTCCCTTTCATAGAGCATGTTTGAAACACTCTTTCTGTAGTATCTGCAAACGGACATTTCAAACGCTTTCAGGCCTATGGTGAGAAAGGAAATATCTTCAAATAAAAACTAGACAGAAGCATTCTCAGAAACTTATTTACGATGTGTGTCCTCAACTAACAGAGTTGAACCTTTCTTTTGATACAACATTTTGGAAACACTCTTTTTGTGGAATCTGCAAGTGGATATTTGGATAGCTTTGAAGATTTCGTTGGAAACGGGAATATCTTCATATAAAATCAAGACAGAAGCATTCTCAGAAACTTCTCTGTGATGTTTGCATTCAACTCATAGAGTTGAACACTTCCCTTCATACAGCAGGTTTGAAACACTCTTTTTGTAATATTTGGAAGTGGACATTTGCAGCGCTTTGAGGCCTATGATGAAAAAGGTAATATCTTCCCATAAAAACTAGACAGAAGCATTCTCAGAAACTTGTTTGTGATGTGTGTATTCAACTAACAGAGATGAACCTTTCTTTTTACAGAGCAGTTTTGAAACACTCTTTTTGTGGAATCTGAAAGTGGATATTTGGATAGCTTTGAGGATTTCGTTGGAAACGGGATTACATATAAAACCTAGAGAGAAGCATTCTCAGGAACTTCTTTGTGATGTTTGCATTCAAGTCACAGAACTGAACATTCCCTTTCATAGAGCATGTTTGAAACACTCTTTCTGTAGTATCTGCAAGCGGACGTTTTAAGCGCTTTCAGGCCTGTGGTGAGAAAGGAAATATCTTCAAATAAAAACTAGACAGAAGCATTCTCAGAAACTTATTTGCGATGTGTGTTCTCAACTAACAGAGTTGAACCTTTGTTTTGATATGGCATTTTGGAAACACTCTTTTTGTAGAATCTGCAGGTGGATATTCGGATAGCTTTGAAGGTTTCGTTGGAAACGGGAATATCTTCATATAAAATCTAGACGGAAGCATTCTCAGAAACTGCTTTGTGATGTTTTCATTCAAGTCACAGAGTAGAATGTTCCCTGTTATACACCAGGTTTGAGACACTCTTTCTGCACTACCTGGAAGTGGACGTTTGGAGCGCTTTGAGGCCTATGTTGAAAAAGGAAATATCTTCCCATAAAAACTAGACAGAAGCATTCTCAGAAACTTGTTTGTGATGTGTGTATTCAACTAACAGAGATGAACCTTTCTTTTTACAGAGCAGTTTTGAAACACTCTTTTTGTGGAATCTGAAAGTGGATATTTGGATAGCTTTGAGGATTTCGTTGGAAACGGGATTACATATAAAACCTAGAGAGAAGCATTCTCAGGAACTTCTTTGTGATGTTTGCATTCAAGTCACAGAACTGAACATTCCCTTTCATAGAGCAGGTTTGAAACACTCTTTCTGTAGTATCTGCAAGCTGACGTTTCAAGCGCTTTCAGGCCTATGGTGAGAAAGGAAATATCTTCAAGTAAAAACTAGACAGAAGCATTCTCAGAAACTTATTTGCGATGTGTGTTCTCAACTAACAGGGTAGAACCTTTGTTTTGATATGGCATTTTGGAAACACTCTTTTTGTAGAATCTGCAGGTGGATATTCGGATAGCTTTGAAGGTTTCGTTGGAAACGGGAATATCTTCATATAAAATACTAGACGGAAGCATTCTCAGAAAGTGCTTTGTGATGTTTGCATTCAAGTCACAGAGTTGAATATTCCCTTTTATAGAGCAGGTTTGAAACACTCTTTCTGCACTACCTGGAAGTGGACATTTGGAGCGCTTTGAGGCCTATGTTGAAAAACGTAATATCTTCCCATAAAAACTAGACAGAAGCATTCTCAGAAACTTCCTTGTGATGTGTGTACTCAAGTAACAGAGTTGAACCTTCCTTTTGACAGAGCAGTTTTGAAGCACTCTTTTTGTAGAATCTGCAAGTGGATATTTTGATACCATTGAGGATTTCGTTGGACACGGGATATCTTCATATAAAATCTAGACAGAAGCATTCTCAGAAACTTCTTTGTGCTGTATGTCCTCAATTAACAGAGTTGAACCTTTGTGTGGATACAGCATTTTGGAAACATTCCTTTAGTAGAATCTGCAAGTTGACATTTAGATAGCTAGGAAGAGTTCCTTGGAAACGGGAATATCTTCATATAAAATCTAGACGGAAGCATTCTCAGAAAGTGCTTTGTGATGTTTGCATTCAAGTCACAGAGTTGAATGTTCCCTTTTATAGAGCAGGTTTGAAACACTCTTTCTGCACTACCTGGAAGTGGACATTTGGAGCGCTTTGAGGCCTATGTTGAAAAAGGAAATATCTTCCCATAAAAACTAGACAGAAGCATTCTCAGAAACTTGTTTGTGATGTGTGTATTCAACTAACAGAGATGAACCTTTCTTTTTACAGAGCAGTTTTGAAACACTCTTTTTGTGGAATCTGAAAGTGGATATTTGGATAGCTTTGAGGATTTCGTTGGAAACGGGATTACATATAAAACCTAGAGAGAAGCATTCTCAGGAACTTCTTTGTGATGTTTGCATTCAAGTCACAGAACTGAACATTCCCTTTCATAGAGCAGGTTTGAAACACTCTTTCTGTAGTATCTGCAAGCTGACGTTTCAAGCGCTTTCAGGCCTATGGTGAGAAAGGAAATATCTTCAAGTAAAAACTAGACAGAAGCATTCTCAGAAACTTATTTGCGATGTGTGTTCTCAACTAACAGAGTTGAACCTTTGTTTTGATATGGCATTTTGGAAACACTCTTTTTGTGGAATCTGCAGGTGGATATTCGGATAGCTTTGAAGGTTTCGTTGGAAACGGGAATATCTTCATATAAAATCTAGACGGAAGCATTCTCAGAAACTGCTTTGTGATGTTTTCATTCAAGTCACAGAGTAGAATGTTCCCTGTTATATACCAGGTTTGAGACACTCTTTCTGCACTACCTGGAAGTGGACATTTGCAGCGCTTTGAGGCCTATGATGAAAAAGGAAATATCTTCCCATAAAAACTAGACAGAAGCATTCTCAGAAACTTGTTTTTGATGTGTGTATTCAACTAACAGAGATGAACCTTTCTTTTTACAGAGCAGTTTTGAAACACTCTTTTTGTGGAATCTGAAAGTGGATATTTGGATAGCTTTGAGGATTTCCTTGGAAACGGGATTACATATAAAATCTAGAGAGAAGCATTCTCAGGAACTTCTTTGTGATGTTTGCATTCAAGTCACAGAACTGAACATTCCCTTTCATAGAGCATGTTTGAAACACTCTTTCTGTAGTATCTGCAAGCGGACGTTTTAAGCGCTTTCAGGCCTGTGGTGAGAAAGGAAATATCTTCAAATAAAAACTAGACAGAAGCATTCTCAGAAACTTATTTGCGATGTGTGTCCTCAACTAACAGAGTTGAACCTTTCTTTTGATACAACATTTTGGAAACACTCTTTTTGTAGAATCTGCAAGTGGATATTTGGATAGCTTTGAAGGTTTCGTTGGAAACGGGAATATCTTCATATAAAATCAAGACAGAAGCATTCTCAGAAACTTCTCTGTGATGTTTGCATTCAACTCATAGAGTTGAACACTTCCCTTCATACAGCAGGTTTGAAACACTCTTTTTGTAATATTTGGAAGTGGACATTTGCAGCGCTTTGAGGCCTATGTTGAAAAAGGAAATATCTTCTCCTAAAAACCAGACAGAAGCATTCTCAGAAACTTCCTTGTGATGTGTGTACTCAAGTAACAGAGTTGAACCTTCCTTTTGACAGAGCAGTTTTGAAGCACTCTTTTTGTAGAATCTGCAAGTGGATATTTTGATACCTTTGAGGATTTCGTTGGACACGGGATATCTTCATATAAAATCTAGACAGAAGCATTCTCAGAAACTTCTTTGTGCTGTATGTCCTCAATTAACAGAGTTGAACCTTTGTGTGGATACAGCATTTTGGAAACATTCCTTTAGTAGAATCTGCAAGTTGATATTTAGATAGCTAGGAAGATTTCCTTGGAAACGGGAATATCTTCATATAAAATCTAGACGGAAGCATTCTCAGAAAGTGCTTTGTGATGTTTGCATTCAAGTCACAGAGTTGAATATTCCCTTTTATAGAGTAGGTTTGAAACACTCTTTCTGCACTACCTGGAAGTGGACATTTGGAGCGCTTTGAGGCCTATGTTGAAAAAGGAAATATCTTCCCATAAAAACTAGACAGAAGCATTCTCAGAAACTTCCTTGTGATGTGTGTACTCAGGTAACAGAGTTGAACCTTACTTTTGACAGAGCCGTTTTGAAACAGTCTTTTTGTAGAATCTGGAAGTAGATATTTGGATACCTTTGAGGATTTCTTTGGAAACGGGATATCTTCATATAAAATCTAGACAGAAGCATTCTCAGGAACTTCTTTGTGATGTTTGCATTCAAGTCACAGAACTGAACATTCCCTTTCATAGAGCAGGTTTGAAACACTCTTTCTGTAGTATCTGCAAGCGGACGTTTTAAGCGCTTTCAGGCCTGTGGTGAGAAAGGAAATATCTTCAAATAAAAACTAGACAGAAGCATTCTCAGAAACTTATTTGCGATGTGTGTCCTCAACTAACAGAGTTGAACCTTTCTTTTGATACAACATTTTGGAAACACTCTTTTTGTAGAATCTGCAAGTGGATATTTGGATAGCTTTGAAGGTTTCGTTGGAAACGGGAATATCTTCATATGAAATCAAGACAAAAGCATTCTCAGAAACTTCTCTGTGATGTTTGCATTCAACTCATAGAGTTGAACACTTCCCTTCATACAGCAGGTTTGAAACACTCTTTTTGTAATATTTGGAAGTGGACATTTGCAGCGCTTTGAGGCCTATGTTGAAAAAGGAAATATCTTCTCCTAAAAACCAGACAGAAGCATTCTCAGAAACTTCCTTGTGATGTGTGTACTCAAGTAACAGAGTTGAACCTTCCTTTTGACAGAGCAGTTTTGAAGCACTCTTTTTGTAGAATCTGCAAGTGGATATTTTGATACCTTTGAGGATTTCGTTGGACACGGGATATCTTCATATAAAATCTAGACTAGAAGCATTCTCAGAAACTTCTTTGTGCTGTATGTCCTCAATTAACAGAGTTGAACCTTTGTGTGGATACAGCATTTTGGAAACATTCCTTTATTAGAATCTGCAAGTTGATATTTAGATAGCTAGGAAGATTTCCTTGGAAACGGGAATATCTTCATATAAAATCTAGACGGAAGCATTCTCAGAAAGTGCTTTGTGATGTTTGCATTCAAGTCACAGAGTTGAATATTCCCTTTTATAGAGCAGGTTTGAAACACTCTTTCTGCACTACCTGGAAGTGGACATTTGGAGCGCTTTGAGGCCTATGTTGAAAAAGGAAATATCTTCCCATAAAAACTAGACAGAAGCATTCTCAGAAACTTGTTTGTGATGTGTGTATTCAACTAACAGAGATGAACCTTTCTTTTTACAGAGCAGTTTTGAAACACTCTTTTTGTGGAATCTGAAAGTGGATATTTGGATAGCTTTGAGGATTTCGTTGGAAACGGGATTACATATAAAACCTAGAGAGAAGCATTCTCAGGAACTTCTTTGTGATGTTTACATTCAAGTCACAGAACTGAACATTCCCTTTCATAGAGCATGTTTGAAACACTCTTTCTGTAGTATCTGCAAGCGGACGTTTCAAGCGCTTTCAGGCCTATGGTGAGAAAGGAAATATCTTCAAGTAAAAACTAGACAGAAGCATTCTCAGAAACTTATTTGCCATGTGTGTTCTCAACTAACAGAGTTGAACCTTTGTTTTGATACGGCATTTTGGAAACACTCTTTTTGTAGAATCTGCAGGTGGATATTCGGATAGCTTTGAAGGTTTCGTTGGAAACGGGAATATCTTCATATAAAATCTAGACGGAAGCATTCTCAGAAACTGCTTTGTGATGTTTTCATTCAAGTCACAGAGTAGATTGTTCCCTGTTATATACCAGGTTTGAGACACTCTTTCTGCACTACCTGGAAGTGGACGTTTGGAGCGCTTTGAGGCGTATGTTGAAAAAGGAAATATCTTCCCATAAAAACTAGACAGAAGCATTCTCAGAAACTTGTTTGTGATGTGTGTATTTAACTAACAGAGATGAACCTTTCTTTTTACAGAGCAGTTTTGAAACACTCTTTTTGTGGAATCTGAAAGTGGATATTTGGATAGCTTTGAGGATTTCGTTGGAAACGGGATTACATATAAAATCTAGAGAGAAGCATTCTCAGGAACTTCTTTGTGATGTTTGCATTCACGTCACAGAACTGAACATTCCCTTTCATAGAGCATGTTTGAAACACTCTTTCTGTAGTATCTGCAAACGGACATTTCAAACGCTTTCAGGCCTATGGTGAGAAAGGAAATATCTTCAAATAAAAACTAGACAGAAGCATTCTCAGAAACTTATTTGCGATGTGTGTCCTCAACTAACAGAGTTGAACCTTTCTTTTGATACAACATTTTGGAAACACTCTTTTTGTGGAATCTGCAAGTGGATATTTGGATAGCTTTGAAGATTTCGTTGGAAACGGGAATATCTTCATATAAAATCAAGACAGAAGCATTCTCAGAAACTTCTCTGTGATGTTTGCATTCAACTCATAGAGTTGAACACTTCCCTTCATACAGCAGGTTTGAAACACTCTTTTTGTAATATTTGGAAGTGGACATTTGCAGCGCTTTGAGGCCTGTGATGAAAAAGGTAATATCTTCCCATAAAAACTAGACAGAAGCATTCTCAGAAACTTGTTTGTGATGTGTGTATTCAACTAACAGAGATGAACCTTTCTTTTTACAGAGCAGTTTTGAAACACTCTTTTTGTGGAATCTGAAAGTGGATATTTGGATAGCTTTGCGGATTTCGTTGGAAACGGGATTACATATAAAATCTAGGGAGAAGCATTCTCAGGAACTTCTTTGTGATGTTTGCATTCAAGTCACAGAACTGAACATTCCCTTTCATAGAGCAGGTTTGAAACACTCTTTCTGTAGTATCTGCAAGCGGACGTTTTAAGCGCTTTCAGGCCTGTGGTGAGAAAGGAAATATCTTCAAATAAAAACTAGACAGAAGCATTCTCAGAAACTTATTTGCGATGTGTGTTCTCAACTAAAAGAGTTGAACCTTTGTTTGGATACAGCATTTTGGAAACACTCTTTTTGTAGAATCTGCAAGTGGATATTTGGATAGCTTTGAAGGTTTCGTTGGAAACGGGAATATCTTCATATAAAATCAAGACAGAAGCATTCTCAGAAACTGCTTTGTGATGTTTTCATTCAAGTCACAGAGTAGAATGTTCCCTGTTATATACCAGGTTTGAGACACTCTTTCTGCACTACCTGGAAGTGGACGTTTGGAGCGCTTTGAGGCCTATGTTGAAAAAGGAAATATCTTCCCATAAAAACTAGACAGAAGCATTCTCAGAAACTTGTTTGTGATGTGTGTATTCAACTAACAGAGATGAACCTTTCTTTTTACAGAGCAGTTTTGAAACACTCTTTTTGTGGAATCTGAAAGTGGATATTTGGATAGCTTTGAGGATTTCGTTGGAAACGGGATTACATATAAAACCTAGAGAGAAGCATTCTCAGGAACTTCTTTGTGATGTTTGCATTCAAGTCACAGAACTCAACATTCCCTTTCATAGAGCAGGTTTGAAACACTCTTTCTGTAGTATCTGCAAGCTGACGTTTCAAGCGCTTTCAGGCCTATGGTGAGAAAGGAAATATCTTCAAGTAAAAACTAGACAGAAGCATTCTCAGAAACTTATTTGCGATGTGTGTTCTCAACTAACAGAGTTGAACCTTTGTTTTGATATGGCATTTTGGAAACACTCTTTTTGTAGAATCTGCAGGTGGATATTCGGATAGCTTTGAAGGTTTCGTTGGAAACGGGAATATCTTCATATAAAATCTAGATGGAAGCATTCTCAGAAACTTCTCTGTGATGTTTGCATTCAACTCATAGAGTTGAACACTTCCCTTCATACAGCAGGTTTGAAACACTCTTTTTGTAATATTTGGAAGTGGACATTTGCAGCGCTTTGAGGCCTATGATGAAAAAGGTAATATCTTCCCATAAAAACTAGACAGAAGCATTCTCAGAAACTTGTTTGTGATGTGTGTATTCAACTAACAGAGATGAACCTTTCTTTTTACAGAGCAGTTTTGAAACACTCTTTTTGTGGAATCTGAAAGTGGATATTTGGATAGCTTTGCGGATTTCGTTGGAAACGGGATTACATATAAAATCTAGGGAGAAGCATTCTCAGGAACTTCTTTGTGATGTTTGCATTCAAGTCACAGAACTGAACATTCCCTTTCATAGAGCATGTTTGAAACACTCTTTCTGTAGTATCTGCAAGCGGACGTTTTAAGCGCTTTCAGGCCTGTGGTGAGAAAGGAAATATCTTCAAATAAAAACTAGACAGAAGCATTCTCAGAAACTTATTTGCGATGTGTGTCCTCAACTAACAGAGTTGAACCTTTCTTTTGATACAACATTTTGGAAACACTCTTTTTGTAGAATCTGCAAGTGGATATTTGGATAGCTTTGAAGGTTTCGTTGGAAACGGGAATATCTTCATATGAAATCAAGACAGAAGCATTCTCAGAAACTTCTCTGTGATGTTTGCATTCAACTCATAGAGTTGAACACTTCCCTTCATACAGCAGGTTTGAAACACTCTTTTTGTAATATTTGGAAGTGGACATTTGCAGCGCTTTGAGGCCTATGTTGAAAAAGGAAATATCTTCTCCTAAAAACCAGACAGAAGCATTCTCAGAAACTTGTTTGTGATGTGTGTATTCAACTAACAGAGATGAACCTTTCTTTTTACAGAGCAGTTTTGAAGCACTCTTTTTGTAGAATCTGCAAGTGGATATTTTGATACCATTGAGGATTTCGTTGGACACGGGATATCTTCATATAAAATCTAGACAGAAGCATTCTCAGAAACTTCTTTGTGCTGTATGTCCTCAATTAACAGAGTTGAACCTTTGTGTGGATACAGCATTTTGGAAACATTCCTTTAGTAGAATCTGCAAGTTGATATTTAGATAGCTAGGAAGAGTTCCTTGGAAACGGGAATATCTTCATATAAAATCTAGACGGAAGCATTCTCAGAAAGTGCTTTGTGATGTTTGCATTCAAGTCACAGAGTTGAATGTTCCCTTTTATAGAGCAGGTTTGAAACACTCTTTCTGCACTACCTGGAAGTGGACATTTGGAGCGCTTTGAGGCCTATGTTGAAAAAGGAAATATCTTCCCATAAAAACTAGACAGAAGCATTCTCAGAAACTTGTTTGTGATGTGTGTATTCAACTAACAGAGATGAACCTTTCTTTTTACAGAGCAGTTTTGAAACACTCTTTTTGTGGAATCTGAAAGTGGATATTTGGATAGCTTTGAGGATTTCTTTGGAAACGGGATTACATATAAAACCTAGAGAGAAGCATTCTCAGGAACTTCTTTGTGATGTTTGCATTCAAGTCACAGAACTGAACATTCCCTTTCATAGAGCAGGTTTGAAACACTCTTTCTGTAGTATCTGCAAGCTGACGTTTCAAGCGCTTTCAGGCCTATGGTGAGAAAGGAAATATCTTCAAGTAAAAACTAGACAGAAGCATTCTCAGAAACTTATTTGCCATGTGTGTTCTCAACTAACAGAGTTGAACCTTTGTTTTGATACGGCATTTTGGAAACACTCTTTTTGTAGAATCTGCAGGTGGATATTCGGATAGCTTTGAAGGTTTCGTTGGAAACGGGAATATCTTCATATAAAATCTAGACGGAAGCATTCTCAGAAACTGCTTTGTGATGTTTTCATTCAAGTCACAGAGTAGAATGTTCCCTGTTATATACCAGGTTTGAGACACTCTTTCTGCACTACCTGGAAGTGGACGTTTGGAGCGCTTTGAGGCCTATGTTGAAAAAGGAAATATCTTCCCATAAAAACTAGACAGAAGCATTCTCAGAAACTTGTTTGTGATGTGTGTATTCAACTAACAGAGATGAACCTTTCTTTTTACAGAGCAGTTTTGAAACACTCTTTTTGTGGAATCTGAAAGTGGATATTTGGATAGCTTTGAGGATTTCGTTGGAAACGGGATTACATATAAAATCTAGAGAGAAGCATTCTCAGGAACTTCATTGTGATGTTTGCATTCAAGTCACAGAACTGAACATTCCCTTTCATAGAGCATGTTTGAAACACTCTTTCTGTAGTATCTGCAAACGGACATTTCAAACGCTTTCAGGCCTATGGTGAGAAAGGAAATATCTTCAAATAAAAACTAGACAGAAGCATTCTCAGAAACTTATTTGCGATGTGTGTCCTCAACTAACAGAGTTGAACCTTTCTTTTGATACAACATGTTGGAAACACTCTTTTTGTAGAATCTGCAAGTGGATATTTGGATAGCTTTGAAGGTTTCGTTGGAAACGGGAATATCTTCATATAAAATCAAGACAGAAGCATTCTCAGAAACTTCTCTGTGATGTTTGCATTCAACTCATAGAGTTGAACACTTCCCTTCATACAGCAGGTTTGAAACACTCTTTTTGTAATATTTGGAAGTGGACATTTGCAGCGCTTTGAGGCCTATGATGAAAAAGGTAATATCTTCCCATAAAAACTAGACAGAAGCATTCTCAGAAACTTGTTTGTGATGTGTGTATTCAACTAACAGAGATGAACCTTTCTTTTTACAGAGCAGTTTTGAAACACTCTTTTTGTGGAATCTGAAAGTGGATATTTGGATAGCTTTGAGGATTTCGTTGGAAACGGGATTACATATAAAACCTAGAGAGAAGCATTCTCAGGAACTTCTTTGTGATGTTTGCATTCAAGTCACAGAACTGAACATTCCCTTTCATAGAGCAGGTTTGAAACACTCTTTCTGTAGTATCTGCAAGCTGACGTTTCAAGCGCTTTCAGGCCTATGGTGAGAAAGGAAATATCTTCAAGTAAAAACTAGACAGAAGCATTCTCAGAAACTTATTTGCGATGTGTGTTCTCAACTAACAGAGTTGAACCTTTGTTTTGATATGGCATTTTGGAAACACTCTTTTTGTAGAATCTGCAGGTGGATATTCGGATAGCTTTGAAGGTTTCGTTGGAAACGGGAATATCTTCATATAAAATCTAGACGGAAGCATTCTCAGAAACTGCTTTGTGATGTTTTCATTCAAGTCACAGAGTAGAATGTTCCCTGTTATATACCAGGTTTGAGACACTCTTTCTGCACTACCTGGAAGTGGACATTTGCAGCGCTTTGAGGCCTATGATGAAAAAGGAAATATCTTCCCATAAAAACTAGACAGAAGCATTCTCAGAAACTTGTTTGTGATGTGTGTATTCAACTAACAGAGATGAACCTTTCTTTTTACAGAGCAGTTTTGAAACACTCTTTTTGTGGAATCTGAAAGTGGATATTTGGATAGCTTTGAGGATTTCGTTGGAAACGGGATTACATATAAAATCTAGAGAGAAGCATTCTCAGGAACTTCTTTGTGATGTTTGCATTCACGTCACAGAACTGAACATTCCCTTTCATAGAGCATGTTTGAAACACTCTTTCTGTAGTATCTGCAAACGGACATTTCAAACGCTTTCAGGCCTATGGTGAGAAAGGAAATATCTTCAAATAAAAACTAGACAGAAGCATTCTCAGAAACTTATTTGCGATGTGTGTCCTCAACTATCAGAGTTGAACCTTTCTTTTGATACAACATTTTGGAACCACTCTTTTTGTAGAATCTGCAAGTGGATATTTGAATAGCTTTGAAGGTTTCGTTGGAAACGGGAATATCTTCATATAAAATCAAGACAGAAGCATTCTCAGAAACTTCTCTGTGATGTTTGCATTCAACTCATAGAGTTGAACACTTCCCTTCATACAGCAGGTTTGAAACACTCTTTTTGTAATATTTGGAAGTGGACATTTGCAGCGCTTTGAGGCCTGTGATGAAAAAGGAAATATCTTCCCATAAAAACTAGACAGAAGCATTCTCAGAAACTTGTTTGTGATGTGTGTATTCAACTAACAGAGATGAACCTTTCTTTTTACAGAGCAGTTTTGAAACACTCTTTTTGTGGAATCTGAAAGTGGATATTTGGATAGCTTTGCGGATTTCGTTGGAAACGGGATTACATATAAAATCTAGGGAGAAGCATTCTCAGGAACTTCTTTGTGATGTTTGCATTCAAGTCACAGAACTGAACATTCCCTTTCATAGAGCAGGTTTTGAAACACTCTTTCTGTAGTATCTGCAAGCGGACGTTTTAAGCGCTTTCAGGCCTGTGGTGAGAAAGGAAATATCTTCAAATAAAAACTAGACAGAAGCATTCTCAGAAACTTATTTGCGATGTGTGTCCTCAACTAACAGAGTTGAACCTTTCTTTTGATACAACATTTTGGAAACACTCTTTTTGTAGAATCTGCAAGTGGATATTTGGATAGCTTTGAAGGTTTCGTTGGAAACGGGAATATCTTCATATGAAATCAAGACAGAAGCATTCTCAGAAACTTCTCTGTGATGTTTGCATTCAACTCATAGAGTTGAACACTTCCCTTCATACAGCAGGTTTGAAACACTCTTTTTCTAATATTTGGAAGTGGACATTTGCAGCGCTTTGAGGCCTATGTTGAAAAAGGAAATATCTTCTCCTAAAAACCAGACAGAAGCATTCTCAGAAACTTCCTTGTGATGTGTGTACTCAAGTAACAGAGTTGAACCTTCCTTTTGACAGAGCAGTTTTGAAGCACTCTTTTTGTAGAATCTGCAAGTGGATATTTTGATACCTTTGAGGATTTCGTTGGACACGGGATATCTTCATATAAAATCTAGACAGAAGCATTCTCAGAAACTTCTTTGTGCTGTATGTCCTCAATTAACAGAGTTGAACGTTTGTGTGGATACGGCATTTTGGAAACATTCCTTTAGTAGAATCTGCTAGTTGATATTTAGATAGCTAGGAAGATTTCCTTGGAAACGGGAATATCTTCATATAAAATCTAGACGGAAGCATTCTCAGAAAGTGCTTTGTGATGTTTGCATTCAAGTCACAGAGTTGAATATTCCCTTTTATAGAGCAGGTTTGAAACACTCTTTCTGCACTACCTGGAAGTGGACATTTGGAGCGCTTTGAGGCCTATGTTGAAAAAGGAAATATCTTCCCATAAAAACTAGACAGAAGCATTCTCAGAAACTTGTTTGTGATGTGTGTATTCAACTAACAGAGATGAACCTTTCTTTTTACAGAGCAGTTTTGAAACACTCTTTTTGTGGAATCTGAAAGTGGATATTTGGATAGCTTTGAGGATTTCGTTGGAAACGGGATTACATATAAAACCTAGAGAGAAGCATTCTCAGGAACTTCTTTGTGATGTTTGCCTTCAAGTCACAGGACTGAACATTCCCTTTCATAGAGCAGGTTTGAAACACTCTTTCTGTAGTATCTGCAAGCTGACGTTTCAAGCGCTTTCAGGCCTATGGTGAGAAAGGAAATATCTTCAAGTAAAAACTAGACAGAAGCATTCTCAGAAACTTATTTGCCATGTGTGTTCTCAACTAACAGAGTTGAACCTTTGTTTTGATACGGCATTTTGGAAACAGTCTTTTTGTAGAATCTGCAGGTGGATATTCGGATAGCTTTGAAGGTTTCGTTGGAAACGGGAATATCTTCATATAAAATCTAGACGGAAGCATTCTCAGAAACTGCTTTGTGATGTTTTCATTCAAGTCACAGAGTAGAATGTTCCCTGTTATATACCAGGTTTGAGACACTCTTTCTGCACTACCTGGAAGTGGACGTTTGGAGCGCTTTGAGGCCTATGTTGAAAAAGGAAATATCTTCCCATAAAAACTAGACAGAAGCATTCTCAGAAACTTGTTTGTGATGTGTGTATTCAACTAACAGGGATGAACCTTTCTTATTACAGAGCAGTTTTGAAACACTCTTTTTGTGGAATCTGAAAGTGGATATTTGGATAGCTTTGCGGATTTCGTTGGAAACGGGATTACATTTAAAATCTAGGGAGAAGCATTCTCAGGAACTTCTTTGTGATGTTTGCATTCAAGTCACAGAACTGAACATTCCCTTTCATAGAGCAGGTTTGAAACACTCTTTCTGTAGTATCTGCAAGCGGACGTTTTAAGCGCTTTCAGGCCTGTGGTGAGAAAGGAAATATCTTCAAATAAAAACTAGACAGAAGCATTCTCAGAAACTTATTTGCGATGTGTGTCCTCAACTAACAGAGTTGAACCTTTCTTTTGATACAACATTTTGGAAACACTCTTTTTGTAGAATCTGCAAGTGGATATTTGGATAGCTTTGAAGGTTTCGTTGGAAACGGGAATATCTTCATATGAAATCAAGACAGAAGCATTCTCAGAAACTTCTCTGTGATGTTTGCATTCAACTCATAGAGTTGAACACTTCCCTTCATACAGCAGGTTTGAAACACTCTTTTTCTAATATTTGGAAGTGGACATTTGCAGCGCTTTGAGGCCTATGTTGAAAAAGGAAATATCTTCTCCTAAAAACCAGACAGAAGCATTCTCAGAAACTTCCTTGTGATGTGTGTACTCAAGTAACAGAGTTGAACCTTCCTTTTGACAGAGCAGTTTTGAAGCACTCTTTTTGTAGAATCTGCAAGTGGATATTTTGATACCTTTGAGGATTTCGTTGGACACGGGATATCTTCATATGAAATCTAGACAGAAGCATTCTCAGAAACTTCTTTGTGCTGTATGTCCTCAATTAACAGAGTTGAACCTTTGTGTGGATACAGCATTTTGGAAACATTCCTTTAGTAGAATCTGCAAGTTGATATTTAGATAGCTAGGAAGATTTCCTTGGAAACGGGAATATCTTCATATAAAATCTAGACGGAAGCATTCTCAGAAAGTGCTTTGTGATGTTTGCATTCAAGTCACAGAGTTGAATATTCCCTTTTATAGAGCAGGTTTGAAACACTCTTTCTGCACTACCTGGAAGTGGACATTGGGAGCGCTTTGAGGCCTATGTTGAAAAACGAAATATCTTCCCATAAAAACTAGACAGAAGCATTCACAGAAACTTGTTTGTGATGTGTGTATTCAACTAACAGAGATGAACCTTTCTTTTTACAGAGCAGTTTTGAAACACTCTTTTTGTGGAATCTGAAAGTGGATATTTGGATAGCTTTGAGGATTTCGTTGGAAACGGGATTACATATAAAACCTAGAGAGAAGCATTCTCAGGAACTTCTTTGTGATGTTTGCATTCAAGTCACAGAACTGAACATTCCCTTTCATAGAGCAGGTTTGAAACACTCTTTCTGTAGTATCTGCAAGCTGACGTTTCAAGCGCTTTCAGGCCTATGGTGAGAAAGGAAATATCTTCAAGTAAAAACTAGACAGAAGCATTCTCAGAAACTTATTTGCGATGTGTGTTCTCAACTAACAGGGTTGAACCTTTGTTTTGATATGGCATTTTGGAAACACTCTTTTTGTAGAATCTGCAGGTGGATATTCGGATAGCTTTGAAGGTTTCGTTGGAAACGGGAATATCTTCATATAAAATCTAGACGGAAGCATTCTCAGAAACTGCTTTGTGATGTTTTCATTCAAGTCACAGAGTAGAATGTTCCCTGTTATATACCAGGTTTGAGACACTCTTTCTGCACTACCTGGAAGTGGACATTTGCAGCGCTTTGAGGCCTATGATGAAAAAGGAAATATCTTCCCATAAAAACTAGACAGAAGCATTCTCAGAAACTTGTTTGTGATGTGTGTATTCAACTAACAGAGATGAACCTTTCTTTTTACAGAGCAGTTTTGAAACACTCTTTTTGTGGAATCTGAAAGTGGATATTTGGATAGCTTTGAGGATTTCGTTGGAAACCGGATTACATATAAAATCTAGAGAGAAGCATTCTCAGGAACTTCTTTGTGATGTTTGCATTCACGTCACAGAACTGAACATTCCCTTTCATAGAGCATGTTTGAAACACTCTTTCTGTAGTATCTGCAAACGGACATTTCAAACGCTTTCAGGCCTATGGTGAGAAAGGAAATATCTTCAAATAAAAACTAGACAGAAGCATTCTCAGAAACTTATTTGCGATGTGTGTCCTCAACTAACAGAGTTGAACCTTTCTTTTGATACAACATTTTGGAAACACTCTTTTTGTGGAATCTGCAAGTGGATATTTGGATAGCTTTGAAGGTTTCGTTGGAAACGGGAATATCTTCATATAAAATCAAGACAGAAGCATTCTCAGAAACTTCTCTGTGATGTTTGCATTCAACTCATAGAGTTGAACACTTCCCTTCATACAGCAGGTTTGAAACACTCTTTTTGTAATATTTGGAAGTGGACATTTGCAGCGCTTTGAGGCCTATGATGAAAAAGGTAATATCTTCCCATAAAAACTAGACAGAAGCATTCTCAGAAACTTGTTTGTGATGTGTGTATTCAACTAACAGAGATGAACCTTTCTTTTTACAGAGCAGTTTTGAAACACTCTTTTTGTGGAATCTGAAAGTGGATATTTGGATAGCTTTGCGGATTTCGTTGGAAACGGGATTACATATAAAATCTAGGGAGAAGCATTCTCAGGAACTTCTTTGTGATGTTTGCATTCAAGTCACAGAACTGAACGTTCCCTTTCATAGAGCAGGTTTGAAACACTCTTTCTGTAGTATCTGCAAGCGGACGTTTTAAGCGCTTTCAGGCCTGTGGTGAGAAAGGAAATATCTTCAAATAAAAACTAGACAGAAGCATTCTCAGAAACTTATTTGCGATGTGTGTCCTCAACTAACAGAGTTGAACCTTTCTTTTGATACAACATTTTGGAAACACTCTTTTTGTAGAATCTGCAAGTGGATATTTGGATAGCTTTGAAGGTTTCGTTGGAAACGGGAATATCTTCATATGAAATCAAGACAGAAGCATTCTCAGAAACTTCTCTGTGATGTTTGCATTCAACTCATAGAGTTGAACACTTCCCTTCATACAGCAGGTTTGAAACACTCTTTTTGTAATATTTGGAAGTGGACATTTGCAGCGCTTTGAGGCCTATGTTGAAAAAGGAAATATCTTCTCCTAAAAACCAGACAGAAGCATTCTCAGAAACTTCCTTGTGATGTGTGTACTCAAGTAACAGAGTTGAACCTTCCTTTTGACAGAGCAGTTTTGAAGCAGTCTTTTTGTGGAATCTGCAAGTGGATATTTTGATACCTTTGAGGATTTCGTTGGACACGGGATATCTTCATATAAAATCTAGACAGAAGCATTCTCAGGAACTTCTTTGTGATGTTTGCATTCAAGTCACAGAACTGAACATTCCCTTTCATAGAGCAGGTTTGAAACACTCTTTCTGTAGTATCTGCAAGCTGACGTTTCAAGCGCTTTCAGGCCTATGGTGAGAAAGGAAATATCTTCAAGTAAAAACTAGACAGAAGCATTCTCAGAAACTTATTTGCGATGTGTGTTCTCAACTAACAGAGTTGAACCTTTGTTTTGATATGGCATTTTGGAAACACTCTTTTTGTAGAATCTGCAGGTGGATATTCGGATAGCTTTGAACGTTTCGTTGGAAACGGGAATATCTTCATATAAAATCTAGACGGAAGCATTCTCAGAAACTGCTTTGTGATGTTTTCATTCAAGTCACAGAGTAGAATGTTCCCTGTTATATACCAGGTTTGAGACACTCTTTCTGCACTACCTGGAAGTGGATATTTGGAGCGCTTTGAGGCCTATGATGAAGAAGGAAATATCTTCCCATAAAAACTAGACAGAAGCATTCTCAGAAACTTGTTTGTGATGTGTGTATTCAACTAACAGAGATGAACCTTTCTTTTTACAGAGCAGTTTTGAAACACTCTTTTTGTGGAATCTGAAAGTGGATATTTGGATAGCTTTGCGGATTTCGTTGGAAACGGGATTACATATAAAATCTAGGGAGAAGCATTCTCAGGAACTTCTTTGTGATGTTTGCATTCAAGTCACAGAACTGAACATTCCCTTTCATAGAGCATGTTTGAAACACTCTTTCTGTAGTATCTGCAAGCGGACGTTTTAAGCGCTTTCAGGCCTGTGGTGAGAAAGGAAATATCTTCAAATAAAAACTAGACAGAAGCATTCTCAGAAACTTATTTGCGATGTGTGTCCTCAACTAACAGAGTTGAACCTTTCTTTTGATACAACATTTTGGAAACACTCTTTTTGTAGAATCTGCAAGTGGATATTTGGATAGCTTTGAAGGTTTCGTTGGAAACGGGAATATCTTCATATGAAATCAAGACAGAAGCATTCTCAGAAACTTCTCTGTGATGTTTGCATTCAACTCATAGAGTTGAACACTTCTCTTCATACAGCAGGTTTGAAACACTCTTTTTCTAATATTTGGAAGTGGACATTTGCAGCGCTTTGAGGCCTATGTTGAAAAAGGAAATATCTTCTCCTAAAAACCAGACAGAAAGCATTCTCAGGAACTTCTTTGTGATGTTTGCATTCACGTCACAGAACTGAACATTCCCTTTCATAGAGCATGTTTGAAACACTCTTTCTGTAGTATCTGCAAACGGACATTTCAAACGCTTTCAGGCCTATGGTGAGAAAGGAAATATCTTCAACTAAAAACTAGACAGAAGCATTCTCAGAAACTTCTTTGTGCTGTATGTCCTCAATTAACAGAGTTGAACCTTTGTGTGGATACAGCATTTTGGAAACATTCCTTTAGTAGAATCTGCAAGTTGATATTTAGATAGCTAGGAAGATTTCCTTGGAAACGGGAATATCTTCATATAAAATCTAGACGGAAGCATTCTCAGAAAGTGCTTTGTGATGTTTGCATTCAAGTCACAGAGTTGAATATTCCCTTTTATAGAGCAGGTTTGAAACACTCTTTCTGCACTACCTGGAAGTGGACATTTGGAGCGCTTTGAGGCCTATGTTGAAAAAGGAAATATCTTCCCATAAAAACTAGACAGAAGCATTCTCAGAAACTTGTTTGTGATGTGTGTATTCAACTAACAGAAATGAACCTTTCTTTTTACAGAGCAGTTTTGAAACACTCTTTTTGTGGAATCTGAAAGTGGATATTTGGATAGCTTTGAGGATTTCTTTGGAAACGGGATTATATATAAAACCTAGAGAGAAGCATTCTCAGGAACTTCTTTGTGATGTTTGCATTCAAGTCACAGAACTGAACATTCCGTTTCATAGAGCAGGTTTGAAACACTCTTTCTGTAGTATCTGCAAGCTGACGTTTCAAGCGCTTTCAGGCCTATGGTGAGAAAGGAAATATCTTCAAGTAAAAACTAGACAGAAGCATTCTCAGAAACTTATTTGGGATGTGTGTCCTCAACTAACAGAGTTGAACCTTTGTTTTGATACAACATTTTGGAAACACTCTTTTTGTAGAATCTGCAAGTGGATATTTGGATAGCTTTGAAGGTTTCGTTGGAAACGGGAATATCTTCATATAAAATCAAGACAGAAGCATTCTCAGAAACTTCTCTGTGATGTTTGCATTCAACTCATAGAGTTGAACACTTCCCTTCATACAGCAGGTTTGAAACACTCTTTTTGTAATATTTGGAAGTGGACTTTTGCAGCGCTTTGAGGCCTATGATGAAAAAGGTAATATCTTCCCATAAAAACTAGACAGAAGCATTCTCAGAAACTTGTTTGTGATGTGTGTATTCAACTAACAGAGATGAACCTTTCTTTTTACAGAGCAGTTTTGAAACACTCTTTTTGTGGAATCTGAAAGTGGATATTTGGATAGCTTTGCGGATTTCGTTGGAAACGGGATTACATATAAAATCTAGGGAGAAGCATTCTCAGGAACTTCTTTGTGATGTTTGCATTCAAGTCACAGAACTGAACATTCCCTTTCATAGAGCATGTTTGAAACACTCTTTCTGTAGTATCTGCAAACGGACGTTTCAAACGCTTTCAGGCCTATGGTGAGAAAGGAAATATCTTCAAATAAAAACTAGACAGAAGCATTCTCAGAAACTTATTTGCGATGTGTGTCCTCAACTAACAGAGTTGAACCTTTCTTTTGATACAACATTTTGGAAACACTCTTTTTGTGGAATCTGCAAGTGGATATTTGGATAGCTTTGAAGATTTCGTTGGAAACGGGAATATCTTCATATAAAATCAAGACAGAAGCATTCTCAGAAACTTCTCTGTGATGTTTGCATTCAACTCATAGAGTTGAACACTTCCCTTCATACAGCAGGTTTGAAACACTCTTTTTGTAATATTTGGAAGTGGACATTTGCAGCGCTTTGAGGCCTATGATGAAAAAGGTAATATCTTCCCATAAAAACTAGACAGAAGCATTCTCAGAAACTTGTTTGTGATGTGTGTATTCAACTAACAGAGATGAACCTTTCTTTTTACAGAGCAGTTTTGAAACACTCTTTTTGTGGAATCTGAAAGTGGATATTTGGATAGCTTGCGGATTTCGTTGGAAACGGGATTACATATAAAATCTAGAGAGAAGCATTCTCAGGAACTTCTTTGTGATGTTTGCCTTCAAGTCACAGGACTGAACATTCCCTTTCATAGAGCAGGTTTGAAACACTCTTTCTGTAGTATCTGCAAGCTGACGTTTCATGCGCTTTCAGGCCTATGGTGAGAAAGGAAATATCTTCAAGTAAAAACTAGACACAAGCATTCTCAGAAACTTATTTGCGATGTGTGTCCTCAACTAACAGAGTTGAACCTTTCTTTTGATACAACATTTTGGAAACACTCTTTTTGTAGAATCTGCAAGTGGATATTTGGATAGCTTTGAAGGTTTCGTTGGAAACGGGAATATCTTCATATGAAATCAAGACAGAAGCATTCTCAGAAACTTCTCTGTGATGTTTGCATTCAACTCATAGAGTTGAACACTTCCCTTCATACAGCAGGTTTGAAACACTCTTTTTCTAATATTTGGAAGTGGACATTTGCAGCGCTTTGAGGCCTATGTTGAAAAAGGAAATATCTTCTCCTAAAAACCAGACAGAAGCCTTCTCAGAAACTTCCTTGTGATGTGTGTACTCAAGTAACAGAGTTGAACCTTCCTTTTGACAGAGCAGTTTTGAAGCACTCTTTTTGTAGAATCTGCAAGTGGATATTTTGATACCTTTGAGGATTTCGTTGGACACGGGATATCTTCATATAAAATCTAGACAGAAGCATTCTCAGGAACTTCTTTGTGATGTTTGCCTTCAAGTCACAGGACTGAACATTCCCTTTCATAGAGCAGGTTTGAAACACTCTTTCTGTAGTATCTGCAAGCTGACGTTTCAAGCGCTTTCAGGCCTATGGTGAGAAAGGAAATATCTTCAAGTAAAAACTAGACAGAAGCATTCTCAGAAACTTATTTGCCATGTGTGTTCTCAACTAACAGAGTTGAACCTTTGTTTTGATACGGCATTTTGGAAACACTCTTTTTGTAGAATCTGCAGGTGGATATTCGGATAGCTTTGAAGGTTTCGTTGGAAACGGGAATATCTTCATATAAAATCTAGACGGAAGCATTCTCAGAAACTGCTTTGTGATGTTTTCATTCAAGTCACAGAGTAGAATGTTCCCTGTTATACACCAGGTTTGAGACACTCTTTCTGCACTACCTGGAAGTGGACGTTTGGAGCGCTTTGAGGCCTATGTTGAAAAAGGAAATATCTTCCCATAAAAACTAGACAGAAGCATTCTCAGAAACTTGTTTGTGATGTGTGTATTCAACTAACAGAGATGAACCTTTCTTTTTACAGAGCAGTTTTGAAACACTCTTTTTGTGGAATCTGAAAGTGGATATTTGGATAGCTTTGAGGATTTCGTTGGAAACGGGATTACATATAAAATCTAGAGAGAAGCATTCTCAGGAACTTCTTTGTGATGTTTGCATTCACGTCACAGAACTGAACATTCCCTTTCATAGAGCATGTTTGAAACACTCTTTCTGTAGTATCTGCAAACGGACATTTCAAACGCTTTCAGGCCTATGGTGAGAAAGGAAATATCTTCAAGTAAAAACTAGACAGAAGCATTCTCAGAAACTTATTTGCGATGTGTGTCCTCAACTAACAGAGTTGAACCTTTCTTTTGATACAACATTTTGGAAACACTCTTTTTGTAGAATCTGCAAGTGGATATTTGAATAGCTTTGAAGGTTTCGTTGGAAACGGGAATATCTTCATATAAAATCAAGACGGAAGCATTCTCAGAAACTTCTCTGTGATGTTTGCATTCAACTCATAGAGTTGAACACTTCCCTTCATACAGCAGGTTTGAAACACTCTTTTTGTAATATTTGGAAGTGGACTTTTGCAGCGCTTTGTGGCCTATGATGAAAAAGGTAATATCTTCCCATAAAAACTAGACAGAAGCATTCTCAGAAACTTGTTTGTGATGTGTGTATTCAACTAACAGAGATGAACCTTTCTTTTTACAGAGCAGTTTTGAAACACTCTTTTTGTGGAATCTGAAAGTGGATATTTGGATAGCTTTGCGGATTTCGTTGGAAACGGGATTACATATAAAATCTAGGGAGAAGCATTCTCAGGAACTTCTTTGTGATGTTTGCATTCAAGTCACAGAACTGAACATTCCCTTTCATAGAGCAGGTTTGAAACACTCTTTCTGTAGTATCTGCAAGGCGACGTTTTAAGCGCTTTCAGGCCTGTGGTGAGAAAGGAAATATCTTCAAATAAAAACTAGACAGAAGCATTCTCAGAAACTTCTTTGTGCTGTATGTCCTCAATTAACAGAGTTGAACCTTTGTGTGGATACAGCATTTTGGAAACATTCCTTTAGTAGAATCTGCAAGTTGATATTTAGATAGCTAGGAAGATTTCCTTGGAAACGGGAATATCTTCATATAAAATCTAGACGGAAGCATTCTCAGAAAGTGCTTTGTGATGTTTGCATTCAAGTCACAGAGTTGAATATTCCCTTTTATAGAGCAGGTTTGAAACACTCTTTCTGCACTACCTGGAAGTGGACATTTGGAGCGCTTTGAGGCCTATGTTGAAAAAGGCAATATCTTCCCATAAAAACTAGACAGATAAGCATTCTCAGAAACTTGTTTGTGATGTGTGTATTCAACTAACAGAGATGAACCTTTCTTTTTACAGAGCAGTTTTGAAACACTCTTTTTGTGGAATCTGAAAGTGGATATTTGGATAGCTTTGAGGATTTCGTTGGAAACGGGATTACATATAAAACCTAGAGAGAAGCATTCTCAGGAACTTCTTTGTGATGTTTGCCTTCAAGTCACAGGACTGAACATTCCCTTTCATAGAGCAGGTTTGAAACACTCTTTCTGTAGTATCTGCAAGCTGACGTTTCAAGCGCTTTCAGGCCTATGGTGAGAAAGGAAATATCTTTAAGTAAAAACTAGACAGAAGCATTCTCAGAAACTTATTTGCCATGCGTGTTCTCAACTAACAGAGTTGAACCTTTGTTTTGATACGGCATTTTGGAAACACTCTTTTTGTAGAATCTGCAGGTGGATATTCAGATAGCTTTGAAGGTTTCGTTGGAAACGGGAATATCTTCATATAAAATCTAGACGGAAGCATTCTCAGAAACTGCTTTGTGATGTTTTCATTCAAGTCACAGAGTAGAATGTTCCCTGTTATATACCAGGTTTGAGACACTCTTTCTGCACTACCTGGAAGTGGACGTTTGGAGCGCTTTGAGGCCTATGTTGAAAAAGGAAATATCTTCCCATAAAAACTAGACAGAAGCATTCTCAGAAACTTGTTTGTGATGTGTGTATTCAACTAACAGAGATGAACCTTTCTTTCTACAGAGCAGTTTTGAAACACTCTTTTTGTGGAATCTGAAAGTGGATATTTGGATAGCTTTGAGGATTTCGTTGGAAACGGGATTACATATAAAACCTAGAGAGAAGCATTCTCAGGAACTTCTTTGTGATGTTTGCATTCACGTCACAGAACTGAACATTCCCTTTCATAGAGCATGTTTGAAACACTCTTTCTGTAGTATCTGCAAACGGACATTTCAAACGCTTTCAGGCCTATGGTGAGAAAGGAAATATCTTCAAGTAAAAAGTAGACAGAAGCATTCTCAGAAACTTATTTGCGATGTGTGTCCTCAACTAACAGAGTTGAACCTTTCTTTTGATACAACATTTTGGAAACACTCTTTTTGTAGAATCTGCAAGTGGATATTTGGATAGCTTTGAAGGTTTCGTTGGAAACGGGAATATCTTCATATAAAATCAAGACAGAAGCATTCTCAGAAACTTCTCTGTGATGTTTGCATTCAACTCATAGAGTTGAACACTTCCCTTCATACAGCAGGTTTGAAACACTCTTTTTGTAATATTTGGAAGTGGACATTTGCAGCGCTTTGAGGCCTATGATGAAAAAGGAAATATCTTCCCATAAAAACTAGACAGGAAGCATTCTCAGAAACTTGTTTGTGATGTGTGTATTCAACTAACAGAGATGAACCTTTCTTTTTACAGAGCAGTTTTGAAACACTCTTTTTGTGGAATCTGAAAGTGGATATTTGGATAGCTTTGAGGATTTCGTTGGAAACGGGATTACATATAAAACCTAGAGAGAAGCATTCTCAGGAACTTCTTTGTGATGTTTGCATTCACGTCACAGAACTGAACATTCCCTTTCATAGAGCATGTTTGAAACACTCTTTCTGTAGTATCTGCAAACGGACATTTCAAACGCTTTCAGGCCTATGGTGAGAAAGGAAATATCTTCAAATAAAAACTAGACAGAAGCGTTCTCAGAAACTTATTTGCGATGTGTGTCCTCAACTAACAGAGTTGAACCTTTCTTTTGATACAACATTTTGGAAACACTCTTTTTGTAGAATCTGCAAGTGGATATTTGAATAGCTTTGAAGGTTTCGTTGGAAACGGGAATATCTTCATAAAAAATCAAGACAGAAGCATTCTCAAAAACTTCTCTGTGATGTTTGCATTCAACTCATAGAGTTGAACACTTCCCTTCATACAGCAGGCTTGAAACACTCTTTTTGTAATATTTGGAAGTGGGCATTTGCAGCGCTTTGAGGCCTATGATGAAAAAGGTAATATCTTCCCATAAAAACTAGACAGAAGCATTCTCAGAAACTTGTTTGTGATGTGTGTATTCAACTAACAGAGATGAACCTTTCTTTTTACAGAGCAGTTTTGAAACACTCTTTTTGTGGAATCTGAAAGTGGATATTTGGATAGCTTTGCGGATTTCGTTGGAAACGGGATTACATATAAAATCTAGGGAGAAGCATTCTCAGGAACTTCTTTGTGATGTTTGCATTCAAGTCACAGAACTGAACATTCCCTTTCATAGAGCAGGTTTGAAACACTCTTTCTGTAGTATCTGCAAGCGGACGTTTTAAGCGCTTTCAGGCCTGTGGTGAGAAAGGAAATATCTTCAAATAAAAACTAGACAGAAGCATTCTCAGAAACGTATTTGCGATGTGTGTCCTCAACTAACAGAGTTGAACCTTTCTTTTGATACAACATTTTGGAAACACTCTTTTTGTAGAATCTGCAAGTGGATATTTGGATAGCTTTGAAGGTTTCGTTGGAAACGGGAATATCTTCATATGAAATCAAGACAGAAGCATTCTCAGAAACTTCTCTGTGATGTTTGCATTCAACTCATAGAGTTGAACACTTCCCTTCATACAGCAGGTTTGAAACACTCTTTTTGTAATATTTGGAAGTGGACATTTGCAGCGCTTTGAGGCCTATGTTGAAAAAGGAAATATCTTCTCCTAAAAACCAGACAGAAGCATTCTCAGAAACTTCCTTGTGATGTGTGTACTCAAGTAACAGAGTTGAACCTTCCTTTTGACAGAGCAGTTTTGAAGCACTCTTTTTGTAGAATCTGCAAGTGGATATTTTGATACCTTTGAGGATTTCGTTGGACACGGGATATCTTCATATAAAATCTAGACAGAAGCATTCTCAGAAACTTCTTTGTGCTGTATGTCCTCAATTAACAGAGTTGAACCTTTGTGTGGATACAGCATTTTGGAAACATTCCTTTAGAAGAATCTGCAAGTTGATATTTAGATAGCTAGGAAGATTTCCTTGGAAACGGGAATATCTTCATATAAAATCTAGACGGAAGCATTCTCAGAAAGTGCTTTGTGATGTTTGCATTCAAGTCACAGAGTTGAATATTCCCTTTTATAGAGCAGGTTTGAAACACTCTTTCTGCACTACCTGGAAGTGGACATTTGGAGCGCTTTGAGGCCTATGTTGAAAAAGGAAATATCTTCCCATAAAAACTAGACAGAAGCATTCTCAGAAACTTGTTTGTGATGTGTGTATTCAACTAACAGAGATGAACCTTTCTTTTTACAGAGCAGTTTTGAAACACTCTTTTTGTGGAATCTGAAAGTGGATATTTGGATAGCTTTGAGGATTTCGTTGGAAAAGGGATTACATATAAAACCTAGAGAGAAGCATTCTCAGGAACTTCTTTGTGATGTTTGCCTTCAAGTCACAGGACTGAACATTCCCTTTCATAGAGCAGGTTTGAAACACTCTTTCTGTAGTATCTGCAAGCTGACGTTTCAAGCGCTTTCAGGCCTATGGTGAGAAAGGAAATATCTTCAAGTAAAAACTAGACAGAAGCATTCTCAGAAACTTATTTGCCATGTGTGTTCTCAACTAACAGAGTTGAACCTTTGTTTTGATACGGCATTTTGGAAACACTCTTTTTGTAGAATCTGCAGGTGGATATTCGGATAGCTTTGAAGGTTTCGTTGGAAACGGGAATATCTTCATATAAAATCTAGACGGAAGCATTCTCAGAAACTGCTTTGTGATGTTTTCATTCAAGTCACAGAGTAGAATCTTCCCTGTTATATACCAGGTTTCAGGCACTCTTTCTGCACTACCTGGAAGTGGACATTTGCAGCGCTTTGAGGCCTATGATGAAAAAGGAAATATCTTCCCATAAAAACTAGACAGAAGCATTCTCACAAACTTGTTTGTGATGTGTGTATTCAACTAACAGAGATGAACCTTTCTTTTTACAGAGCAGTTTTGAAACACTCTTTTTGTGGAATCTGAAAGTGGATATTTGGATAGCTTTGAGGATTTCGTTGGAAACGGGATTACATATAAAACCTAGAGAGAAGCATTCTCAGGAACTTCTTTGTGATGTTTGCATTCAAGTCACAGAACTGAACATTCCCTTTCATAGAGCAGGTTTGAAACACTCTTTCTGTAGTATCTGCAAGCTGACGTTTCAAGCGCTTTCAGGCCTATGGTGAGAAAGGAAATATCTTCAAGTAAAAACTAGACAGAAGCATTCTCAGAAACTTATTTGCCATGTGTGTTCTCAACTAACAGAGTTGAACCTTTGTTTTGATACGGCATTTTGGAAACACTCTTTTTGTAGAATCTGCAGGTGGATATTCGGATAGCTTTGAAGGTTTCGTTGGAAACGGGAATATCTTCATATAAAATCTAGACGGAAGCATTCTCAGAAACTGCTTTGTGATGTTTTCATTCAAGTCACAGAGTAGAATGTTCCCTGTTATATACCAGGTTTGAGACACTCTTTCTGCACTACCTGGAAGTGGACGTTTGGAGCGCTTTGAGGCGTATGTTGAAAAAGGAAATAACTTCCCATAAAAACTAGACAGAAGCATTCTCAGAAACTTGTTTGTGATGTGTGTATTCAACTAACAGAGATGAACCTTTCTTTTTACAGAGCAGTTTTGAAACACTCTTTTTGTGGAATCTGAAAGTGGATATTTGGATAGCTTTGAGGATTTCGTTGGAAACGGGATTACATATAAAATCTAGAGAGAAGCATTCTCAGGAACTTCTTTGTGATGTTTGCATTCACGTCACAGAACTGAACATTCCCTTTCATAGAGCATGTTTGAAACACTCTTTCTGTAGTATCTGCAAACGGACATTTCAAACGCTTTCAGGCCTATGGTGAGAAAGGAAATATCTTCAAGTAAAAACTAGACAGAAGCATTCTCAAAAACTTATTTGCGATGTGTGTCCTCAACTAACAGAGTTGAACCTTTCTTTTGATTCAACATTTTGGAAACACTCTTTTTGTAGAATCTGCAAGTGGATATTTGAATAGCTTTGAAGGTTTCGTTGGAAACGGGAATATCTTCATATAAAATCAAGACAGAAGCATTCTCAGAAAGTGCTTTGTGATGTTTGCATTCAAGTCACAGAGTTGAATATTCCCTTTTATAGAGCAGGTTTGAAACACTCTTTCTGCACTACCTGGAAGTGGACATTTGGAGCGCTTTGAGGCCTATGTTGAAAAAGGAAATATGTTCCCATAAAAACTGGACAGAAGCATTCTCAGAAACTTGTTTGTGATGTGTGTATTCAACTAACAGAGATGAACCTTTCTTTTTACAGAGCAGTTTTGAAACACTCTTTTTGTGGAATCTGAAAGTGGATATTTGGATAGCTTTGAGGATTTCGTTGGAAACGGGATTACATATAAAACCTAGAGAGAAGCATTCTCAGGAACTTCTTTGTGATGTTTGCATTCAAGTCACAGGACTGAACATTCCCTTTCATAGAGCAGGTTTGAAACACTCTTTCTGTAGTATCTGCAAGCTGACGTTTCAAGCGCTTTCAGGCCTATGGTGAGAAAGGAAATATCTTCAAGTAAAAACTAGACAGAAGCATTCTCAGAAACTTATTTGCCATGTGTGTTCTCAACTAACAGAGTTGAACCTTTGTTTTGATACGGCATTTTGGAAACACTCTTTTTGTAGAATCTGCAGGTGGATATTCGGATAGCTTTGAAGGTTTCGTTGGAAACGGGAATATCTTCATATAAAATCTAGACGGAAGCATTCTCAGAAACTGCTTTGTGATGTTTTCATTCAAGTCACAGAGTAGAATGTTCCCTGTTATATACCAGGTTTGAGACACTCTTTCTGCACTACCTGGAAGTGGACGTTTGGAGCGCTTTGAGGCCTATGTTGAAAAAGGAAATATCTTCCCATAAAAACTAGACAGAAGCATTCTCAGAAACTTGTTTGTGATGTGTGTATTCAACTAACAGGGATGAACCTTTCTTATTACAGAGCAGTTTTGAAACACTCTTTTTGTGGAATCTGAAAGTGGATATTTGGATAGCTTTGAGGATTTCGTTGGAAACGGGATTACATATAAAACCTAGAGAGAAGCATTCTCAGGAACTTCTTTGTGATGTTTGCATTCAAGTCACAGAACTGAACATTCCCTTTCATAGAGCATGTTTGAAACACTCTTTCTGTAGTATCTGCAAACGGACATTTCAAACGCTTTCAGGCCTATGGTGAGAAAGGAAATATCTTCAAATAAAAACTAGACAGAAGCATTCTCAGAAACTTGTTTGCGATGTGTTTCCTCAACTAACAGAGTTGAACCTTTCTTTTGACACAACATTTTGGAAACACTCTTTTTGTAGAATCTGCAAGTGGATATTTGGATAGCTTTGAAGGTTTCTTTGGAAACGGGAATATCTTCATATAAAATCAAGACAGAAGCATTCTCAGAAACTTCTCTGTGATGTTTGCATTCAACTCATAGAGTTGAACACTTCCCTTCATACAGCAGGTTTGAAACACTCTTTTTGTAATATTTGGAAGTGGACATTTGCAGCGCTTTGAGGCCTATGATGAAAAAGGTAATATCTTCCCATAAAAACTAGACAGAAGCATTCTCAGAAACTTGTTTGTGATGTGTGTATTCAACTAACAGAGATGAACCTTTCTTTTTACAGAGCAGTTTTGAAACACTCTTTTTGTGGAATCTGAAAGTGGATATTTGGATAGCTTTGCGGATTTCGTTGGAAACGGGATTACATATAAAATCTAGGGAGAAGCATTCTCAGGAACTTCTTTGTGATGTTTGCATTCAAGTCACAGAACTGAACATTCCCTTTCATAGAGCAGGTTTGAAACACTCTTTCTGTAGTATCTGCAAGCGGACGTTTTAAGCGCTTTCAGGCCTGTGGTGAGAAAGGAAATATCTTCAAATAAAAACTAGACAGAAGCATTCTCAGAAACTTATTTGCGATGTGTGTCCTCAACTAACAGAGTTGAACCTTTCTTTTGATACAACATTTTGGAAACACTCTTTTTGTAGAATCTGCAAGTGGATATTTGGATAGCTTTGAAGGTTTCGTTGGAAACGGGAATATCTTCATATGAAATCAAGACAGAAGCATTCTCAGAAACTTCTCTGTGATGTTTGCATTCAACTCATAGAGTTGAACACTTCCCTTCATACAGCAGGTTTGAAACACTCTTTTTGTAATATTTGGAAGTGGACATTTGCAGCGCTTTGAGGCCTATGTTGAAAAAGGAAATATCTTCTCCTAAAAACCAGACAGAAGCATTCTCAGAAACTTCCTTGTGATGTGTGTACTCAAGTAACACAGTTGAACCTTCCTTTTGACAGAGCAGTTTTGAAGCACTCTTTTTGTAGAATCTGCAAGTGGATATTTTGATACCTTTGAGGATTTCGTTGGACACGGGATATCTTCATATAAAATCTAGACAGAAGCATTCTCAGGAACTTCTTTGTGATGTTTGCATTCAAGTCACAGAACTGAACATTCCCTTTCATAGAGCAGGTTTGAAACACTCTTTCTGTAGTATCTGCAAGCGGACGTTTTAAGCGCTTTCAGGCCTGTGGTGAGAAAGGAAATATCTTCAAATAAAAACTAGACAGAAGCATTCTCAGAAACTTATTTGCGATGTGTGTCCTCAACTAACAGAGTTGAACCTTTCTTTTGATACAACATTTTGGAAACACTCTTTTTGTAGAATCTGCAAGTGGATATTTGGATAGCTTTGAAGGTTTCGTTGGAAACGGGAATATCTTCATATGAAATCAAGACAGAAGCATTCTCAGAAACTTCTCTGTGATGTTTGCATTCAACTCATAGAGTTGAACACTTCCCTTCATACAGCAGGTTTGAAACACTCTTTTTGTAATATTTGGAAGTGGACATTTGCAGCGCTTTGAGGCCTATGTTGAAAAAGGAAATATCTTCTCCTAAAAACCAGACAGAAGCATTCTCAGAAACTTCCTTGTGATGTGTGTACTCAAGTAACAGAGTTGAACCTTCCTTTTGACAGAGCAGTTTTGAAGCACTCTTTTTGTAGAATCTGCAAGTGGATATTTTGATACCTTTGAGGATTTCGTTGGACACAGGATATCTTCATATAAAATCTAGACAGAAGCATTCTCAGGAACTTCTTTGTGATGTTTGCATTCAAGTCACAGAACTGAACATTCCCTTTCATAGAGCATGTTTGAAACACTCTTTCTGTAGTATCTGCAAGCGGACGTTTTAAGCGCTTTCAGGCCTGTGGTGAGAAAGGAAATATCTTCAAATAAAAACTAGACAGAAGCATTCTCAGAAACTTATTTGCGATGTGTGTCCTCAACTAACAGAGTTGAACCTTTCTTTTGATACAACATTTTGGAAACACTCTTTTTGTAGAATCTGCAAGTGGATATTTGGATAGCTTTGAAGGTTTCGTTGGAAACGGGAATATCTTCATATGAAATCAAGACAGAAGCATTCTCAGAAACTTCTCTGTGATGTTTGCATTCAACTCATAGAGTTGAACACTTCCCTTCATACAGCAGGTTTGAAACACTCTTTTTGTAATATTTGGAAGTGGACATTTGCAGCGCTTTGAGGCCTATGTTGAAAAAGGAAATATCTTCTCCTAAAAACCAGACAGAAGCATTCTCAGAAACTTCCTTGTGATGTGTGTACTCAAATAACAGAGTTGAACCTTCCTTTTGACGGAGCAGTTTTGAAGCACTCTTTTTGTAGAATCTGCAAGTGGATATTTTGATACCTTTGAGGATTTCGTTGGACACGGGATATCTTCATATAAAATCTAGGCAGAAGCATTCTCAGGAGCTTCTTTGTGATGCTTGCATTCAAGTCACAGAACTGAACATTCCCTTTCATAGAGCATGTTTGAAACACTCTTTCTGTAGTATCTGCAAACGGACATTTCAAGCACTTTCAGGCCTACGGTGAGAAAGGAAATATCTTCAAATAGAAACTAGACAGAAGCATTCTCAGAAACTTATTTGCGATGTGTGTCCTCAACTAACAGAGTTGAACCTTTCTTTTGATACAACATTTTGGAAACACTCTTTTTGTAGAATCTGCAAGTGGATATTTGGATAGCTTTGAAGGTTTCGTTGGAAACGGGAATATCTTCATATAAAATCAAGACAGAAGCATTCTCAGAAACTTCTCTGTGATGTTTGCATTCAACTCATAGAGTTGAACACTTCCCTTCATACAGCAGGTTTGAAACACTCTTTTTGTAATATTTGGAAGTGGACATTTGCAGCGCTTTGAGGCCTATGATGAAAAAGGAAATATCTTCCCATAAAAACTAGACAGAAGCATTCTCAGAAACTTGTTTGTGATGTGTGTATTCAACTAACAGAGATGAACCTTTCTTTTTACAGAGCAGTTTTGAAACACTCTTTTTGTGGAATCTGAAAGTGGATATTTGGATAGCTTTGCGGATTTCGTTGGAAACGGGATTACATATAAAATCTAGGGAGAAGCATTCTCAGGAACTTCTTTGTGATGTTTGCATTCAAGTCACAGAACTGAACATTCCCTTTCATAGAGCATGTTTGAAACACTCTTTCTGTAGTATCTGCAAGCGGACGTTTTAAGCGCTTTCAGGCCTGTGGTGAGAAAGGAAATATCTTCAAATAAAAACTAGACAGAAGCATTCTCAGAAACTTCTTTGTGCTGTATGTCCTCAATTAACAGAGTTGAACCTTTGTGCGGATACAGCACTTTGGAAACACTCCTTTAGTAGAATCTGCAAGTTGATATTTAGATAGCTAGGAAGATTTCCTTGGAAACGGGAATATCTTCACATAAAATCTAGACGGAAGCATTCTCACAAACTTCTCTGTGATGCTTGCATTCAACTCATAGAGTTGAACACTTCCTTTGATAGAGCTGGTTTGAAATACTGTTTTTGTAATATTTGGAAGTGGACATTGGCAGCGCTTTGAAGCCTATGGAGAAAAAGGAGATATCTTCTCCTAAAAACCAGACAGAAGCATTCTCAGAAACTTCCTTGTGATGTGTGTACTCAAGTAACAGAGTTGAACCTTCCTTTTGACAGAGCAGTTTTGAAGCACTCTTTTTGTAGAATCTGCAAGTGGATATTTTGATACCTTTGAGGATTTCGTTGGACACGGGATATCTTCATATAAAATCTAGACAGAAGCATTCTCAGAAACTTCTTTGTGCAGTATGTCCTCAATTAACAGAGTTGAACCTTTGTGTGGATACAGCATTTTGGAAACATTCCTTTAGTAGAATCTGCAAGTTGATATTTAGATAGCTAGGAAGATTTCCTTGGAAACGGGAATATCTTCATATAAAATCTAGACGGAAGCATTCTCAGAAACTTCTCTGTGATGTTTGCATTCAACTCATAGAGTTGAACACTTCCCTTCATACAGCAGGTTTGAAACACTCTTTTTGTAATATTTGGAAGTGGACATTTGCAGCGCTTTGAGGCCTATGATGAAAAAGGTAATATCTTCCCATAAAAACTAGACAGAAGCATTCTCAGAAACTTGTTTGTGATGTGTGTATTCAACTAACAGAGATGAACCTTTCTTTTTACAGAGCAGTTTTGAAACACTCTTTTTGTGGAATCTGAAAGTGGATATTTGGATAGCTTTGCGGATTTCGTTGGAAACGGGATTACATATAAAATCTAGGGAGAAGCATTCTCAGGAACTTCTTTGTGATGTTTACATTCAAGTCACAGAACTGAACATTCCCTTTCATAGATCAGGTTTGAAACACTCTTTCTGTAGTATCTGCAAGCGGACGTTTTAAGCGCTTTCAGGCCTGTGGTGAGAAAGGAAATATCTTCAAATAAAAACTAGACAGAAGCATTCTCAGAAACTTATTTGCGATGTGTGTCCTCAACTAACAGAGTTGAACCTTTCTTTTGATACAACATTTTGGAAACACTCTTTTTGTAGAATCTGCAAGTGGATATTTGGATAGCTTTGAAGGTTTCGTTGGAAACGGGAATATCTTCATATGAAATCAAGACAGAAGCATTCTCAGAAACTTCTCTGTGATGTTTGCATTCAACTCATAGAGTTGAACACTTCCCTTCATACAGCAGGTTTGAAACACTCTTTTTCTAATATTTGGAAGTGGACATTTGCAGCGCTTTGAGGCCTATGTTGAAAAAGGAAATATCTTCTCCTAAAAACCAGACAGAAGCATTCTCAGAAACTTCCTTGTGATGTGTGTACTCAAGTAACAGAGTTGAACCTTCCTTTTGACAGAGCAGTTTTGAAGCACTCTTTTTGTAGAATCTGCAAGTGGATATTTTGATACCTTTGAGGATTTCGTTGGACACGGGATATCTTCATATAAAATCTAGACAGAAGCATTCTCAGAAAATTCTTTGTGCTGTATGTCCTCAATTAACAGAGTTGAACCTTTGTGTGGATACAGCATTTTGGAAACATTCCTTTAGTAGAATCTGCAAGTTGATATTTAGATAGCTAGGAAGATTTCCTTGGAAACGGGAATATCTTCATATAAAATCTAGACGGAAGCATTCTCAGAAAGTGCTTTGTGATGTTTGCATTCAAGTCACAGAGTTGAATATTCCCTTTTATAGAGCAGGTTTGAAACACTCTTTCTGCACTACCTGGAAGTGGACATTTGGAGCGCTTTGAGGCCTATGTTGAAAAAGGAAATATCTTCCCATAAAAACTAGACAGAAGCATTCTCAGAAACTTGTTTGTGATGTGTGTATTCAACTAACAGAGATGAACCTTTCTTTTTACAGAGCAGTTTTGAAACACTCTTTTTGTGGAATCTGAAAGTGGATATTTGGATAGCTTTGAGGATTTCGTTGGAAACGGGATTACATATAAAACCTAGAGAGAAGCATTCTCAGGAACTTCTTTGTGATGTTTGCCTTCTAGTCACAGGACTGAACATTCCCTTTCATAGAGCATGTTTGAAACACTCTTTCTGTAGTATCTGCAAGCTGACGTTTCAAGCGCTTTCAGGCCTACGGTGAGAAAGGAAATATCTTCAAG
This sequence comes from Homo sapiens, assembly GCF_000001405.40. NCBI lineage: Eukaryota > Metazoa > Chordata > Mammalia > Primates > Hominidae > Homo > Homo sapiens. Next base: position 43,854,041 of record NC_000009.12, read on the forward strand.
TGAAAACTAGACAGAAGCATTCTCAGCAAACTTATTTGCCATGTGTGTTCTCAACTAACAGAGTTGAACCTTTGTTTTGATGCGGCATTTTGGAAACACTCTTTTTGTAGAATCTGCAGGTGTATATTTGGATAGCTTTGAAGGTTTCGTTGGAAACGGGAATATCTTCATATAAAATCTAGACGGAAGCATTCTCAGAAACTTCTCTGTGATGTTTGCATTCAACTCATAGAGTTGAACACTTCCCTTCATACAGCAGGTTTGAAACACTCTTTTTGTAATATTTGGAAGTGGACATTTGCAGCGCTTTGAGGCCTATGTTGAAAAAGGAAATATCTTCTCCTAAAAACCAGACAGAAGCATTCTCAGAAACTTCCTTGTGATGTGTGTACTCAAGTAACAGAGTTGAACCTTCCTTTTGACGGAGCAGTTTTGAAGCACTCTTTTTGTAGAATCTGCAAGTGGATATTTTGATACCTTTGAGGATTTCGTTGGACACGGGATATCTTCATATAAAATCTAGACAGAAGCATTCTCAGGAACTTCTTTGTGATGTTTGCATTCAAGTCACAGAACTGAACATTCCCTTTCATAGAGCAGGTTTGAAACACTCTTTCTGTAGTATCTGCAAGCGGACGTTTTAAGCGCTTTCAGGCCTGTGGTGAGAAAGGAAATATCTTCAAATAAAAACTAGACAGAAGCATTCTCAGAAACTTATTTGCGATGTGTGTCCTCAACTAACAGAGTTGAACCTTTCTTTTGATACAACATTTTGGAAACACTCTTTTTGTAGAATCTGCAAGTGGATATTTGGATAGCTTTGAAGGTTTCGTTGGAAACGGGAATATCTTCATATGAAATCAAGACAGAAGCATTCTCAGAAACTTCTCTGTGATGTTTGCATTCAACTCATAGAGTTGAACACTTCTCTTCATACAGCAGGTTTGAAACACTCTTTTTCTAATATTTGGAAGTGGACATTTGCAGCGCTTTGAGGCCTATGTTGAAAAAGGAAATATCTTCTCCTAAAAACCAGACAGAAGCATTCTCAGAAACTTCCTTGTGATGTGTGTACTCAAGTAACAGAGTTGAACCTTCCTTTTGACAGAGCAGTTTTGAAGCACTCTTTTTGTAGAATCTGCAAGTGGATATTTTGATACCATTGAGGATTTCGTTGGACACGGGATATCTTCATATAAAATCTAGACAGAAGCATTCTCAGAAACTTCTTTGTGCTGTATGTCCTCAATTAACAGAGTTGAACCTTTGTGTGGATACAGCATTTTGGAAACATTCCTTTAGTAGAATCTGCAAGTTGACATTTAGATAGCTAGGAAGAGTTCCTTGGAAACGGGAATATCTTCATATAAAATCTAGACGGAAGCATTCTCAGAAACTGCTTTGTGATGTTTTCATTCAAGTCACAGAGTAGAATGTTCCCTGTTATATACCAGGTTTGAGACACTCTTTCTGCACTACCTGGAAGTGGACGTTTGGAGCGCTTTGAGGCCTATGTTGAAAAAGGAAATATCTTCCCATAAAAACTAGACAGAAGCATTCTCAGAAACTTGTTTGTGATGTGTCTATTCAACTAACAGAGATGAACCTTTCTTTTTACAGAGCAGTTTTGAAACACTCTTTTTGTGGAATCTGAAAGTGGATATTTGGATAGCTTTGAGGATTTCGTTGGAAACGGGATTACATATAAAATCTAGAGAGAAGCATTCTCAGGAACTCCTTTGTGATGTTTGCATTCACGTCACAGAACTGAACATTCCCTTTCATAGAGCATGTTTGAAACACTCTTTCTGTAGTATCTGCAAACGGACATTTCAAACGCTTTCAGGCCTATGGTGAGAAAGGAAATATCTTCAAGTAAACACTAGACAGAAGCATTCTCAGAAACTTATTTGCGATTTGTGTCCTCAACTAACAGAGTTGAACCTTTCTTTTGATGCAACATTTTGGAAACACTCTTTTTGTAAAATCTGCAAGTGGATATTTGAATAGCTTTGAAGGTTTCGTTGGAAACGGGAATATCTTCATATAAAATCAAGACAGAAGCATTCTCAGAAACTTCTCTGTGATGTTTGCATTCAACTCACAGAGTTGAACACTTCCCTTCATACAGCAGGTTTGAAACACTCTTTTTGTAATATTTGGAAGTGGACATTTGCAGCGCTTTGAGGCCTATGATGAAAAAGGTAATATCTTCCCATAAAAACTAGACAGAAGCATTCTCAGAAACTTGTTTGTGATGTGTGTATTCAACTAACAGAGATGAACCTTTCTTTTTACAGAGCAGTTTTGAAACACTCTTTTTGTGGAATCTGAAAGTGGATATTTGGATAGATTTGAGGATTTCGTTGGAAACGGGATTACATATAAAACCTAGAGAGAAGTATTCTCAGGAACTTCTTTTTGATGTTTGCCTTCAAGTCACAGGACTGAACATTCCCTTTCATAGAGCAGGTTTGAAACACTCTTTCTGTAGTATCTGCAAGCTGACGTTTCAAGCGCTTTCAGGCCTATGGTGAGAAAGGAAATATCTTCAAGTAAAAACTAGACAGAAGCATTCTCAGAAACTTATTTGCCATGTGTGTTCTCAACTAACAGAGTTGAACCTTTGTTTTGATACGGCATTTTGGAAACACTCTTTTTGTAGAAGCTGCAGGTGGATATTCGGATAGCTTTTTAAGGTTTCGTTGGAAACGGGAATATCTTCATATAAAATCCTAGACGGAAGCATTCTCAGAAACTGCTTTGTGATGTTTTCATTCAAGTCACAGAGTAGAATGTTCCCTGTTATATACCAGGTTTGAGACACTCTTTCTGCACTACCTGGAAGTGGACGTTTGGAGCGCTTTGAGGCCTATGTTGAAAAAGGAAATATCTTCTCCTAAAAACCAGACAGAAGCATTCTCAGAAACTTCCTTGTGATGTGTGTACTCAAGTAACAGAGTTGAACCTTCCTTTTGACAGAGCAGTTTTGAAGCACTCTTTTTGTAGAATCTGCAAGTGGATATTTTGATACCTTTGAGGATTTCGTTGGACACGGGATATCTTCATATAAAATCTAGACAGAAGCATTCTCAGAAACTTCTTTGTGCTGTATGTCCTCAATTAACAGAGTTGAACCTTTGTGTGGATACAGCATTTTGGAAACATTCCTTTAGTAGAATCTGCAAGTTGATATTTAGATAGCTAGGAAGAGTTTCCTTGGAAACGGGAATATCTTCATATAAAATCTAGACGGAAGCATTCTCAGAAAGTGCTTTGTGATGTTTGCATTCAAGTCACAGAGTTGAATATTCCCTTTAATAGAGCAGGTTTGAAACACTCTTTCTGCACTACCTGGAAGTGGACATTTGGAGCGCTTTGAGGCCTATGTTGAAAAAGGAAATATCTTCCCATAAAAACTAGACAGAAGCATTCTCAGAAACTTGTTTGTGATGTGTGTATTCAACTAACAGAGATGAACCTTTCTTTTTACAGAGCAGTTTTGAAACACTCTTTTTGTGGGATCTGAAAGTGGATATTTGGATAGCTATGAGGATTTCGTTGGAAACGGGATTACATATAAAACCTAGAGAGAAGCATTCTCAGGAACTTCTTTGTGATGTTTGCATTCAAGTCACAGAACTGAACATTCCCTTTCATAGAGCAGGTTTGAAACACTCTTTCTGTAGTATCTGCAAGCTGACGTTTCAAGCGCTTTCAGGCCTATGGTGAGAAAGGAAATATCTTCAAGTAAAAACTAGACAGAAGGATTCTCAGAAACTTATTTGCCATGTGTGTTCTCAACTAACAGAGTTGAACCTTTGTTTTGATACGGCATTTTGGAAACACTCTTTTTGTAGAATCTGCAGGTGGATATTCGGATAGCTTTGAAGGTTTCGTTGGAAACGGGAATATCTTCATATAAAATCTAGACGGAAGCATTCTCAGAAACTGCTTTGTGATGTTTTCATTCAAGTCACAGAGTAGAATGTTCCCTGTTATATACCAGGTTTGAGACACTCTTTCTGCACTACCCGGAAGTGGACGTTTGGAGCGCTTTGAGGCCTATGTTGAAAAAGGAAATATCTTCCCATAAAAACTAGACAGAAGCATTCTCAGAAACTTGTTTGTGATGTGTGTATTCAACTAACAGAGATGAACCTTTCTTTTTACAGAGCAGTTTTGAAACACTCTTTTTGTGGAATCTGAAAGTGGATATTTGGATAGCTTTGAGGATTTCGTTGGAAACGGGATTACATATAAAATCTAGAGAGAAGCATTCTCAGGAACTTCTTTGTGATGTTTGCATTCACGTCACAGAACTGAACATTCCCTTTCATAGAGCATGTTTGAAACACTCTTTCTGTAGTATCTGCAAACGGACATTTCAAACGCTTTCAGGCCTATGGTGAGAAAGGAAATATCTTCAAGTAAAAACTAGACAGAAGCATTCTCAGAAACTTATTTGCGATGTGTGTCCTCAACTAACAGAGTTGAACCTTTCTTTTGATACAACATTTTGGAAACACTCTTTTTGTAGAATCTGCAAGTGGATATTTGAATAGCTTTGAAGGTTTCGTTGGAAACGGGAATATCTTCATATAAAATCAAGACAGAAGCATTCTCAGAAACTTCTCTGTGATGTTTGCATTCAACTCATAGAGTTGAACACTTCCCTTCATACAGCAGGTTTGAAACACTCTTTTTGTAATATTTGGAAGTGGACTTTTGCAGCGCTTTGAGGCCTATGATGAAAAAGGTAATATCTTCCCATAAAAACTAGACAGAAGCATTCTCAGAAACTTGTTTGTGATGTGTGTATTCAACTAACAGAGATGAACCTTTCTTTTTACAGAGCAGTTTTGAAACACTCTTTTTGTGGAATCTGAAAGTGGATATTTGGATAGCTTTGAGGATTTCGTTGGAAACGGGATTACATATAAAATCTAGAGAGAAGCATTCTCAGGAACTTCTTTGTGATGTTTGCATTCAAGTCACAGAACTGAACATTCCCTTTCATAGAGCATGTTTGAAACACTCTTTCTGTAGTATCTGCAAGCGGACGTTTCAAGCGCTTTCAGGCCTATGGTGAGAAAGGAAATATCTTCAAGTAAAAACTAGACAGAAGCATTCTCAGAAACTTATTTGTCATGTGTGTTCTCAACTAACAGAGTTGAACCTTTGTTTTGATACGGCATTTTGGAAAAACTCTTTTTGTAGAAACTGCAGGTGGATATTCGGATAGCTTTGAAGGTTTCGTTGGAAACGGGAATATCTTCATATAAAATCTAGACGGAAGCATTCTCAGAAACTGCTTTGTGATGTTTTCATTGAAGTCACAGAGTAGAATGTTCCCTTTTATATACCAGGTTTGAGACACTCTTTCTGCACTATCTGGAAGTGGACATTTGGAGCGCTTTGAGGCCTATGATGAAAAAGGAAATATCTTCCCATAAAAACTAGACAGAAGCATACTCAGAAACTTGTTTGTGATGTGTGTATTCAACTAACAGAGATGAAACTTTCTTTTTACAGAGCAGTTTTGAAACACTCTTTTTGTGGAATCTGAAAGTGGATATTTGGATAGCTTTGAAGATTTCGTTGGAAACGGGATTACATATAAAATCTAGGGAGAAGCATTCTCAGGAACTTCTTTGTGATGTTTGCATTCAAGTCACAGAACTGAACATTCCCTTTCATAGAGCAGGTTTGAAACACTCTTTCTGTAGTATCTGCAAGCGGACGTTTCAAGCGCTTTCAGGCCTGTGGTGAAAAAGGAAATATCTTCAAATAAAAACTAGACAGAAGCATTCTCAGAAACTTATTTGCGATGTGTGTTCTCAACTAACAGAGTTGAACCTTTGTTTTGATACAGCATTTTGGAAACACTCTTTTTGTAGGATCTGCAGGTGGATATTTGGATAGCTTTGAAGGTTTCGTTGGAAACGGGAATATCTTCATATAAAATCAACACAGAAGCATTCTCAGAAACTTCTCTGTGATGTTTGCATTCAACTCATAGAGTTGAACACTTCCCTTCATACAGCAGGTTTGAAACACTCTTTTTCTAATATTTGGAAGTGGACATTTGCAGCGCTTTGAGGCCTATGTTGAAAAAGGAAATATCTTCTCCTAAAAACCAGACAGGAAGCATTCTCAGAAACTTCCTTGTGATGTGTGTACTCAAGTAACAGAGTTGAACCTTCCTTTTGACAGAGCAGTTTTGAAGCACTCTTTTTGTAGAATCTGCAAGTGGATATTTTGATACCATTGAGGATTTCGTTGGACACGGGATATCTTCATATAAAATCTAGACAGAAGCATTCTCAGAAACTTCTTTGTGCTGTATGTCCTCAATTAACAGAGTTGAACCTTTGTGTGGATACAGCATTTTGGAAACATTCCTTTAGTAGAATCTGCAAGTTGATATTTAGATAGCTAGGAAGAGTTCCTTGGAAACGGGAATATCTTCATATAAAATCTAGACGGAAGCATTCTCAGAAAGTGCTTTGTGATGTTTGCATTCAAGTCACAGAGTTGAATGTTCCCTTTTATAGAGCAGGTTTGAAACACTCTTTCTGCACTACCTGGAAGTGGACATTTGGAGCGCTTTGAGGCCTATGTTGAAAAAGGAAATATCTTCCCATAAAAACTAGACAGAAGCATTCTCAGAAACTTGTTTGTGATGTGTGTATTCAACTAACAGAGATGAACCTTTCTTTTTACAGAGCAGTTTTGAAACACTCTTTTTGTGGAATCTGAAAGTGGATATTTGGATAGCTTTGAGGATTTCGTTGGAAACGGGATTACATATAAAATCTAGAGAGAAGCATTCTCAGGAACTTCTTTGTGATGTTTGCATTCAAGTCACAGAACTGAACATTCCCTTTCATAGAGCATGTTTGAAACACTCTTTCTGTAGTATCCGCAAGCGGACGTTTCAAGCGCTTTCAGGCCTATGGTGAGAAAGGAAATATCTTCAAGTAAAAACTAGACAGAAGCATTCTCAGAAACTTATTTGCCATGTGTGTTCTCAACTAACAGAGTTGAACCTTTGTTTGGATACGGCATTTTGGAAACACTCTTTTTGTAGAATCTGCAGGTGGATATTCGGATAGCTTTGAAGGTTTCGTTGGAAACGGGAATATCTTCATATAAAATCAAGACAGAAGCATTCTCAGAAACTTCTCTGTGATGTTTGCATTCAACTCATAGAGTTGAACACTTCCCTTCATAGAGCAGGTTTGAAACACTCTTTTTGTAATATTTGGAAGTGGACATTTGCAGCGCTTTGAGGCCTATGTTGAAAAAGGAAATATCTTCTCCTAAAAACCAGACAGAAGCATTCTCAGAAACTTCCTTGTGATGTGTGTACTCAAGTAACAGAGTTGAACCTTACTTTGGACAGAGCCGTTTTGAAACAGTCTTTTTGTAGAATCTGGAAGTAGATATTTGGATACATTTGAGGATTTCTTTGGAAACGGGATATCTTCATATAAAATCTAGACGGAAGCATTCTCAGGAACTTCTTTGTGATGTTTGCATTCACGTCACAGAACTGAACATTCCCTTTCATAGAGCATGTTTGAAACACTCTTTCTGTAGTATCTGCAAACGGACATTTCAAACGCTTTCAGGCCTATGGTGAGAAAGGAAATATCTTCAAATAAAAACTAGACAGAAGCATTCTCAGAAACTTATTTGCGATGTGTGTCCTCAACTAACAGAGTTGAACCTTTCTTTTGATACAACATTTTGGAAACACTCTTTTTGTAGAATCTGCAAGTGGATATTTGGATAGCTTTGAAGGTTTCGTTGGAAACGGGAATATCTTCATATAAAATCAAGACAGAAGCATTCTCAGAAACTTCTCTGTGATGTTTGCATTCAACTCATAGAGTTGAACACTTCCCTTCATACAGCAGGTTTGAAACACTCTTTTTCTAATATTTGGAAGTGGACATTTGCAGCGCTTTGAGGCCTATGTTGAAAAAGGAAATATCTTCTCCTAAAAACCAGACAGAAGCATTCTCAGAAACTTCCTTGTGATGTGTGTACTCAAGTAACAGAGTTGAACCTTCCTTTTGACAGAGCAGTTTTGAAGCAGTCTTTTTGTGGAATCTGCAAGTGGATATTTTGATACCTTTGAGGATTTCGTTGGACACGGGATATCTTCATATAAAATCTAGACAGAAGCATTCTCAGAAACTTCTTTGTGCTGTATGTCCTCAATTAACAGAGTTGAACCTTTGTGTGGATACAGCATTTTGGAAATATTCCTTTAGTAGAATCTGCAAGTTGATATTTAGATAGCTAGGAAGATTTCCTTGGAAACGGGAATATCTTCATATAAAATCTTGACGGAAGCATTCTCGGAAACTGCTTTGTGATGTCTTCATTCAAGTCACAGAGTAGAATGTTCCCTATTATAGAGCAGGTTTGAAACACTCTGTGCACTACCTGGAAGTGGACATTTGGAGCGCTTTGAGGCCTATGTTGAAAAAGGAAATATCTTCCCATAGAAACTAGACAGAAGCATTCTCAGAAACTTGTTTGTGATGTGTGTATTCAACTAACAGAGATGAACCTTTCTTTTTACAGAGCAGTTTTGAAACACTCTTTTTGTGGAATCTGAAAGTGGATATTTGGATAGCTTTGAGGATTTCGTTGGAAACGGGATTACATATAAAATCTAGGGAGAAGCATTCTCAGGAACTTCTTTGTGATGTTTGCATTCAAGTCACAGAACTGAACATTCCCTTTCATAGAGCATGTTTGAAACACTCTTTCTGTAGTATCTGCAAGCGGACGTTTCAAGCGCTTTCAGGCCTGTGGTGAAAAAGGAAATATCTTCAAATAAAAAGTAGACAGAAGCATTCTCAGAAACTTATTTGCGATGTGTGTTCTCAACTAACAGAGTTGAACCTTTGTTTTGATATGGCATTTTGGAAACACTCTTTTTGTAGAATCTGCAGGTGGATATTCGGATAGCTTTGAAGGTTTCGTTGGAAACGGGAATATCTTCATATAAAATCTAGACGGAAGCATTCTCAGAAACTGCTTTGTGATGTTTTCATTCAAGTCACAGAGTAGAATGTTTCCCTGTTATATACCAGGTTTGAGACACTCTTTCTGCACTACCTGGAAGTGGACATTTGCAGCGCTTTGAGGCCTATGATGAAAAAGGAAATATCTTCCCATAAAAACTAGACAGAAAGCATTCTCAGAAACTTGTTTGTGATGTGTGTATTCAACTAACAGAGATGAACCTTTCTTTTTACAGAGCAGTTTTGAAACACTCTTTTTGTGGAATCTGAAAGTGGATATTTGGATAGCTTTGCGGATTTCGTTGGAAACGGGATTACATATAAAATCTAGGGAGAGCATTCTCAGGAACTTCTTTGTGATGTTTGCATTCAAGTCACAGAACTGAACATTCCCTTTCATAGAGCAGGATTGAAACACTCTTTCTGTAGTATCTGCAAGCGGACGTTTTAAGCGCTTTCAGGCCTGTGGTGAGAAAGGAAATATCTTCAAATAAAAACTAGACAGAAGCATTCTCAGAAACTTATTTGCGATGTGTGTCCTCAACTAACAGAGTTGAACCTTTCTTTTGATACAACATTTTGGAAACACTCTTTTTGTAGAATCTGCAAGTGGATATTTGGATAGCTTTGAAGGTTTCGTTGGAAACGGGAATATCTTCATATGAAATCAAGACAGAAGCATTCTCAGAAACTTCTCTGTGATGTTTGCATTCAACTCATAGAGTTGAACACTTCCCTTCATACAGCAGGTTTGAAACACTCTTTTTGTAATATTTGGAAGTGGACATTTGCAGCGCTTTGAGGCCTATGTTGAAAAAGGAAATATCTTCTCCTAAAAACCAGACAGAAGCATTCTCAGAAACTTCCTTGTGATGTGTGTACTCAAGTAACAGAGTTGAACCTTCCTTTTGACAGAGCAGTTTTGAAGCACTCTTTTTGTAGAATCTGCAAGTGGATATTTTGATACCTTTGAGGATTTCGTTGGACACGGGATATCTTCATATAAAATCTAGACAGAAGCATTCTCAGAAACTTCTTTGTGCTGTATGTCCTCAATTAACAGAGTTGAACCTTTGTGTGGATACAGCATTTTGGAAACATTCCTTTAGTAGAATCTGCAAGTTGATATTTAGATAGCTAGGAAGATTTCCTTGGAAACGGGAATATCTTCATATAAAATCTAGACGGAAGCATTCTCAGAAAGTGCTTTGTGATGTTTGCATTCAAGTCACAGGAGTTGAATATTCCCTTTTATAGAGCAGGTTTGAAACACTCTTTCTGCACTACCTGGAAGTGGACATTTGGAGCGCTTTGAGGCCTATGTTGAAAAAGGAAATATCTTCACATAAAAACTAGACAGAAGCATTCTCAGAAACTTGTTTGTGATGTGTGTATTCAACTAACAGAGATGAACCTTTCTTTTTACAGAGCAGTTTTGAAACACTCTTTTTGTGGAATCTGAAAGTGGATATTTGGATAGCTTTGAGGATTTCGTTGGAAACGGGATTACATATAAAACCTAGAGAGAAGCATTCTCAGGAACTTCTTTGTGATGTTTGCATTCAAGTCACAGAACTGAACATTCCCTTTCATAGAGCAGGTTTGAAACACTCTTTCTGTAGTATCTGCAAGCTGACGTTTCAAGCGCTTTCAGGCCTATGGTGAGAAAGGAAATATCTTCAAGTAAAAACTAGACAGAAGCATTCTCAGAAACTTATTTGCCATGTGTGTTCTCAACTAACAGAGTTGAACCTTTGTTTTGATACGGCATTTTGGAAACACACTTTTTGTAGAATCTGCAGGTGGATATTCGGATAGCTTTGAAGGTTTCGTTGGAAACGGGAATATCTTCATATAAAATCTAGACGGAAGCATTCTCAGAAAGTGCTTTGTGATGTTTGCATTCAAGTCACAGAGTTGAATATTCCCTTTTATAGAGCAGGTTTGAAACACTCTTTCTGCACTACCTGGAAGTGGACATTTGGAGCGCTTTGAGGCCTATGTTGAAAAAGGAAATATCTTCCCATAAAAACTAGACAGAAGCATTCTCAGAAACTTGTTTGTGATGTGTGTATTCAACTAACAGAGATGAACCTTTCTTTTTACAGAGCAGTTTTGAAACACTCTTTTTGTGGAATCTGAAAGTGGATATTTGGATAGCTTTGAGGATTTCGTTGGAAACGGGATTACATATAAAATCTAGAGAGAAGCATTCTCAGGAACTTCTTTGTGATGTTTGCATTCACGTCACAGAACTGAACATTCCCTTTCATAGAGCATGTTTGAAACACTCTTTCTGTAGTATCTGCAAACGGACATTTCAAACGCTTTCAGGCCTATGGTGAGAAAGGAAATATCTTCAAATAAAAACTAGACAGAAGCATTCTCAGAAACTTATTTGCGATGTGTGTCCTCAACTATCAGAGTTGAACCTTTCTTTTGATACAACATTTTGGAACCACTCTTTTTGTAGAATCTGCAAGTGGATATTTGAATAGCTTTGAAGGTTTCGTTGGAAACGGGAATATCTTCATATAAAATCAAGACAGAAGCATTCTCAGAAACTTCTCTGTGATGTTTGCATTCAACTCATAGAGTTGAACACTTCCCTTCATACAGCAGGTTTGAAACACTCTTTTTGTAATATTTGGAAGTGGACATTTGCAGCGCTTTGAGGCCTATGATGAAAAAGGTAATATCTTCCCATAAAAACTAGACAGAAGCATTCTCAGAAACTTGTTTGTGATGTGTGTATTCAACTAACAGAGATGAACCTTTCTTTTTACAGAGCAGTTTTGAAACACTCTTTTTGTGGAATCTGAAAGTGGATATTTGGATAGCTTTGCGGATTTCGTTGGAAACGGGATTACATATAAAATCTAGGGAGAAGCATTCTCAGGAACTTCTTTGTGATGTTTGCATTCAAGTCACAGAACTGAACATTCCCTTTCATAGAGCAGGTTTGAAACACTCTTTCTGTAGTATCTGCAAGCGGACGTTTTAAGCGCTTTCAGGCCTGTGGTGAGAAAGGAAATATCTTCAAATAAAAACTAGACAGAAGCATTCTCAGAAACTTATTTGCGATGTGTGTCCTCAACTAACAGAGTTGAACCTTTCTTTTGATACAACATTTTGGAAACACTCTTTTTGTAGAATCTGCAAGTGGATATTTGAATAGCTTTGAAGGTTTCGTTGGAAACTGGGAATATCTTCATATAAAATCAAGACGGAAGCATTCTCAGAAACTTCTCTGTGATGTTTGCATTCAACTCATAGAGTTGAACACTTCCCTTCATACAGCAGGTTTGAAACACTCTTTTTGTAATATTTGGAAGTGGACATTTGCAGCGCTTTGAGGCCTATGATGAAAAAGGTAATATCTTCCCATAAAAACTAGACAGAAGCATTCTCAGAAACTTGTTTGTGATGTGTGTATTCAACTAACAGAGATGAACCTTTCTTTTTACAGAGCAGTTTTGAAACACTCTTTTTGTGGAATCTGAAAGTGGATATTTGGATAGCTTTGAGGATTTCGTTGGAAACGGGATTACATATAAAACCTAGAGAGAAGCATTCTCAGGAACTACTTTGCGATGTTTGCATTCAAGTCACAGAACTGAACATTCCCTTTCATAGAGCAGGTTTGAAACACTCTTTCTGTAGTATCTGCAAGCTGACGTTTCAAGCGCTTTCAGGCCTACGGTGAGAAAGGAAATTTCTGCAAGTAAAAACTAGACAGAAGCATTCTCAGAAACTTATTTGCGATGTGTGTTCTCAACTAACAGAGTTGAACCTTTGTTTTGATATGGCATTTTGGAAACACTCTTTTTGTAGAATCTGCAGGTGGATATTCGGATAGCTTTGAAGGTTTCGTTGGAAACGGGAATATCTTCATATAAAATCTAGACGGAAGCATTCTCAGAAACTGCTTTGTGATGTTTTCATTCAAGTCACAGAGTAGAATGTTCCCTGTTATATACCAGGTTTGAGACACTCTTTCTGCACTACCTGGAAGTGGACGTTTGGAGCGCTTTGAGGCCTATGTTGAAAAAGGAAATATCTTCCCATAAAAACTAGACAGAAGCATTCTCAGAAACTTGTTTTTGATGTGTGTATTCAACTAACAGAGATGAACCTTTCTTTTTACAGAGCAGTTTTGAAACACTCTTTTTGTGGAATCTGAAAGTGGATATTTGGATAGCTTTGAGGATTTCGTTGGAAACGGGATTACATATAAAATCTAGAGAGAAGCATTCTCAGGAACTTCTTTGTGATGTTTGCATTCACGTCACAGAACTGAACATTCCCTTTCATAGAGCATGTTTGAAACACTCTTTCTGTAGTATCTGCAAACGGACATTTCAAACGCTTTCAGGCCTATGGTGAGAAAGGAAATATCTTCAAATAAAAACTAGACAGAAGCATTCTCAGAAACTTATTTGCGATGTGTGTCCTCAACTATCAGAGTTGAACCTTTCTTTTGATACAACATTTTGGAACCACTCTTTTTGTAGAATCTGCAAGTGGATATTTGAATAGCTTTGAAGGTTTCGTTGGAAACGGGAATATCTTCATATAAAATCAAGACAGAAGCATTCTCAGAAACTTCTCTGTGATGTTTGCATTCAACTCATAGAGTTGAACACTTCCCTTCATACAGCAGGTTTGAAACACTCTTTTTGTAATATTTGGAAGTGGACATTTGCAGCGCTTTGAGGCCTATGATGAAAAAGGAAATATCTTCCCATAAAAACTAGACAGAAGCATTCTGAGAAACTTGTTTGAGATGTGTGTATTCAACTAACAGAGATGAACCTTTCTTTTTACAGAGCAGTTTTGAAACACTCTTTTTGTGGAATCTGAAAGTGGATATTTGGATAGCTTTGCGGATTTCGTTGGAAACGGGATTACATATAAAATCTAGGGAGCAGCATTCTCAGGAACTTCTTTGTGATGTTTGCATTCAAGTCACAGAACTGAACATTCCCTTTCATAGAGCAGGTTTGAAACACTCTTTCTGTAGTATCTGCAAGCGGACGTTTTAAGCGCTTTCAGGCCTGTGGTGAGAAAGGAAATATCTTCAAATAAAAACTAGACAGAAGCATTCTCAGAGACTTATTTGCGATGTGTGTCCTCAACTAACAGAGTTGAACCTTTCTTTTGATACAACATTTTGGAAACACTCTTTTTGTAGAATCTGCAAGTGGATATTTGGATAGCTTTGAAGGTTTCGTTGGAAACGGGAATATCTTCATATGAAATCAAGACAGAAGCATTCTCAGAAACTTCTCTGTGATGTTTGCATTCAACTCATAGAGTTGAACACTTCCCTTCATACAGCAGGTTTGAAACACTCTTTTTCTAATATTTGGAAGTGGACATTTGCAGCGCTTTGAGGCCTATGTTGAAAAAGGAAATATCTTCTCCTAAAAACCAGACAGAAGCATTCTCAGAAACTTCCTTGTGATGTGTGTACTCAAGTAACAGAGTTGAACCTTCCTTTTGACAGAGCAGTTTTGAAGCACTCTTTTTGTAGAATCTGCAAGTGGATATTTTGATACCTTTGAGGATTTCGTTGGACACGGGATATCTTCATATAAAATCTAGACAGAAGCATTCTCAGAAACTTCTTTGTGCTGTATGTCCTCAATTAACAGAGTTGAACCTTTGTCTGGATACAGCATTTTGGAAACATTCCTTTAGTAGAATCTGCAAGTTGATATTTAGATAGCTAGGAAGATTTCCTTGGAAACGGGAATATCTTCATATAAAATCTAAACGGAAGCATTCTCAGAAACTGCTTTGTGATGTTTTCATTCAAGTCACAGAGTAGAATCTTCCCTGTTATATACCAGGTCTCAGACACTCTTTCTGCACTACCTGGAAGTGGACATTTGCAGCGCTTTGAGGCCTATGATGAAAAGGGAAATATCTTCCCATAAAAACTAGACAGAAGCATTCTCAGAAACTTGTTTGTGATGTGTGTATTCAACTAACAGAGATGAACCTTTCTTTTTACAGAGCAGTTTTGAAACACTCTTTTTGTGGAATCTGAAAGTGGATATTTGGATAGCTTTGAGGATTTCGTTGGAAACGGGATTACATATAAAACCTAGAGAGAAGCATTCTCAGGTAACTTCTTTGTGATGTTTGCATTCACGTCACAGAACTGAACATTCCCTTTCATAGAGCATGTTTGAAACACTCTTTCTGTAGTATCTGCAAACGGACATTTCAAACGCTTTCAGGCCTATGGTGAGAAAGGAAATATCTTCAAGTAAAAACTAGACAGAAGCATTCTCAGAAACTTATTTGCGATGTGTGTCCTCAACTAACAGAGTTGAACCTTTCTTTTGATACAACATTTTGGAAACACTCTTTTTGTAGAATCTGCAAGTGGATATTTGAATAGCTTTGAAGGTTTCGTTGGAAACGGGAATATCTTCATATAAAATCAAGACAGAAGCATTCTCAGAAACTTCTCTGTGATGTTTGCATTCAACTCATAGAGTTGAACACTTCCCTTCATACAGCAGGTTTGAAACACTCTTTTTGTAATATTTGGAAGTGGACATTTGCAGCGCTTTGAGGCCTATGATGAAAAAGGTAATATCTTCCCATAAAAACTAGACAGAAGCATTCTCAGAAACTTGTTTGTGATGTGTGTATTCAACTAACAGAGATGAACCTTTCTTTTTACAGAGCAGTTTTGAAACACTCTTTTTGTGGAATCTGAAAGTGGATATTTGGATAGCTTTGCGGATTTCGTTGGAAACGGGATTACATATAAAATCTAGGGAGAAGCATTCTCAGGAACTTCTTTGTGATGTTTGCATTCAAGTCACAGAACTGAACATTCCCTTTCATAGAGCATGTTTGAAACACTCTTTCTGTAGTATCTGCAAGCGGACGTTTTAAGCGCTTTCAGGCCTGTGGTGAGAAAGGAAATATCTTCAAATAAAAACTAGACAGAAGCATTCTCAGAAACTTATTTGCGATGTGTGTCCTCAACTAACAGAGTTGAACCTTTCTTTTGATACAACATTTTGGAAACACTCTTTTTGTAGAATCTGCAAGTGGATATTTGGATAGCTTTGAAGGTTTCGTTGGAAACGGGAATATCTTCATATGAAATCAAGACAGAAGCATTCTCAGAAACTTCTCTGTGATGTTTGCATTCAACTCATAGAGTTGAACACTTCCCTTCATACAGCAGGTTTGAAACACTCTTTTTCTAATATTTGGAAGTGGACATTTGCAGCGCTTTGAGGCCTATGTTGAAAAAGGAAATATCTTCTCCTAAAAACCAGACAGGAAGCATTCTCAGAATCTTTCTTGTGATGTGTGTACTCAAGTAACAGAGTTGAACCTTCATTTTGACAGAGCAGTTTTGAAGCACTCTTTTTGTAGAATCTACAAGTGGATATTTTGATACCTTTGAGGATTTCGTTGGACACGGGATATCTTCATATAAAATCTAGACAGAAGCATTCTCAGGAACTTCTTTGTGATGTTTTCATTCAAGTCACAGAACTGAACATTCCCTTTCATAGAGCAGGTTTGAAACACTCTTTCTGTAGTATCTGCAAGCTGACGTTTCAAGCGCTTTCAGGCCTATGGTGAGAAAGGAAATATCTTCAAGTAAAAACTAGACAGAAGCATTCTCAGAAACTTCTTTGCGATGTGTGTTCTCAACTAACAGAGTTGAACCTTTGTTTTGATATGGCATTTTGGAAACACTCTTTTTGTAGAATCTGCAGGTGGATATTCGGATAGCTTTGAAGGTTTCGTTGGAAACGGGAATATGTTCATATAAAATCTAGACGGAAGCATTCTCAGAAACTGCTTTGTGATGTTTTCATTCAAGTCACAGAGTAGATTGTTCCCTGTTATATACCAGGTTTGAGACACTCTTTCTGCACTACCTGGAAGTGGACATTTGCAGCGCTTTGAGGCCTATGATGAAAAAGGAAATATCTTCCCATAAAAACTAGACAGAAGCATTCTCAGAAACTTCTCTGTGATGTTTGCATTCAACTCATAGAGTTGAACGCTTCCCTTCATACAGCAGGTTTGAAACACTCTTTTTGTAATATTTGGAAGTGGACATTTGCAGCGCTTTGAGGCCTATGATGAAAAAGGTAATATCTTCCCATAAAAACTAGACAGAAGCATTCTCAGAAACTTGTTTGTGACGTGTGTATTCAACTAACAGAGATGAACCTTTCTTTTTACAGAGCAGTTTTGAAACACTCTTTTTGTGGAATCTGAAAGTGGATATTTGGATAGCTTTGCGGATTTCGTTGGAAACGGGATTACATATAAAATCTAGGGAGAAGCATTCTCAGGAACTTCTTTGTGATGTTTGCATTCAAGTCACAGAACTGAACATTCCCTTTCATAGAGCAGGTTTGAAACACTCTTTCTGTAGTATCTGCAAGCGGACGTTTTAAGCGCTTTCAGGCCTGTGGTGAGATAGGAAATATCTTCAAATAAAAACTAGACAGAAGCATTCTCAGAAACTTATTTGCGATGTGTGTTCTCAACTAACAGAGTTGAACCTTTGTTTTGATACGGCATTTTGGAAACACTCTTTTTGTAGAATCTGCAGGTGGATATTCGGATAGCTTTGAAGGTTTCGTTGGAAACGGGAATATCTTCATATAAAATACTAGACGGAAGCATTCTCAGAAACTGCTTTGGGATGTTTTCATTCAAGTCACAGGAGTAGAATGTTCCCTGTTATATACCAGGTTTGAGACACTCTTTCTGCACTACCTGGAAGTGGACGTTTGGAGCGCTTTGAGGCCTATGTTGAAAAAGGAAATATCTTCCCATAAAAACTAGACAGAAGAATTCTCAGAAACTTGTTTGTGATGTGTGTATTCAACTAACAGAGATGAACCTTTCTATTTACAGAGCAGTTTTGAAACACTCTTTTTGTGGAATCTGAAAGTGGATATTTCGATAGCTTTGTGGATTTCGTTGGAAACGGGATTACATATAAAACCTAGAGAGAAGCATTCTCAGGAACTTCTTTGTGATGTTTGCATTCAAGTCACAGGACTGAACATTCCCTTTCATAGAGCAGGTTTGAAACACTCTTTCTGTAGTATCTGCAAGCTGACGTTTCAAGCGCTTTCAGGCCTATGGTGAGAAAGGAAATATCTTCAAGTAAAAACTAGACAGAAGCATTCTGAGAAACTTATTTGCCATGTGTGTTCTCAACTAACAGAGTTGAACCTTTGTTTTGATACGGCATTTTGGAAACACTCTTTTTGTAGAATCTGCAGGTGGATATTCGGATAGCTTTGAAGGTTTCGTTGGAAACGGGAATATCTTCATATAAAATCTAGACGGAAGCATTCTCAGAAACTGCTTTGTGATGTTTTCATTCAAGTCACAGAGTAGAATGTTCCCTGTTATATACCAGGTTTGAGACACTCTTTCTGCACTACCTGGAAGTGG
This sequence comes from Homo sapiens, assembly GCF_000001405.40. NCBI lineage: Eukaryota > Metazoa > Chordata > Mammalia > Primates > Hominidae > Homo > Homo sapiens. Next base: position 43,872,556 of record NC_000009.12, read on the forward strand.
ACGTTTGGAGCGCTTTGAGGCCTATGTTGAAAAAGGAAATATCTTCCCATAAAAACTAGACAGAAGCATTCTCAGAAACTTGTTTGTGATGTGTGTATTCAACTAACAGAGATGAACCTTTCTTTTTACAGAGCAGTTTTGAAACACTCTTTTTGTGGAATCTGAAAGTGGATATTTGGATAGCTTTGAGGATTTCGTTGGAAACGGGATTACATATAAAACCTAGAGAGAAGCATTCTCAGGAACTTCTTTGTGATGTTTGCATTCAAGTCACAGAACTGAACATTCCCTTTCATAGAGCAGGTTTGAAACACTCTTTCTGTAGTATCTGCAAGCTGACGTTTCAAGCGCTTTCAGGCCTATGGTGAGAAAGGAAATATCTTCAAGTAAAAACTAGACAGAAGCATTCTCAGAAACTTATTTGCCATGTGTGTTCTCAACTAACATAGTTGAAACTTTTTTTTGATACGGCATTTTGGAAACACTCTTTTTGTAGAATGTGCAGGTGGATATTCGGATAGCTTTGAAGGTTTCGTTGGAAACGGGAATATCTTCATATAAAATCTAGACGGAAGCATTCTGAGAAACTGCTTTGTGATGTTTTCATTCAAGTCACAGAGTAGAATGTTCCCTGTTATATACCAGGTTTGAGACACGCTTTCTGCACTACCTGGAAGTGGACATTTGGAGCGCTTTGAGGCCTATGCTGAAAAAGGAAATATCTTCCCATAAAAACTAGACAGAAGCATTCTCAGAAACTTGTTTGTGATGTGTGTATTCAACTAACAGAGATGAACCTTTCTTTTTACAGAGCAGTTTTGAAACACTCTTTTTGTGGAATCTGAAAGTGGATATTTGGATAGCTTTGAGGATTTCGTTGGAAACGGGATTACATATAAAATCTAGAGAGAAGCATTCTCAGGAACTTCTTTGTGATGTTTGCATTCAAGTCACAGAACTGAACATTCCCTTTCATAGAGCATGTTTGAAACACTCTTTCTGTAGTATCTGCAAACGGACATTTCAAGCGCTTTCAGGCCTATGGTAAGAAAGGAAATATCTTCAAATAAAAACTAGACAGAAGCATTCTCAGAAACTTATTTGCGATGTGTGTCCTCAACTAACAGAGTTGAACCTTTGTTTTGATACAACATTTTGGAAACACTCTTTTTGTAGAATCTGCAAGTGGATATTTGGATAGCTTTGAAGGTTTCGTTGGAAACGGGAATATCTTCATATAAAATCAAGACAGAAGCATTCTCAGAAACTTCTCTGTGATGTTTGCATTCAACTCATAGAGTTGAACACTTCCCTTCATAGAGCAGGTTTGAAACACTCTTTTTGTAATATTTGGAAGTGGACATTTGCAGCGCTTTGAGGCCTATGTTGAAAAAGGAAATATCTTCTCCTAAAAACCAGACAGAAGCATTCTCAGAAACTTCCTTGTGATGTGTGTACTCAAGTAACAGAGTTGAACCTTACTTTTGACAGAGCCGTTTTGAAACAGTCTTTTTGTAGAATCTGGAAGTAGATATTTGGATACCTTTGAGGATTTCTTTGGAAACGGGATATCTTCATATAAAATCTAGGCGGAAGCATTCTCAGAAAGTGCTTTGTGATGTTTGCATTCAAGTCACAGAGTTGAATATTCCCTTTTATAGAGCAGGTTTGAAACACTCTTTCTGCACTACCTGGAAGTGGACATTTGGAGCGCTTTGAGGCCTATGTTGAAAAAGGAAATATCTTCCCATAAAAACTAGACAGAAGCATTCTCAGAAACTTGTTTGTGATGTGTGTATTCAACTAACAGAGATGAACCTTTCTTTTTACAGAGCAGTTTTGAAACACTCTTTTTGTGGAATCTGAAAGTGGATATTTGGATAGCTTTGAGGATTTCGTTGGAAACGGGATTACATATAAAACCTAGAGAGAAGCATTCTCAGGAACTTCTTTGTGATGTTTGCCTTCAAGTCACAGGACTGAACATTCCCTTTCATAGAGCAGGTTTGAAAAACTCTTTCTGTAGTATCTGCAAGCTGACGTTTCATGCGCTTTCAGGCCTATGGTGAGAAAGGAAATATCTTGAAGTAAAAACTAGACAGAAGCATTCTCAGAAACTTATTTGCGATGTGTGTTCTCAACTAACAGAGTTGAACCTTTGTTTTGATATGGCATTTTGGAAACACTCTTTTTGTAGAATCTGCAGGTGGATATTCGGATAGCTTTGAAGGTTTCGTTGGAAACGGGAATATCTTCATATAAAATCTAGACGGAAGCATTCTCAGAAACTGCTTTGTGATGTTTTCATTCAAGTCACAGAGTAGAATGTTCCCTGTTATATACCAGGTTTGAGACACTCTTTCTGCACTACCTGGAAGTGGACATTTGCAGCGCTTTGAGGCCTATGATGAAAAAGGAAATATCTTCCCATAAAAACTAGACAGAAGCATTCTCAGAAACTTGTTTGTGATGTGTGTATTCAACTAACAGAGATGAACCTTTCTTTTTACAGAGCAGTTTTGAAACACTCTTTTTGTGGAATCTGAAAGTGGATATTTGGATAGCTTTGAGGATTTCGTTGGAAACGGGATTACATATAAAAACCTAGGGAGAAGCATTCTCAGGATCTTCTTTGTGATGTTTGCATTCAAGTCACAGAACTGAACATTCCCTTTCATAGAGCAGGTTTGAAACACTCTTTCTGTAGTATCTGCAAGCTGACGTTTCAAGCGCTTTCAGGCCTATGGTGAGAAAGGAAATATCTTCAAGTAAAAACTAGACAGAAGAATTCTCAGAAACTTATTTGCCATGTGTGTTCTCAACTAACAGAGTTGAACCTTTGTTTTGATACGGCATTTTGGAAACAATCTTTTTGTAGAATCTGCAGGTGGATATTCGGATAGCTTTGAAGGTTTCGTTGGAAACGGGAATATCTTCATATAAAATCTAGACGGAAGCATTCTCAGAAACTGCTTTGTGATGTTTTCATTCAAGTCACAGAGTAGAATGTTTCCCTGTTATATACCAGGTTTGAGACACTCTTTCTGCACTACCTGGAAGTGGACGTTTGGAGCGCTTTGAGGCCTATGTTGAAAAAGGAAATATCTTCCCATAAAAACTAGACAGAAGCATTCTCAGAAACTTGTTTGTGATGTGTGTATTCAACTAACAGAGATGAACCTTTCTTTTTACAGAGCAGTTTTGAAACACTCTTTTTGTGGAATCTGAAAGTGGATATTTGGATAGCTTTGAGGATTTCGTTGGAAACGGGATTACAGATAAAACCTAGAGAGAAGCATTCTCAGGAACTTCTTTGTGATGTTTGCATTCAAGTCACAGAACTGAACATTCCCTTTCATAGAGCAGGTTTGAAACACTCTTTCTGTAGTATCTGCAAGCTGACGTTTCAAGCGCTTTCAGGCCTATGGTGAGAAAGGAAATATCTTCAAGTAAAAACTAGACAGAAGCATTCTCAGAAACTTATTTGCGATGTGTGTTCTCAACTAACAGAGTTGAACCTTTGTTTTGATATGGCATTTTGGAAACACTCTTTTTGTAGAATCTGCAGGTGGATATTCGGATAGCTTTGAAGGTTTCGTTGGAAACGGGAATATCTTCATATAAAATCTAGACGGAAGCATTCTCAGAAACTGCTTTGTGATGTTTTCATTCAACTCATAGAGTTGAACACTTCCCTTCATACAGCAGGTTTGAAACACTCTTTTTGTAATATTTGGAAGTGGACATTTGCAGCGCTTTGAGGCCTATGATGAAAAAGGTAATATCTTCCCATAAAAACTAGACAGAAGCATTCTCAGAAACTTGTTTGTGATGTGTGTATTCAACTAACAGAGATGAACCTTTCTTTTTACAGAGCAGTTTTGAAACACTCTTTTTGTGGAATCTGAAAGTGGATATTTGGATAGCTTTGCGGATTTCGTTGGAAACGGGATTACATATAAAATCTAGGGAGAAGCATTCTCAGGAACTTCTTTGTGATGTTTGCATTCAAGTCACAGAACTGAACATTCCCTTTCATAGAGCAGGTTTGAAATACTGTTTCTGTAGTATCTGCAAGCGGACGTTTTAAGCGCTTTCAGGCCTGTGGTGAGAAAGGAAATATCTTCAAATAAAAACTAGACAGAAGCATTCTCAGAAACTTATTTGCGATGTGTGTCCTCAACTAACAGAGTTGAACCTTTCTTTTGATACAACATTTTGGAAACACTCTTTTTGTAGAATCTGCAAGTGGATATTTGGATAGCTTTGAAGGTTTCGTTGGAAACGGGAATATCTTCATATGAAATCAAGACAGAAGCATTCTCAGAAACTTCTCTGTGATGTTTGCATTCAACTCATAGAGTTGAACACTTCCCTTCATACAGCAGGTTTGAAACACTCTTTTTCTAATATTTGGAAGTGGACTTTTGCAGCGCTTTGAGGCCTATGTTGAAAAAGGAAATATCTTCTCCTAAAAACCAGACAGAAGCATTCTCAGAAACTTCCTTGTGATGTGTGTACTCAAGTAACAGAGTTGAACCTTCCTTTTGACAGAGCAGTTTTGAAGCACTCTTTTTGTAGAATCTGCAAGTGGATATTTTGATACCTTTGAGGATTTCGTTGGACACGGGATATCTTCATATAAAATCTAGACTAGAAGCATTCTCAGAAACTTCTTTGTGCTGTATGTCCTCAATTAACAGAGTTGAACCTTTGTGTGGATACAGCATTTTGGAAACATTCCTTTAGTAGAATCTGCAAGTTGATATTTAGATAGCTAGGAAGATTTCCTTGGAAACGGGAATATCTTCATATAAAATCTAGACGGAAGCATTCTCAGAAAGTGCTTTGTGATGTTTGCATTCAAGTCACAGAGTTGAATATTCCCTTTTATAGAGCAGGTTTGAAACACTCTTTCTGCACTACCTGGAAGTGGACATTTGGAGCGCTTTGAGGCTTATGTTGAAAAACGAAATATCTTCCCATAAAAACTAGACAGAAGCATTCTCAGAAACTTGTTTGTGATGTGTGTATTCAACTAACAGAGATGAACCTTTCTTTTTACAGAGCAGTTTTGAAACACTCTTTTTGTGGAATCTGAAAGTGGATATTTGGATAGCTTTGAGGATTTCGTTGGAAACGGGATTACATATAAAACCTAGAGAGAAGCATTCTCAGGAACTTCTTTGTGATGTTTGCCTTCAAGTCACAGGACTGAACATTCCCTTTCATAGAGCAGGTTTGAAACACTCTTTCTGTAGTATCTGCAAGCTGACGTTTCAAGCGCTTTCAGGCCTATGGTGAGAAAGGAAATATCTTCAAGTAAAAACTAGACAGAAGCATTCTCAGAAACTTATTTGAGATGTGTGTTCTCAACTAACAGAGTTGAACCTTTGTTTTGATACGGCATTTTGGAAACACTCTTTTTGTAGAATCTGCAGGTGGATATTCGGTTAGCTTTGAAGGTTTCGTTGGAAACGGGAATATCTTCATATAAAATCAAGACAGAAGCATTCTCAGAAAGTGCTTTGTGATGTTTGCATTCAAGTCACACAGTTGAATATTCCCTTTTATAGAGCAGGTTTGAAACACTCTTTCTGCACTACCTGGAAGTGGACATTTGGAGCGCTTTGAGGCCTATGTTGAAAAAGGAAATATCTTCCCATAAAAACTAGACAGAAGCATTCTCAGAAACTTGTTTGTGATGTGTGTATTCAACTAACAGAGATGAACCTTTCTTTTTACAGAGCAGTTTTGAAACACTCTTTTTGTGGAATCTGAAAGTGGATATTTGGATAGCTTTGAGGATTTCGTTGGAAACGGGATTACATATAAAATCTAGAGAGAAGCATTCTCAGGAACTTCTTTGTGATGTTTGCATTCACGTCACAGAGCTGAACATTCCCTTTCATAGAGCATGTTTGAAACACTCTTTCTGTAGTATCTGCAAACGGACATTTCAAACGCTTTCAGGCCTATGGTGAGAAAGGAAATATCTTCAAATAAAAACTAAACAGAAGCATTCTCAGAAACTTATTTGCGATGTGTGTCCTCAACTAACAGAGTTGAACCTTTCTTTTGATACAACATTTTGGAAACACTCTTTTTGTGGAATCTGCAAGTGGATATTTGTATAGCTTTGAAGATTTCGTTGGAAACGGGAATATCTTCATATAAAATCAAGACAGAAGCATTCTCAGAAACTTCTCTGTGATGTTTGCATTCAACTCATAGAGTTGAACACTTCCCTTCATACAGCAGGTTTGAAACACTCTTTTTGTAATATTTGGAAGTGGACATTTGCAGCGCTTTGAGGCCTATGATGAAAAAGGTATTATCTTCCCATAAAAACTAGACAGAAGCATTCTCAGAAACTTGTTTGTGATGTGTGTATTCAACTAACAGAGATGAACCTTTCTTTTTACAGAGCAGTTTTGAAACACTCTTTTTGTGGAATCTGAAAGTGGATATTTGGATAGCTTTGCGGATTTCGTTGGAAACGGGATTACATATAAAATCTAGGGAGAAGCATTCTCAGGAACTTCTTTGTGATGTTTGCATTCAAGTCACAGAACTGAACATTCCCTTTCATAGAGCAGGTTTGAAACACTCTTTCTGTAGTATCTGCAAGCGGACGTTTTAAGCGCTTTCAGGCCTGTGGTGAGAAAGGAAATATCTTCAAATAAAAACTAGACAGAAGCATTCTCAGAAACTTATTTGCGATGTGTGTCCTCAACTAACAGAGTTGAACCTTTCTTTTGATACAACATTTTGGAAACACTCTTTTTGTAGAATCTGCAAGTGGATATTTGGATAGCTTTGAAAGTTTCGTTGGAAACGGGAATATCTTCATATGAAATCAAGACAGAAGCATTCTCAGAAACTTCTCTGTGATGTTTGCATTCAACTCATAGAGTTGAACACTTCCCTTCATACAGCAGGTTTGAAACACTCTTTTTGTAATATTTGGAAGTGGACATTTGCAGCGCTTTGAGGCCTATGTTGAAAAAGGAAATATCTTCTCCTAAAAACCAGACAGAAGCATTCTCAGAAACTTCCTTGTGATGTGTGTACTCAAGTAACAGAGTTGAACCTTCCTTTTGACAGAGCAGTTTTGAAGCACTCTTTTTGTAGAATCTGCAAGTGGATATTTTGATACCTCTGAGGATTTCGTTGGAAACGGGATTACATATAAAACCTAGAGAGAAGCATTCTCAGGAACTTCTTTGTGATGTTGGCCTTCAAGTCACAGGACTGAACATTCCCTTTCATAGAGCAGGTTTGAAACACTCTTTCTGTAGTATCTGCAAGCTGACGTTTCAAGCGCTTTCAGGCCTATGGTGAGAAAGGAAATATCTTCAAGTAAAAACTAGACAGAAGCATTCTCAGAAACTTATTTGCGATGTGTGTCCTCAACTAACAGAGTTGAACCTTTCTTTTGATACAACATTTTGGAAACACTCTTTTTGTAGAATGTGCAAGTGGATATTTGGATAGCTTTGAAGGTTTCGTTGGAAACGGGAATATCTTCATATGAAATCAAGACAGAAGCATTCTCAGAAAGTGCTTTGTGATGTTTGCATTCAAGTCACAGAGTTGAATATTCCCTTTTATAGAGCAGGTTTGAAACATTCTTTCTGCACTACCTGGAAGTGGACATTTGGAGCGCTTTGAGGCCTATGTTGAAAAAGGAAATATCTTCCCATAAAAACTAGACAGAAGCATTCTCAGAAACTTGTTTGTGATGTGTGTATTCAACTAACAGAGATGAACCTTTCTTTTTACAGAGCAGTTTTGAAACACTCTTTTTGTGGAATCTGAAAGTGGATATTTGGATAGCTTTGAGGATTTCGTTGGAAACGGGATTACATATAAAACCTAGAGAGAAGCATTCTCAGGAACTTCTTTGTGATGTTTGCATTCAAGTCACAGAACTGAACATTCCCTTTCATAGAGCAGGTTTGAAACACTCTTTCCGTAGTATCTGCAAGCTGACGTTTCAAGCGCTTTCAGGCCTATGGTGAGAAAGGAAATATCTTCAAGTAAAAACTAGACAGAAGCATTCTCAGAAACTTATTTGCGATGTGTGTTCTCAACTAACAGAGTTGAACCTTTGTTTTGATATAGCATTTTGGAAACACTCTTTTTGTAGAATCTGCAGGTGGATATTCGGATAGCTTTGAAGGTTTCGTTGGAAACGGGAATATCTTCATATAAAATCTAGACGGAAGCATTCTCAGAAACTGCTTTGTGATGTTTTCATTCAAGTCACAGAGTAGAATGTTCCCTGTTATATACCAGGTTTGAGACACTCTTTCTGCACTACCTGGAAGTGGACGTTTGGAGCGCTTTGAGGCCTATGTTGAAAAAGGAAATATCTTCCCATAAAAACTAGACAGAAGCATTCTCAGAAACTTGTTTGTGATGTGTGTATTCAACTAACAGAGATGAACCTTTCTTTTTACAGAGCAGTTTTGAAACACTCTTTTTGTGGAATCTGAGAGTGGATATTTGGATAGCTTTGAGGATTTCGTTGGAAACGGGATTACATATAAAATGCTAGAGAGAAGCATTCTCAGGAACTTCTTTGTGATGTTTGCATTCACGTCACAGAACTGAACATTCCCTTTCATAGAGCATGTTTGAAACACTCTTTCTGTAGTATCTGCAAACGGACATTTCAAACGCTTTCAGGCCTATGGTGAGAAAGGAAATATCTTCAAATAAAAACTAGACAGAAGCATTCTCAGAAACTTATTTGCGATGTGTGTCCTCAACTAACAGAGTTGAACCTTTCTTTTGATACAACATTTTGGAAACACTCTTTTTGTAGAATCTGCAAGTGGATATTTGGATAGCTTTGAAGGTTTCGTTGGAAACGGGAATATCTTCATATAAAATCAAGACAGAAGCATTCTCAGAAACTTCTCTGTGATGTTTGCATTCAACTCATAGAGTTGAACACTTCCCTTCATAGAGCAGGTTTGAAACACTCTTTTTGTAATATTTGGAAGTGGACATTTGCAGCGCTTTGAGGCCTATGTTGAAAAAGGAAATATCTTCTCCTAAAAAGCAGACAGAAGCATTCTCAGAAACTTCCTTGTGATGTGTGTACTCAAGTAACAGAGTTGAACCTTACTTTTGACAGAGCCGTTTTGAAACAGTCTTTTTGTAGAATCTGGAAGTAGATATTTGGATACCTTTGAGGATTTCTTTGGAAACGGGATATCTTCATATAAAATCTAGACAGAAGCATTCTCAGGAACTTCTTTGTGATGTTTGCATTCAAGTCACAGAACTGAACATTCCCTTTCATAGAGCAGGTTTGAAACACTCTTTCTGTAGTATCTGCAAGCGGACGTTTCAAGCGCTTTCAGGCCTGTGGTGAAAAAGGAAATATCTTCAAATAAAAACTAGACAGAAGCATTCTCAGAAACTTATTTGCGATGGGTGTTCTCAACTAACAGAGTTGAACCTTTGTTTTGATACAGCATTTTGGAAACACTCTTTTTGTAGGATCTGCAGGTGGATATTTGGATAGATTTGAAGGTTTCGTTGGAAACGGGAATATCTTCATATAAAATCAACACAGAAGCCTTCTCAGAAACTTCTCTGTGATGTTTGCATTGAACTCATAGAGTTGAACACTTCCTTTCATAGAGCTGGTTTGAAATACTCTTTTTGTAATATTTGGAAGTGGACATTGGCAGCGCTTTGAAGCCTGTGGTGAAAAAGGAGATATCTTCTCCTAAAAAACAGACAGAAGCATTCTCAGAATCTTTCTTGTGATGTGTGTACTCAAGTAACAGAGTTGAACCTTCATTTTGACAGAGCAGTTTTGAAGCACTCTTTTTGTAGAATCTACAAGTGGATATTTTGATACCTTTGAGGATTTCGTTGGACACGGGATATCTTCATATAAAATCTAGACAGAAGCATTCTCAGAAACTTCTTTGTGCTGTATGTCCTCAATTAACAGAGTTGAACCTTTGTGTGGATACAGCATTTTGGAAATATTCCTTTAGTAGAATCTGCAAGTTGATATTTAGATAGCTAGGAAGATTTCCTTGGAAACGGGAATATCTTCACATAAAATCTAGACGGAAGCATTCTCAGAAACTGCTTTGTGATGTTTTCATTCAAGTCACAGAGTAGAATGTTCCCTGTTATATACCAGGTTTGAGACACTCTTTCTGCACTACCTGGAAGTGGACGTTTGGAGCGCTTTGAGGCCTATGTTGAAAAAGGAAATATCTTCCCATAAAAACTAGACAGAAGCATTCTCAGAAACTTGTTTGTGATGTGTGTATTCAACTAACAGAGATGAACCTTTCTTTTTACAGAGCAGTTTTGAAACACTCTTTTTGTGGAATCTGAAAGTGGATATTTGGATAGCTTTGAGGATTTCGTTGGAAACGGGATTACATATAAAATCTAGAGAGAAGCATTCTCAGGAACTTCTTTGTGATGTTTGCATTCACGTCACAGAACTGAACATTCCCTTTCATAGAGCATGTTTGAAACACTCTTTCTGTAGTATCTGCAAGCGGACATTTCAAACGCTTTCAGGCCTATGGTGAGAAAGGAAATATCTTCAAATAAAAACTAGACAGAAGCATTCTCAGAAACTTATTTGCGATGTGTGTCCTCAACTATCAGAGTTGAACCTTTCTTTTGATTCAACATTTTGGAACCACTCTTTTTGTAGAATCTGCAAGTGGATATTTGAATAGCTTTGAAGGTTTCGTTGGAAACGGGAATATCTTCATATAAAATCAAGACAGAAGCATTCTCAGAAACTTCTCTGTGATGTTTGCATTCAACTCATAGAGTTGAACACTTCCCTTCATACAGCAGGTTTGAAACACTCTTTTTGTAATATTTGGAAGTGGACATTTGCAGCGCTTTGAGGCCTATGATGAAAAAGGAAATATCTTCCCATAAAAACTAGACAGAAGCATTCTCAGAAACTTGTTTGTGATGTGTGTATTCAACTAACAGAGATGAACCTTTCTTTTTACAGAGCAGTTTTGAAACACTCTTTTTGTGGAATCTGAAAGTGGATATTTGGATAGCTTTGCGGATTTCGTTGGAAACGGGATTACATATAAAATCTAGGGAGAAGCATTCTCAGGAACTTCTTTGTGATGTTTGCATTCAAGTCACAGAACTGAACATTCCCTTTCATAGAGCAGGTTTGAAACACTCTTTCTGTAGTATCTGCAAGCGGACGTTTTAAGCGCTTTCAGGCCTGTGGTGAGAAAGGAAATATCTTCAAATAAAAACTAGACAGAAGCATTCTCAGAAACTTATTTGCGATGTGTGTCCTCAACTAACAGAGTTGAACCTTTCTTTTGATACAACATTTTGGAAACACTCTTTTTGTAGAATCTGCAAGTGGATATTTGGATAGCTTTGAAGGTTTCGTTGGAAACGGGAATATCTTCATATGAAATCAAGACAGAAGCATTCTCAGAAACTTCTCTGTGATGTTTGCATTCAACTCATAGAGTTGAACACTTCCCTTCATACAGCAGGTTTGAAACACTCTTTTTGTAATATTTGGAAGTGGACATTTGCAGCGCTTTGAGGCCTATGTTGAAAAAGGAAATATCTTCTCCTAAAAACCAGACAGAAGCATTCTCAGAAACTTCCTTGTGATGTGTGTACTCAAGTAACAGAGTTGAACCTTCCTTTTGACAGAGCAGTTTTGAAGCACTCTTTTTGTAGAATCTGCAAGTGGATATTTTGATACCTTTGAGGATTTCGTTGGACACGGGATATCTTCATATAAAATCTAGACAGAAGCATTCTCAGAAACTTCTTTGTGCTGTATGTCCTCAATTAACAGAGTTGAACCTTTGTCTGGATACAGCATTTTGGAAACATTCCTTTAGTAGAATCTGCAAGTTGATATTTAGATAGCTAGGAAGATTTCCTTGGAAACGGGAATATCTTCATATAAAATCTAAACGGAAGCATTCTCAGAAAGTGCTTTGTGATGTTTGCATTCAAGTCACAGAGTTGAATATTCCCTTTTATAGAGCAGGTTTGAAACACTCTTTCTGCACTACCTGGAAGTGGACATTTGGAGCGCTTTGAGGCCTATGTTGAAAAACGAAATATCTTCCCATAAAAACTAGACAGAAGCATTCTCAGAAACTTGTTTGTGATGTGTGTATTCAACTAACAGAGATGAACCTTTCTTTTTACAGAGCAGTTTTGAAACACTCTTTTTGTGGAATCTGAAAGTGGATATTTGGATAGCTTTGAGGATTTCGTTGGAAACGGGATTACATATAAAACCTAGAGAGAAGCATTCTCAGGAACTTCTTTGTGATGTTTGCATTCAAGTCACAGAACTGAACATTCCCTTTCATAGAGCAGGTTTGAAACACTCTTTCTGTAGTATCTGCAAGCTGACGTTTCAAGCGCTTTCAGGCCTATGGTGAGAAAGGAAATATCTTCAAGTAAAAACTAGACAGAAGCATTCTCAGAAACTTATTTGCGATGTGTGTTCTCAACTAACAGAGTTGAACCTTTGTTTTGATATGGCATTTTGGAAACACTCTTTTTGTAGAATCTGCAGGTGGATATTCGGATATCTTTGAAGGTTTCGTTGGAAACGGGAGTATCTTCATATAAAATCTAGACGGAAGCATTCTCAGAAACTGCTTTGTGATGTTTTCATTCAAGTCACAGAGTAGAATGTTCCCTGTTATATACCAGGTTTGAGACACTCTTTCTGCACTACCTGGAAGTGGACATTTGGAGCGCTTTGAGGCCTATGATGAAAAAGGAAATATCTTCCCATAAAAACTAGACAGAAGCATTCTCAGAAACTTGTTTGTGATGTGTGTATTCAACTAACAGAGATGAACCTTTCTTTTTACAGAGCAGTTTTGAAACACTCTTTTTGTGGAATCTGAAAGTGGATATTTGGATAGCTTTGAGGATTTCGTTGGAAACGCGATTACATATAAAATCTAGAGAGAAGCATTCTCAGGAACTTCTTTGTGATGTTTGCATTCACGTCACAGAACTGAACATTCCCTTTCATAGAGCATGTTTGAAACACTCTTTCTGTAGTATCTGCAAACGGACATTTCAAACGCTTTCAGGCCTATGGTGAGAAAGGAAATATCTTCAAATAAAAACTAGACAGAAGCATTCTCAGAAACTTATTTGCGATGTGTGTCCTCAACTAACAGAGTTGAACCTTTCTTTTGATACAACATTTTGGAAACACTCTTTTTGTAGAATCTGCAAGTGGATATTTGGATAGCTTTGAAGGTTTCGTTGGAAACGGGAATATCTTCATATGAAATCAAGACAGAAGCATTCTCAGAAACTTCTCTGTGATGTTTGCATTCAACTCATAGAGTTGAACACTTCCCTTCATACAGCAGGTTTGAAACACTCTTTTTGTAATATTTGGAAGTGGACATTTGCAGCGCTTTGAGGCCTATGTTGAAAAAGGAAATATCTTCTCCTAAAAACCAGACAGAAGCATTCTCAGAAACTTCCTTGTGATGTGTGTACTCAAGTAACAGAGTTGAACCTTCCTTTTGACAGAGCAGTTTTGAAGCACTCTTTTTGTAGAATCTGCAAGTGGATATTTTGATACCTTTGAGGATTTCGTTGGACACGGGATATCTTCATATAAAATCTAGACTAGAAGCATTCTCAGAAACTTCTTTGTGCTGTATGTCCTCAATTAACAGAGTTGAACCTTTGTGTGGATACAGCATTTTGGAAATATTCCTTTAGTAGAATCTGCAAGTTGATATTTAGATAGCTAGGAAGATTTCCTTGGAAACGGGAATATCTTCATATAAAATCTAGACGGAAGCATTCTCAGAAAGTGCTTTGTGATGTTTGCATTCAAGTCACAGAGTTGAATATTCCCTTTTATAGAGCAGGTTTGAAACACTCTTTCTGCACTACCTGGAAGTGGACATTTGGAGCGCTTTGAGGCCTATGTTGAAAAAGGAAATATCTTCCCATAAAAACTAGACAGAAGCATTCTCAGAAACTTGTTTGTGATGTGTGTATTCAACTAACAGAGATGAACCTTTCTTTTTACAGAGCAGTTTTGAAACACTCTTTTTGTGGAATCTGAAAGTGGATATTTGGATAGCTTTGAGGATTTCGTTGGAAACGGGATTACATATAAAACCTAGAGAGAAGCATTCTCAGGAACTTCTTTGTGATGTTTGCCTTCAAGTCACAGGACTGAACATTCCCTTTCATAGAGCAGGTTTGAAACACTCTTTCTGTAGTATCTGCAAACGGACGTTTCAAGCGCTTTCAGGCCTATGGTGAGAAAGGAAATATCTTCAAGTAAAAACTAGACAGAAGCATTCTCAGAAACTTATTTGCGATGTGTGTCCTCAACTAACAGAGTTGAACCTTTCTTTTGATACAACATTTTGGAAACACTCTTTTTGTAGAATCAGCAAGTGGATATTTGAATAGCTTTGAAGGTTTCGTTGGAAACGGGAATATCTTCATATAAAATCAAGACAGAAGCATTCTCAGAAACTTCTCTGTGATGTTTGCATTCAACTCATAGAGTTGAACACTTCCCTTCATACAGCAGGTTTGAAACACTCTTTTTGTAATATTTGGAAGTGGACATTTGCAGCGATTTGAGGCCTATGATGAAAAAGGAAATATCTTCCCATAAAAACTAGACAGAAGCATTCTCAGAAACTTGTTTGTGATGTGTGTATTCAACTAACAGAGATGAACCTTTCTTTTTACAGAGCAGTTTTGAAACACTCTTTTTGTGGAATCTGAAAGTGGATATTTGGATAGCTTTGCGGATTTCGTTGGAAACGGGATTACATATAAAATCTAGGGAGAAGCATTCTCAGGAACTTCTTTGTGATGTTTGCATTCAAGTCACAGAACTGAACATTCCCTTTCATAGAGCAGGTTTGAAACACTCTTTCTGTAGTATCTGCAAGCGGACGTTTTAAGCGCTTTCAGGCCTGTGGTGAGAAAGGAAATATCTTCAAATAAAAACTAGACAGAAGCATTCTCAGAAACTTATTTGCGATGTGTGTCCTCAACTAACAGAGTTGAACCTTTCTTTTGATACAACATTTTGGAAACACTCTTTTTGTAGAATCTGCAAGTGGATATTTGGATAGCTTTGAAGGTTTCGTTGGAAACGGGAATATCTTCATATGAAATCAAGACAGAAGCATTCTCAGAAACTTCTCTGTGATGTTTGCATTCAACTCATAGAGTTGAACACTTCCCTTCATACAGCAGGTTTGAAACACTCTTTTTCTAATATTTGGAAGTGGACATTTGCAGCGCTTTGAGGCCTATGTTGAAAAAGGAAATATCTTCTCCTAAAAACCAGACAGAAGCATTCTCAGAAACTTCCTTGTGATGTGTGTACTCAAGTAACAGAGTTGAACCTTCCTTTTGACAGAGCAGTTTTGAAGCACTCTTTTTGTAGAATCTGCAAGTGGATATTTTGATACCTTTGAGGATTTCGTTGGACACGGGATATCTTCATATAAAATCTAGACAGAAGCATTCTCAAAAACTTCTTTGTGCTGTATGTCCTCAATTAACAGAGTTGAACCTTTGTGTGGATACAGCATTTTGGAAACATTCCTTTAGTAGAATCTGCAAGTTGATATTTAGATAGCTAGGAAGATTTCCTTGGAAACGGGAATATCTTCATATAAAATCTAGACGGAAGCATTCTCAGAAAGTGCTTTGTGATGTTTGCATTCAAGTCACAGAGTTGAATATTCCCTTTTATAGAGCAGGTTTGAAACACTCTTTCTGCACTACCTGGAAGTGGACATTTGGAGCGCTTTGAGGCCTATGTTGAAAAAGGAAATATCTTCCCATAAAAACTAGACAGAAGCATTCTCAGAAACTTGTTTGTGATGTGTGTATTCAACTAACAGAGATGAACCTTTCTTTTTACAGAGCAGTTTTGAAACACTCTTTTTGTGGAATCTGAAAGTGGATATTTGGATAGCTTTGAGGATTTCGTTGGAAACGGGATTACATATAAAACCTAGAGAGAAGCATTCTCAGGAACTTCTTTGTGATGTTTGCATTCACGTCACAGAACTGAACATTCCCTTTCATAGAGCATGTTTGAAACACTCTTTCTGTAGTATCTGCAAACGGACATTTCAAACGCTTTCAGGCCTATGGTGAGAAAGGAAATATCTTCAAATAAAAACTAGACAGAAGCATTCTCAGAAACTTATTTGCGATGTGTGTCATCAACTAACAGAGTTGAACCTTTCTTTTGATACAACATTTTGGAAACACTCTTTTTGTAGAATCTGCAAGTGGATATTTGAATAGCTTTGAAGGTTTCGTTGGAAACGGGAATATCTTCATATAAAATCAAGACAGAAGCATTCTCAGAAACTTCTCTGTGATGTTTGCATTCAACTCATAGAGTTGAACACTTCCCTTCATACAGCAGGTTTGAAACACTCTTTTTGTAATATTTGGAAGTGGACATTTGCAGCGCTTTGAGGCCTATGATGAAAAAGGTAATATCTTCCCATAAAAACTAGACAGAAGCATTCTCAGAAACTTGTTTGTGATGTGTGTATTCAACTAACAGAGATGAACCTTTCTTTTTACAGAGCAGTTTTGAAACACTCTTTTTGTGGCATCTGAAAGTGGATATTTGGATAGCTTTGAGGATTTTGTTGGAAACGGGATTACATATAAAACCTAGAGAGAAGCATTCTCAGGAACTTCTTTGCGATGTTTGCATTCAAGTCACAGAACTGAACATTCCCTTTCATAGAGCAGGTTTGAAACACTCTTTCTGTAGTATCTGCAAGCTGACGTTTCAAGCGCTTTCAGGCCTATGGTGAGAAAGGAAATATCTTCAAGTAAAAACTAGACAGAAGCATTCTCAGAAACTTATTTGCGATGTGTGTTCTCAACTAACAGAGTTGAACCTTTGTTTTGATATGGCATTTTGGAAACACTCTTTTTGTAGAATCTGCAGGTGGATATTCGGATAGCTTTGAAGGTTTCGTTGGAAACGGGAATATCTTCATATAAAATCTAGACGGAAGCATTCTCAGAAACTGCTTTGTGATGTTTTCATTCAAGTCACAGAGTAGAATGTTCCCTGTTATATACCAGGTTTGAGACACTCTTTCTGCACTACCTGGAAGTGGACGTTTGGAGCGCTTTGAGGCCTATGTTGAAAAAGGAAATATCTTCCCATAAAAACTAGACAGAAGCATTCTCAGAAACTTGTTTGTGATGTGTGTATTCAACTAACAGAGATGAACCTTTCTTTTTACAGAGCAGTTTTGAAACACTCTTTTTGTGGAATCTGAAAGTGGATATTTGGATAGCTTTGAGGATTTCGTTGGAAACGGGATTACATATAAAACCTAGAGAGAAGCATTCTCAGGAACTTCTTTGTGATGTTTGCATTCAAGTCACAGAACTGAACATTCCCTTTCATAGAGCATGTTTGAAACACTCTTTCTGTAGTATCTGCAAACGGACATTTCAAACGCTTTCAGGCCTATGGTGAGAAAGGAAATATCTTCAAATAAAAACTAGACAGAAGCATTCTCAGAAACTTATTTGCGATGTGTGTCCTCAACTAACAGAGTTGAACCTTTCTTTTGATACAACATTTTGGAAACACTCTTTTTGTAGAATCTGCAAGTGGATATTTGGATAGCTTTGAAGGTTTCGTTGGAAACGGGAATATCTTCATATAAAATCAAGACAGAAGCATTCTCAGAAACTTCTCTGTGATGTTTGCATTCAACTCATAGAGTTGAATGCTTCCCTTCATACAGCAGGTTTGAAACACTCTTTTTGTAATATTTGGAAGTGGACATTTGCAGCGCTTTGAGGCCTATGATGAAAAAGGTAATATCTTCCCATAAAAACTAGACAGAAGCATTCTCAGAAACTTGTTTGTGATGTGTGTATTCAACTAACAGAGATGAACCTTTCTTTTTACAGAGCAGTTTTGAAACACTCTTTTTGTGGAATCTGAAAGTGGATATTTGGATAGCTTTGCGGATTTCGTTGGAAACGGGATTACATATAAAATCTAGGGAGAAGCATTCTCAGGAACTTCTTTGTGATGTTTGCATTCAAGTCACAGAACTGAACATTCCCTTTCATAGAGCAGGTTTGAAACACTCTTTCTGTAGTATCTGCAAGCGGACGTTTTAAGCGCTTTCAGGCCTGTGGTGAGAAAGGAAATATCTTTAAATAAAAACTAGACAGAAGCATTCTCAGAAACTTCTTTGTGCTGTATGTCCTCAATTAACAGAGTTGAACCTTTGTGTGGATACAGCATTTTGGAAACATTCCTTTAGTAGAATCTGCAAGTTGATATTTAGATTGCTAGGAAGATTTCCTTGGAAACGGGAATATCTTCATATAAAATCTAGACGGAAGCATTCTCAGAAACTTCTCTGTGATGTTTGCATTCAACTCATAGAGTTGAACACTTCCCTTCATACAGCAGGTTTGAAACACTCTTTTTCTAATATTTGGAAGTGGACATTTGCAGCGCTTTGAGGCCTATGTTGAAAAAGGAAATATCTTCTCCTAAAAACCAGACAGAAGCATTCTCAGAAACTTCCTTGTGATGTGTGTACTCAAGTAACAGAGTTGAACCTTCCTTTTGACAGAGCAGTTTTGAAGCACTCTTTTTGTAGAATCTGCAAGTGGATATTTTGATACCTTTGAGGATTTCGTTGGACACGGGATATCCTCATATAAAATCTAGACAGAAGCATTCTCAGAAACTTCTTTGTGCTGTATGTCCTCAATTAACAGAGTTGAACCTTTGTGTGGATACAGCATTTTGGAAACATTCCTTTAGTAGAATCTGCAAGTTGATATTTAGATAGCTAGGAAGATTTCCTTGGAAACGGGAATATCTTCATATAAAATCTAGACGGAAGCATTCTCAGAAAGTGCTTTGTGATGTTTGCATTCAAGTCACAGAGTTGAATATTCCGTTTTATAGAGCAGGTTTGAAACACTCTTTCTGCACTACCTGGAAGTGGACATTTGGAGCGCTTTGAGGCCTATGTTGAAAAAGGAAATATCTTCCCCTAAAAACTAGACAGAAGCATTCTCAGAAACTTGTTTGTGATGTGTGTATTCAACTAACAGAGATGAACCTTTCTTTTTACAGAGCAGTTTTGAAACACTCTTTTTGTGGAATCTGAAAGTGGATATTTGGATAGCTTTGAGGATTTCGTTGGAAACGGGATTACATATAAAACCTAGAGAGAAGCATTCTCAGGAACTTCTTTGTGATGTTTGCCTTCAAGTCACAGGACTGAACATTCCCTTTCATAGAGCAGGTTTGAAACACTCTTTCTGTAGTATCTGCAAGCTGACGTTTCAAGCGCTTTCAGGCCTATGGTGAGAAAGGAAATATCTTCAAGTAAAAACTAGACAGAAGCATTCTCAGAAACTTCTTTGCCATGTGTGTTCTCAACTAACAGAGTTGAACCTTTGTTTTGATACGGCATTTTGGAAACACTCTTTTTGTAGAATCTGCAGGTGGATATTCGGATAGCTTTGAAGGTTTCGTTGGAAACGGGAATATCTTCATATAAAATCTAGACGGAAGCATTCTCAGAAACTGCTTTGTGATGTTTTCATTCAAGTCACAGAGTAGAATGTTCCCTGTTATACACCAGGTTTGAGACACTCTTTCTGCACTACCTGGAAGTGGACGTTTGGAGCGCTTTGAGGCCTATGTTGAAAAAGGAAATATCTTCCCATAAAAACTAGACAGAAGCATTCTCAGAAACTTGTTTGTGATGTGTGTATTCAACTAACAGAGATGAACCTTTCTTTTTACAGAGCAGTTTTGAAACACTCTTTTTGTGGAATCTGAAAGTGGATATTTGGATAGCTTTGAGGATTTCGTTGGAAACGGGATTACATATAAAATCTAGAGAGAAGCATTCTCAGGAACTTCTTTGTGATGTTTGCATTCACGTCACAGAACTGAACATTCCCTTTCATAGAGCATGTTTGAAACACTCTTTCTGTAGTATCTGCAAACGGACATTTCAAACGCTTTCAGGCCTATGGTGAGAAAGGAAATATCTTCAAATAAAAACTAGACAGAAGCATTCTCAGAAACTTATTTGCGATGTGTGTCCTCAACTAACAGAGTTGAACCTTTCTTTTGATACAACATTTTGGAAACACTCTTTTTGTAGAATCTGCAAGTGGATATTTGAATAGCTTTGAAGGTTTCGTTGGAAACGGGAATATCTTCATATAAAATCAAGACAGAAGCATTCTCAGAAACTTCTCTGTGATGTTTGCATTCAACTCATAGAGTTGAACACTTCCCTTCATACAGCAGGTTTGAAACACTCTTTTTGTAATATTTGGAAGTGGACATTTGCAGCTCTTTGAGGCCTATGATGAAAAAGGTAATATCTTCCCGTAAAAACTAGACAGAAGCATTCTCAGAAACTTGTTTGTGATGTGTGTATTCAACTAACAGAGATGAACCTTTCTTTTTACAGAGCAGTTTTGAAACACTCTTTTTGTGGAATCTGAAAGTGGATATTTGGATAGCTTTGAGGATTTCGTTGGAAACGGGATTACATATAAAACCTAGAGAGAAGCATTCTCAGGAACTTCTTTGTGATGTTTGCATTCAAGTCACAGAACTGAACATTCCCTTTCATAGAGCAGGTTTGAAACACTCTTTCTGTAGTATCTGCAAGCTGACGTTTCAAGCGCTTTCAGGCCTATGGTGAGAAAGGAAATATCTTCAACTAAAAACTAGACAGAAGCATTCTCAGAAACTTATTTGCCATGTGTGTTCTCAACTAACAGAGTTGAACCTTTGTTTTGATACGGCATTTTGGAAACACTCTTTTTGTAGAATCTGCAGGTGGATATTCGGATAGCTTTGAAGGTTTCGTTGGAAACGGGAATATCTTCATATAAAATCTAGACGGAAGCATTCTCAGAAACTGCTTTGTGATGTTTTCATTCAACTCACAGAGTAGAATGTTCCCTGTTATATACCAGGTTTGAGACACTCTTTCTGCACTACCTGGAAGTGGACATTTGGAGCGCTTTGAGGCCTATGATGAAAAAGGAAATATCTTCCCATAAAAACAAGACAGAAGCATTCTCAGAAACTTGTTTGTGATGTGTGTATTCAACTAACAGAGATGAACCTTTCTTTTTACAGAGTAGTTTTGAAACACTCTTTTTGTGGAATCTGAAAGTGGATATTTGTATAGCTTTGAGGATTTCGTTGGAAACGGGATTACATATAAAATCTAGAGAGAAGCATTCTCAGGAACTTCTTTGTGATGTTTGCATTCACGTCACAGAACTGAACATTCCCTTTCATAGAGCATGTTTGAAACACTCTTTCTGTAGTATCTGCAAACGGACATTTCAAACGCTTTCAGGCCTATGGTGAGAAAGGAAATATCTTCAAATAAAAACAAGACAGAAGCATTCTCAGAAACTTATTTGCCATGTGTGTTCTCAACTAACAGAGTTGAACCTTTGTTTTGATACGGCATTTTGGAAACACTCTTTTTGTAGAATCTGCAGGTGGATATTCGGATAGCTTTGAAGGTTTCGTTGGAAACGGGAATATCTTCATATAAAATCTAGACGGAAGCATTCTCAGAAACTGCTTTGTGATGTTTTCATTCAAGTCACAGAGTAGAATCTTCCCTGTTATATACCAGGTTTCAGACACTCTTTCTGCACTACCTGGAAGTGGACATTTGCAGCGCTTTGAGGCCTATGATGAAAAAGGAAATATCTTCCCATAAAAACTAGACAGAAGCATTCTCAGAAACTTGTTTGTGATGTGTGTATTCAACTAACAGAGATGAACCTTTCTTTTTACAGAGCAGTTTTGAAACACTCTTTTTGTGGAATCTGAAAGTGGATATTTGGATAGCTTTGAGGATTTCGTTGGAAACGGGATTACATATAAAACCTAGAGAGAAGCATTCTCAGGAACTTCTTTGTGATGTTTGCATTCACGTCACAGAACTGAACATTCCCTTTCATAGAGCATGTTTGAAACACTCTTTCTGTAGTATCTGCAAACGGACATTTCAAACGCTTTCAGGCCTATGGTGAGAAAGGAAATATCTTCAAATAAAAACTAGACAGAAGCATTCTCAGAAACTTATTTGCGATGTGTGTCCTCAACTAACAGAGTTGAACCTTTCTTTTCATACAACATTTTGGAAACACTCTTTTTGTGGAATCTGTAAGGGGATATTTGGATAGCTTTGAAGGTTTCGTTGGAAACGGGAATATCTTCATATAAAATCAAGACAGAAGCATTCTCAGAAACTTCTCTGTGATGTTTGCATTCAACTCATAGAGTTGAACACTTCCCTTCATACAGCAGGTTTGAAACACTCTTTTTGTAATATTTGGAAGTGGACATTTGCAGCGCTTTGAGGCCTATGATGAAAAAGGAAATATCTTCCAATAAAAACTAGACAGAAGAATTCTCAGAAACTTGTTTGTGATGTGTGTATTCAACTAACAGAGATGAACCTTTCTTTTTACAGAGCAGTTTTGAAACACTCTTTTTGTGGAATCTGAAAGTGGATATTTGGATAGCTTTGCGGATTTCGTTGGAAACGGGATTACATATAAAATCTAGGGAGAAGCATTCTCAGGAACTTCTTTGTGATGTTTGCATTCAAGTCACAGAACTGAACATTCCCTTTCATAGAGCAGGTTTGAAACACTCTTTCTGTAGTATCTGCAAGCGGACGTTTTAAGCGCTTTCAGGCCTGTGGTGAGAAAGGAAATATCTTCAAATAAAAACTAGACAGAAGCATTCTCAGAAACTTATTTGCGATGTGTGTCCTCAACTAACAGAGTTGAACCTTTCTTTTGATACAACATTTTGGAAACACTCTTTTTGTAGAATCTGCAAGTGGATATTTGGATAGCTTTGAAGGTTTCGTTGGAAACGGGAATATCTTCATATGAAATCAAGACAGAAGCATTCTCAGAAACTTCTCTGTGATGTTTGCATTCAACTCATAGAGTTGAACACTTCTCTTCATACAGCAGGTTTGAAACACTCTTTTTCTAATATTTGGAAGTGGACATTTGCAGCGCTTTGAGGCCTATGTTGAAAAAGGAAATATCTTCTCCTAAAAACCAGACAGAAGCATTCTCAGAAACTTCCTTGTGATGTGTGTACTCAAGTAACAGAGTTGAACCTTCCTTTTGACAGAGCAGTTTTGAAGCACTCTTTTTGTAGAATCTGCAAGTGGATATTTTGATACCTTTGAGGATTTCGTTGGACACGGGATATCTTCATATAAAATCTAGACAGAAGCATTCTCAGAAACTTCTTTGTGCTGTATGTCCTCAATTAACAGAGTTGAACCATTGTGTGGATACAGCATTTTGGAAACATTCCTTTAGTAGAATCTGCAAGTTGATATTTAGATAGCTAGGAAGATTTCCTTGGAAACGGGAATATCTTCATATAAAATCTAGACGGAAGCATTCTCAGTAAACTGCTTTGTGATGTTTTCATTCAAGTCACAGAGTAGAATGTTCCCTTTTATATACCAGGTTTGAGACACTCTTTCTGCACTACCTGGAAGTGGACATTTGGAGCGCTTTGAGGCCTATGATGAAAAAGGAAATATCTTCCCATAAAAACTAGACAGAAGCATTCTCAGAAACTTGTTTGTGATGTGTGTATTCAACTAACAGAGATGAACCTTTCTTTTTACAGAGCAGTTTTGAAACACTCTTTTTGTGGAATCTGAAAGTGGATATTTGGATAGCTTTGCGGATTTCGTTGGAAACGGGATTACATATAAAACCTAGAGAGAAGCATTCTCAGGAACTACTTTGCGATGTTTGCATTCAAGTCACAGAACTGAACATTCCCTTTCATAGAGCAGGTTTGAAACACTCTTTCTGTAGTATCTGCAAGCTGACGTTTCAAGCGCTTTCAGGCCTACGGTGAGAAAGGAAATTTCTGCAAGTAAAAACTAGACAGAAGCATTCTCAGAAACTTATTTGCGATGTGTGTTCTCAACTAACAGAGTTGAACCTTTGTTTTGATATGGCATTTTGGAAACACTCTTTTTGTAGAATCTGCAGGTGGATATTCGGATAGCTTTGAAGGTTTCGTTGGAAACGGGAATATCTTCATATAAAATCTAGACGGAAGCATTCTCAGAAACTGCTGTGTGATGTTTTCATTCAAGTCACAGAGTAGAATGTTCCCTGTTATATACCAGGTTTGAGACACTCTTTCTGCACTACCTGGAAGTGGACGTTTGGAGCGCTTTGAGGCCTATGTTGAAAAAGGAAATATCTTCCCATAAAAACTAGACAGAAGCATTCTCAGAAACTTGTTTGTGATGTGTGTATTCAACTAACAGAGATGAACCTTTCTTTTTACAGAGCAGTTTTGAAACACTCTTTTTGTGGAATCTGAAAGTGGATATTTGGATAGCTTTGAGGATTTCGTTGGAAACGGGATTACATATAAAATCTAGAGAGAAGCATTCTCAGGAACTTCTTTGTGATGTTTTCATTCACGTCACAGAACTGAACATTCCCTTTCATAGAGCATGTTTGAAACACTCTTTCTGTAGTATCTGCAAACGGACATTTCAAACGCTTTCAGGCCTATGGTGAGAAAGGAAATATCTTCAAATAAAAACTAGACAGAAGCATTCTCAGAAACTTATTTGCGATGTGTGTCCTCAACTAACAGAGTTGAACCTTTCTTTTGATACAACATTTTGGAAACACTCTTTTTGTAGAATCTGCAAGTGGATATTTGGATAGCTTTGAAGGTTTCGTTGGAAACGGGAATATCTTCATATAAAATCAAGACAGAAGCATTCTCAGAAACTTCTCTGTGATGTTTGCATTCAACTCATAGAGTTGAACACTTCCTTTCATACAGCAGGTTTGAAACACTCTTTTTGTAATACTTGGAAGTGGACATTTGCAGCGCTTTGAGGCCTATGTTGAAAAAGGAAATATCTTCTCCTAAAAACCAGACAGAAGCATTCTCAGAAACTTCCTTGTGATGTGTGTACTCAAGTAACAGAGTTGAACCTTCCTTTTGACAGAGCAGTTTTGAAGCACTCTTTTTGTAGAATCTGCAAGTGGATATTTTGATACCTTTGAGGATTTCGTTGGACACGGGATATCTTCATATAAAATCTAGACAGAAGCATTCTCAGAAACTTCTTTGTGCTGTATGTCCTCAATTAACAGAGTTGAACCTTTGTGTGGATACAGCATTTTGGAAACATTCCTTTAGTAGAATCTGCAAGTTGATATTTAGATAGCTAGGAAGATTTCCTTGGAAACGGGAATATCTTCATATAAAATCTAGACGGAAGCATTCTCAGAAAGTGCTTTGTGATGTTTGCATTCAAGTCACAGAGTTGAATATTCCCTTTTATAGAGCAGGTTTGAAACACTCTTTCTGCACTACCTGGAAGTGGACATTTGGAGCGCTTTGAGGCCTATGTTGAAAAAGGAAATATCTTCCCATAAAAACTAGACAGAAAGCATTCTCAGAAATTTGTTTGTGATGTGTGTATTCAACTAACAGAGATGAACCTTTCTTTTTACAGAGCAGTTTTGAAACACTCTTTTTGTGGATTCTGAAAGTGGATATTTGGATGGCTTTGAGGATTTTGTTGGAAACGGGATTACATATAAAACCTAGAGAGAAGCATTCTCAGGAACTTCTTTGTGATGTTTGCATTCAAGTCACAGAACTGAACATTCCCTTTCATAGAGCAGGTTTGAAACACTCTTTCTGTAGTATCTGCAAGCTGACGTTTCAAGCGCTTTCAGGCCTATGGTGAGAAAGGAAATATCTTCAAGTAAAAACTAGACAGAAGCATTCTCAGAAACTTATTTGCGATGTGTGTTCTCAACTAACAGAGTTGAACGTTTGTTTTGATACGGCATTTTGGAAACACTCTTTTTGTAGAATCTGCAGGTGGATATTCGGATAGCTTTGAAGGTTTCGTTGGAAACGGGAATATCTTCATATAAAATCTAGACGGAAGCATTCTCAGAAACTGCTTTGTGATGTTTTCATTCGAGTCACAGAGTAGAATGTTCCCTGTTATATACCAGGTTTGAGACACTATTTCTGCACTACCTGGAAGTGGACATTTGGAGCTCTTTGAGGCCTATGATGAAAAAGGAAATATCTTCCCATAAAAACTAGACAGAAGCATTCTCAGAAACTTGTTTGTGATGTGTGTATTCAACTAACAGAGATGAACCTTTCTTTTTACAGAGCAGTTTTGAAACACTCTTTTTGTGGAATCTGAAAGTGGATATTTGGATAGCTTTGAGGATTTCGTTGGAAACGGGATTACATATAAAATCTAGAGAGAAGCATTCTCAGGAACTTCTTTGTGATGTTTGCATTCACGTCACAGAACTGAACATTCCCTTTCATAGAGCATGTTTGAAACACTCTTTCTGTAGTATCTGCAAACGGACATTTCAAACGCTTTCAGGCCTATGGTGAGAAAGGAAATATCTTCAAATAAAAACTAGACAGAAGCATTCTCAGAAACTTATTTGCGATGTGTGTCCTCAACTAACAGAGTTGAACCTTTCTTTTGATACAACATTTTGGAAACACTCTTTTTGTAGAATCTGCAAGTGGATATTTGGATAGCTTTGAAGGTTTCGTTGGAAACGGGAATATCTTCATATGAAATCAAGACAGAAGCATTCTCAGAAACTTCTCTGTGATGTTTGCATTCAACTCATAGAGTTGAACACTTCCCTTCATACAGCAGGTTTGAAACACTCTTTTTGTAATATTTGGAAGTGGACATTTGCAGCGCTTTGAGGCCTATGTTGAAAAAGGAAATATCTTCTCCTAAAAACCAGACAGAAGCATTCTCAGAAACTTCCTTGTGATGTGTGTACTCAAGTAACAGAGTTGAACCTTCCTTTTGACAGAGCAGTTTTGAAGCACTCTTTTTGTAGAATCTGCAAGTGGATATTTTGATACCTTTGAGGATTTCGTTGGACACGGGATATCTTCATATAAAATCTAGACAGAAGCATTCTCAGAAACTTCTTTGTGCTGTATGTCCTCAATTAACAGAGTTGAACCTTTGTGTGGATACAGCATTTTGGAAACATTCATTTAGTAGAATCTGCAAGTTGATATTTAGATAGCTAGGAAGATTTCCTTGGAAACGGGAATATCTTCATATAAAATCTAGACGGAAGCATTCTCAGAAAGTGCTTTGTGATGTTTGCATTCAAGTCACAGAGTTGAATATTCCCTTTTATAGAGCAGGTTTGAAACACTCTTTCTGCACTACCTGGAAGTGGACATTTGGAGCGCTTTGAGGCCTTTGTTGAAAAAGGAAATATCTTCCCATAAAAACTAGACAGAAGCATTCTCAGAAACTTGTTTGTGATGTGTGTATTCAACTAACAGAGATGAACCTTTCTTTTTACAGAGCAGTTTTGAAACACTCTTTTTGTGGAATCTGAAAGTGGATATTTGGATAGCTTTGCGGATTTCGTTGGAAACGGGATTACATATAAAATCTAGGGAGAAGCATTCTCAGGAACTTCTTTGTGATGTTTGCATTCAAGTCACAGAACTGAACATTCCGTTTCATAGAGCAGGTTTGAAACACTCTTTCTGTAGTATCTGCAAGCGGACGTTTTAAGCGCTTTCAGGCCTGTGGTGAGAAAGGAAATATCTTCAAATAAAAACTAGACAGAAGCATTCTCAGAAACTTATTTGCGATGTGTGTCCTCAACTAACAGAGTTGAACCTTTCTTTTGATACAACATTTTGGAAACACTCTTTTTGTAGAATCTGCAAGTGGATATTTGGATAGCTTTGAAGGTTTCGTTGGAAACGGGAATATCTTCATATGAAATCAAGACAGAAGCATTCTCAGAAACTTCTCTGTGATGTTTGCATTCAACTCATAGAGTTGAACACTTCCCTTCATACAGCAGGTTTGAAACACTCTTTTTCTAATATTTGGAAGTGGACATTTGCAGCAATTTGAGGCCTATGTTGAAAAAGGAAATATCTTCTCCTAAAAACCAGACAGAAGCATTCTCAGGAACTTCTTTGTGATGTTTGCATTCACGTCACAGAACTGAACATTCCCTTTCATAGAGAATATTGAAACACTCTTTCTGTAGTATCTGCAAACGGACATTTCAAACGCTTTCAGGCCTATGGTGAGAAAGGAAATATCTTCAAATAAAAACTAGACAGAAGCATTCTCAGAAACTTCTTTGTGCTGTATGTCCTCAATTAACAGAGTTGAACCTATGTTTCGATACAGCATTTTGGAAACATTCCTTTAGTAGAATCTGCAAGTTGATATTTAGATAGCTAGGAAGATTTCCTTGGAAACGGGAATATCTTCATATAAAATCTAGACGGAAGCATTCTCAGAAAGTGCTTTGTGATGTTTGCATTCAAGTCACAGAGTTGAATATTCCCTTTTATAGAGCAGGTTTGAAACACTCTTTCTGCACTACCTGGAAGTGGACATTTGGAGCGCTTTGAGGCCTATGTTGAAAAAGGAAATATCTTCCCATAAAAACTAGACAGAAGCATTCTCAGAAACTTGTTTGTGATGTGTGTATTCAACTAACAGAGATGAACCTTTCTTTTTACAGAGCAGTTTTGAAACACTCTTTTTGTGGAATCTGAAAGTGGATATTTGGATAGCTTTGAGGATTTCGTTGGAAACGGGATTACATATAAAACCTAGAGAGAAGCATTCTCAGGAACTTCTTTGTGATGTTTGCCTTCAAGTCACAGGACTGAACATTCCCTTTCATAGAGCAGGTTTGAAACACTCTTTCTGTAGTATCTGCAAGCTGACGTTTCAAGCGCTTTCAGGCCTATGGTGAGAAAGGAAATATCTTCAAGTAAAAACTAGACAGAAGCATTCTCAGAAACTTATTTGCCATGTGTGTTCTCAACTAACAGCAGTTGAACCTTTGTTTTGATACGGCATTTTGGAAACACTCTTTTTGTAGAATCTGCAGGTGGATATTCGGATAGCTTTGAAGGTTTCGTTGGAAACGGGAATATCTTCATATAAAATCTAGACGGAAGCATTCTCAGAAAGTGCTTTGTGATGTTTGCATTCAAGTCACAGAGTTGAATATTCCCTTTTATAGAGCAGGTTTGAAACACTCTTTCTGCACTACCTGGAAGTGGACATTTGGAGCGCTTTGAGGCCTATGTTGAAAAAGGAAATATCTTCCCATAAAAACTAGACAGAAGCATTCTCAGAAACTTGTTTGTGATGTGTGTATTCAACTAACAGAGATGAACCTTTCTTTTTACAGAGCAGTTTTGAAACACTCTTTTTGTGGAATCTGAAAGTGGATATTTGGATAGCTTTGAGGATTTCGTTGTAAACGGGATTACATATAAAACCTAGAGAGAAGCATTCTCAGGAACTTCTTTGTGATGTTTGCCTTCAAGTCACAGGACTGAACATTCCCTTTCATAGAGCAGGTTTGAAACACTCTTTCTGTAGTATCTGCAAGCTGACGTTTCAAGCGCTTTCAGGCCTATGGTGAGAAAGGAAATATCTTCAAGTAAAAACTAGACAGAAGCATTCTCAGAAACTTATTTGCGATGTGTGTTCTCAACTAACAGAGTTGAACCTTTGTTTTGATATGGCATTTTGGAAACACTCTTTTTGTAGAATCTGCAGGTGGATATTCGGATAGCTTTGAAGGTTTCGTTGGAAACGGGAATATCTTCATATAAAATCTAGACGGAAGCATTCTCAGAAACTGCTTTGTGATGTTTTCATTCAAGTCACAGAGTAGAATGTTCCCTGTTATATACCAGGTTTGAGACACTCTTTCTGCACTACCTGGAAGTGGACGTTTGGAGCGCTTTGAGGCCTATGTTGAAAAAGGAAATATCTTCCCATAAAAACTAGACAGAAGCATTCTCAGAAACTTGTTTGTGATGTGTGTATTCAACTAACAGAGATGAACCTTTCTTTTTACAGAGCAGTTTTGAAACACTCTTTTTGTGGAATCTGAAAGTGGATATTTGGATAGCTTTGAGGATTTCGTTGGAAACGGGATTACATATAAAATCTAGAGAGAAGCATTCTCAGGAACTTCTTTGTGATGTTTGCATTCACGTCACAGAACTGAACATTCCCTTTCATAGAGCATGTTTGAAACACTCTTTCTGTAGTATCTACAAGCGGACATTTCAAACGCTTTCAGGCCTATGGTGAGAAAGGAAATATCTTCAAATAAAAACTAGACAGAAGCATTCTCAGAAACTTATTTGCGATGTGTGTCCTCAACTAACAGAGTTGAACCTTTCTTTTGATACAACATTTTGGAAACACTCTTTTTGTAGAATCTGCAAGTGGATATTTGAATAGCTTTGAAGGTTTCGTTGGAAACGGGAATATCTTCATATAAAATCAAGACAGAAGCATTCTCAGAAACTTCTCTGTGATGTTTGCATTCAACTCATAGAGTTGAACACTTCCCTTCATACAGCAGGTTTGAAACACTCTTTTTGTAATATTTGGAAGTGGACTTTTGCAGCGCTTTGAGGCTTATGATGAAAAAGGTAATATCTTCCCATAAAAACTAGACAGAAGCATTCTCAGAAACTTGTTTGTGATGTGTGTATTCAACTAACAGAGATGAACCTTTCTTTTTACAGAGCAGTTTTGAAACACTCTTTTTGTGGAATCTGAAAGTGGATATTTGGATAGCTTTGCGGATTTCGTTGGAAACGGGATTACATATAAAATCTAGGGAGAAGCATTCTCAGGAACTTCTTTATGATGTTTGCATTCAAGTCACAGAACTCAACATTCCCTTTCATAGAGCAGGTTTGAAACACTCTTTCTGTAGTATCTGCAAGCGAACGTTTTAAGCGCTTTCAGGCCTGTGGTGAGAAAGGAAATATCTTCAAATAAAAACTAGACAGAAGCATTCTCAGAAACTTATTTGCGATGTGTGTCCTCAACTAACAGAGTTGAACCTTTCTTTTGATACAACATTTTGGAAACACTCTTTTTGTAGAATCTGCAAGTGGATATTTGGATAGCTTTGAAGGTTTCGTTGGAAACGGGAATATCTTCATATGAAATCAAGACAGAAGCATTCTCAGAAACTTCTCTGTGATGTTTGCATTCAACTCATAGAGTTGAACACTTCCCTTCATACAGCAGGTTTGAAACACTCTTTTTCTAATATTTGGAAGTGGACATTTGCAGCGCTTTGAGGCCTATGTTGAAAAAGGAAATATCTTCTCCTAAAAACCAGACAGAAGCATTCTCAGAAACTTCCTTGTGATGTGTGTACTCAAGTAACAGAGTTGAACCTTCCTTTTGACAGAGCAGTTTTGAAGCACTCTTTTTGTAGAATCTGCAAGTGGATATTTTGATACCTTTGAGGATTTCGTTGGACACGGGATATCTTCATATAAAATCTAGACAGAAGCATTCTCAGAAACTTATTTGCGATGTGTGTCCTCAGCTAACAGAGTTGAACCTTTCTTTTGATACAACATTTTGGAACCACTCTTTTTGTAGAATCTGCAAGTGGATATTTGGATAGCTTTGAAGGTTTCGTTGGAAACGGGAATATCTTCATATAAAATCAACACAGAAGCATTCTCAGCAAAGTGCTTTGTGATGTTTGCATTCAAGTCACAGAGTTGAATATTCCCTTTTATAGAGCAGGTTTGAAACACTCTTTCTGCACTACCTGGAAGTGGACATTTGGAGCGCTTTGAGGCCTATGTTGAAAAACGAAATATCTTCCCATAAAAACTAGACAGAAGCATTCTCAGAAACTTGTTTGTGATGTGTGTATTCAACTAACAGAGATGAACCTTTCTTTTTACAGAGCAGTTTTGAAACACTCTTTTTGTGGAATCTGAAAGTGGATATTTGGATAGCTTTGAGGATTTCGTTGGAAACGGGATTACATATAAAACCTAGAGAGAAGCATTCTCAGGAACTTCTTTGTGATGTTTGCCTTCAAGTCACAGGACTGAACATTCCCTTTCATAGAGCAGGTTTGAAACACTCTTTCTGTAGTATCTGCAAGCTGACGTTTCAAGCGCTTTCAGGCCTATGGTGAGAAAGGAAATATCTTCAAGTAAAAACTAGACAGAAGCATTCTCAGAAACTTATTTGCGATGTGTGTTCTCAACTAACAGAGTTGAACCTTTGTTTTGATATGGCATTTTGGAAACACTCTTTTTGTAGAATCTGCAGGTGGATATTCGGATAGCTTTGAAGGTTTCGTTGGAAACGGGAATATCTTCATATAAAATCTAGACGGAAGCATTCTCAGAAACTGCTTTGTGATGTTTTCATTCAAGTCACAGAGTAGAATGTTCCCTGTTATATACCAGGTTTGAGACACTCTTTCTGCACTACCTGGAAGTGGACATTTGCAGCGCTTTGAGGCCTATGATGAAAAAGGAAATATCTTCCCATAAAAACTAGACAGAAGCATTCTCAGAAACTTGTTTTTGATGTGTGTATTCAACTAACAGAGATGAACCTTTCTTTTTACAGAGCAGTTTTGAAACACTCTTTTTGTGGAATCTGAAAGTGGATATTTGGATAGCTTTGAGGAATTCGTTGGAAACGGGATTACATATAAAATGCTAGAGAGAAGCATTCTCAGGAACTTCTTTGTGATGTTTGCATTCACGTCACAGAACTGAACATTCCCTTTCATAGAGCAGGTTTGAAACACTCTTTCTGTAGTATCTGCAAACGGACATTTCAAACGCTTTCAGGCCTATGGTGAGAAAGGAAATATCTTCAAGTAAAAACTAGACAGAAGCATTCTCAGAAACTTATTTGCGATGTGTGTCCTCAACTAACAGAGTTGAACCTTTCTTTTGATACAACATTTTGGAAACACTCTTTTTGTAGAATCTGCAAGTGGATATTTGAATAGCTTTGAAGGTTTCGTTGGAAACGGGAATATCTTCATATAAAATCAAGACAGAAGCATTCTCAGAAACTTCTCTGTGATGTTTGCATTCAACTCATAGAGTTGAACACTTCCCTTCATACAGCAGGTTTGAAACACTCTTTTTGTAATATTTGGAAGTGGACATTTGCAGCGCTTTGAGGCCTATGATGAAAAAGGAAATATCTTCCCATAAAAACTAGACAGAAGCCTTCTCAGAAACTTGTTTGTGATGTGTGTATTCAACTAACAGAGATGAACCTTTCTTTTTACAGAGCAGTTTTGAAACACTCTTTTTGTGGAATCTGAAAGTGGATATTTGGATAGCTTTGCGGATTTCGTTGGAAACGGGATTACATATAAAATCTAGGGAGAAGCATTCTCAGGAACTTCTTTGTGATGTTTGCATTCAAGTCACAGAACTGAACATTCCCTTTCATAGAGCAGGTTTGAAACACTCTTTCTGTAGTATCTGCAAGCGGACGTTTTAAGCGCTTTCAGGCCTGTGGTGAGAAAGGAAATATCTTCAAATAAAAACTAGACAGAAGCATTCTCAGAAACTTATTTGCGATGTGTGTCCTCAACTAACAGAGTTGAACCTTTCTTTTGATACAACATTTTGGAAACACTCTTTTTGTAGAATCTGCAAGTGGACATTTGGATAGCTTTGAAGGTTTCGTTGGAAACGGGAATATCTTCATATGAAATCAAGACAGAAGCATTCTCAGAAACTTCTCTGTGATGTTTGCATTCAACTCATAGAGTTGAACACTTCCCTTCATACAGCAGGTTTGAAACACTCTTTTTCTAATATTTGGAAGTGGACATTTGCAGCGCTTTGAGGCCTATGTTGAAAAAGGAAATATCTTCTCCTAAAAACCAGACAGAAGCATTCTCAGAAACTTCCTTGTGATGTGTGTACTCAAGTAACAGAGTTGAACCTTCCTTTTGACAGAGCAGTTTTGAAGCACTCTTTTTGTAGAATCTGCAAGTGGATATTTTGATACCTTTGAGGATTTCGTTGGACACGGGATATCTTCATATAAAATCTAGACAGAAGCATTCTCAGAAACTTCTTTGTGCTGTATGTCCTCAATTAACAGAGTTGAACCTTTGTGTGGATACAGCATTTTGGAAACATTCCTTTAGTAGAATCTGCAAGTTGATATTTAGATAGCTAGGAAGATTTCCTTGGAAACGGGAATATCTTCATATAAAATCTAGACAGAAGCATTCTCAGAAAGTGCTTTGTGATGTCTTCATTCAAGTCACAGAGTAGAATGTTCCCTTTTATAGAGCAGGTTTGAAACACTCTTTCTGCACTACCTGGAAGTGGACATTTGGAGCGCTTTGAGGCCTATGTTGAAAAAGGAAATATCTTCCCATAAAAACTAGACAGAAGCATTCTCAGAAACTTGTTTGTGATGTGTGTATTCAACTAACAGAGATGAACCTTTCTTTTTACAGAGCAGTTTTGAAACACTCTTTTTGTGGAATCTGAAAGTGGATATTTGGATAGCTTTGAGGATTTCGTTGGAAACGGGATTACATATAAAACCTAGAGAGAAGCATTCTCAGGAACTTCTTTGTGATGTTTGCATTCAAGTCACAGAACTGAACATTCCCTTTCATAGAGCAGGTTTGAAACACTCTTTCTGTAGTATCTGCAAGCTGACGTTTCAAGCGCTTTCAGGCCTAT
Source organism: Homo sapiens (assembly GCF_000001405.40). Lineage (NCBI taxonomy): Eukaryota > Metazoa > Chordata > Mammalia > Primates > Hominidae > Homo > Homo sapiens. The sequence goes on from NC_000009.12 coordinate 43,907,297, forward strand.
GGTGAGAAAGGAAATATCTTCAAGTAAAAACTAGACAGAAGCATTCTCAGAAACTTATTTGCCATGTGTGTTCTCAACTAACAGAGTTGAACCTTTGTTTTGATATGGCATTTTGGAAACACTCTTTTTGTAGAATCTGCAGGTGGATATTCGGATAGCTTTGAAGGTTTCGTTGGAAACGGGAATATCTTCATATAAAATCTAGACGGAAGCATTCTCAGAAACTGCTTTGTGATGTTTTCATTCAAGTCACAGAGTAGAATGTTCCCTGTTATATACCAGGTTTGAGACACTCTTTCTGCACTACCTGGAAGTGGACATTTGCAGCGCTTTGAGGCCTATGATGAAAAAGGAAATATCTTCCCATAAAAACTAGACAGAAGCATTCTCAGAAACTTGTTTGTGATGTGTGTATTCAACTAACAGAGATGAACCTTTCTTTTTACAGAGCAGTTTTGAAACACTCTTTTTGTGGAATCTGAAAGTGGATATTTGGATAGCTTTGAGGATTTCGTTGGAAACGGGATTACATATAAAATCTAGAGAGAAGCATTCTCAGGAACTTCTTTGTGATGTTTGCATTCAAGTCACAGAACTGAACATTCCCTTTCATAGAGCATGTTTGAAACACTCTTTCTGTAGTATCTGCAAGCGGACGTTTTAAGCGCTTTCAGGCCTGTGGTGAGAAAGGAAATATCTTCAAATAAAAACTAGACAGAAGCATTCTCAGAAACTTATTTGCGATGTGTGTCCTCAACTAACAGAGTTGAACCTTTCTTTTGATACAACATTTTGGAAACACTCTTTTTGTAGAATCTGCAAGTGGATATTTGGATAGCTTTGAAGGTTTCGTTGGAAACGGGAATATCTTCATATGAAATCAAGACAGAAGCATTCTCAGAAACTTCTCTGTGATGTTTGCATTCAACTCATAGAGTTGAACACTTCCCTTCATACAGCAGGTTTGAAACACTCTTTTTCTAATATTTGGAAGTGGACATTTGCAGCGCTTTGAGGCCTATGTTGAAAAAGGAAATATCTTCTCCTAAAAACCAGACAGAAGCATTCTCAGAAACTTCCTTGTGATGTGTGTACTCAAGTAACAGAGTTGAACCTTCCTTTTGACAGAGCAGTTTTGAAGCACTCTTTTTGTAGAATCTGCAAGTGGATATTTTGATACCTTTGAGGATTTCGTTGGACACGGGATATCTTCATATAAAATCTAGACAGAAGCATTCTCAGAAACTTCTTTGTGCTGTATGTCCTCAATTAACAGAGTTGAACCTTTGTGTGGATACAGCATTTTGGAAACATTCCTTTAGTAGAATCTGCAAGTTGATATTTAGATAGCTCGGAAGATTTCCTTGGAAACGGGAATATCTTCATATAAAATCTAGACGGAAGCATTCTCAGAAAGTGCTTTGTGATGTCTTCATTCAAGTCACAGAGTAGAATGTTCCCTTTTATAGAGCAGGTTTGAAACACTCTTTCTGCACTACCTGGAAGTGGACATTTGGAGCGCTTTGAGGCCTATGTTGAAAAACGAAATATCTTCCCATAAAAACTAGACAGAAGCATTCTCAGAAACTTGTTTGTGATGTGTGTATTCAACTAAGAGAGATGAACCTTTCTTTTTACAGAGCAGTTTTGAAACACTCTTTTTGTGGAATCTGAAAGTGGATATTTGGATAGCTTTGCGGATTTCGTTGGAAACGGGATTACATATAAAATCTAGGGAGAAGCATTCTCAGGAACTTCTTTGTGATGTTTGCATTCAAGTCACAGAACTGAACATTCCCTTTCATAGATCAGGTTTGAAACACTCTTTCTGTAGTATCTGCAAGCGGACGTTTTAAGCGCTTTCAGGCCTGTGGTGAGAAAGGAAATATCTTCAAATAAAAACTAGACAGAAGCATTCTCAGAAACTTATTTGCGATGTGTGTCCTCAACTAACAGAGTTGAACCTTTCTTTTGATACAACATTTTGGAAACACTCTTTTTGTAGAATCTGCAAGTGGATATTTGGATAGCTTTGAAGGTTTCGTTGGAAACGGGAATATCTTCATATGAAATCAAGACAGAAGCATTCTCAGAAACTTCTCTGTGATGTTTGCATTCAACTCATAGAGTTGAACACTTCCCTTCATACAGCAGGTTTGAAACACTCTTTTTCTAATATTTGGAAGTGGACATTTGCAGCGCTTTGAGGCCTATGTTGAAAAAGGAAATATCTTCTCCTAAAAACCAGACAGAAGCATTCTCAGAAACTTCCTTGTGATGTGTGTACTCAAGTAACAGAGTTGAACCTTCCTTTTGACAGAGCAGTTTTGAAGCACTCTTTTTGTAGAATCTGCAAGTGGATATTTTGATACCTTTGAGGATTTCGTTGGACACGGGATATCCTCATATAAAATCTAGACAGAAGCATTCTCAGGAACTTCTTTGTGATGTTTGCATTCAAGTCACAGAACTGAACATTCCCTTTCATAGAGCAGGTTTGAAACACTCTTTCTGTAGTATCTGCAAGCAGACGTTTTAAGCGCTTTCAGGCCTGTGGTGAGAAAGGAAATATCTTCAAATAAAAACTAGACAGAAGCATTCTCAGAAACTTATTTGCGATGTGTGTTCTCAACTAACAGAGTTGAACCTTTGTTTTGATATGGCATTTTGGAAACACTCTTTTTGTAGAATCTGCAGGTGGATATTCGGATAGCTTTGAAGGTTTCGTTGGAAACGGGAATATCTTCATATAAAATCTAGACGGAAGCATTCTCAGAAACTGCTTTGTGATGTTTTCATTCAAGTCACAGAGTAGAATGTTCCCTGTTATATACCAGGTTTGAGACACTCTTTCTGCACTACCTGGAAGTGGACATTTGCAGCGCTTTGAGGCCTATGATGAAAAAGGAAATATCTTCCCATAAAAACTAGACAGAAGCATTCTCAGAAACTTGTTTTTGATGTGTGTATTCAACTAACAGAGATGAACCTTTCTTTTTACAGAGCAGTTTTGAAACACTCTTTTTGTGGAATCTGAAAGTGGATATTTGGATAGCTTTGAGGATTTCGTTGGAAACGGGATTACATATAAAATCTAGAGAGAAGCATTCTCAGGAACTTCTTTGTGATGTTTGCATTCACGTCACAGAACTGAACATTCCCTTTCATAGAGCATGTTTGAAACACTCTTTCTGTAGTATCTGCAAACGGACATTTCAAACGCTTTCAGGCCTATGGTGAGAAAGGAAATATCTTCAAATAAAAACTAGACAGAAGCATTCTCAGAAACTTATTTGCGATGTGTGTCCTCAACTAACAGAGTTGAACCTTTCTTTTGATACAACATTTTGGAAACACTCTTTTTGTAGAATCTGCAAGTGGATATTTGAATAGCTTTGAAGGTTTCGTTGGAAACGGGAATATCTTCATATAAAATCAAGACAGAAGCATTCTCAGAAACTTCTCTGTGATGTTTGCATTCAACTCATAGAGTTGAACACTTCCCTTCATACAGCAGGTTTGAAACACTCTTTTTCTAATATTTGGAAGTGGACATTTGCAGCGCTTTGAGGCCTATGTTGAAAAAGGAAATATCTTCTCCTAAAAACCAGACAGAAGCATTCTCAGAAACTTCCTTGTGATGTGTGTACTCAAGTAACAGAGTTGAACCTTCCTTTTGACAGAGCAGTTTTGAAGCACTCTTTTTGTAGAATCTGCAAGTGGATATTTTGATACCTTTGAGGATTTCGTTGGACACGGGATATCTTCATATAAAATCTAGACAGAAGCATTCTCAGAAACTTCTTTGTGCTGTATGTCCTCAATTAACAGAGTTGAACCTTTGTGTGGATACAGCATTTTGGAAACATTCCTTTAGTAGAATCTGCAAGTTGATATTTAGATAGCTAGGAAGATTTCCTTGGAAACGGGAATATCTTCATATAAAATATAGACGGAAGCATTCTCAGAAAGTGCTTTGTGATGTTTGCATTCAAGTCACAGAGTTGAATATTCCCTTTTATAGAGCAGGTTTGAAACACTCTTTCTGCACTACCTGGAAGTGCACATTTGGAGCGCTTTGAGGCCTATGTTGAAAAAGGAAATATCTTCCCATAAAAACTAGACAGAAGCATTCTCAGAAACTTGTTTGTGATGTGTGTATTCAACTAACAGAGATGAACCTTTCTTTTTACAGAGCAGTTTTGAAACACTCTTTTTGTGGAATCTGAAAGTGGATATTTGGATAGCTTTGCGGATTTCGTTGGAAACGGGATTACATATAAAATCCAGGGAGAAGCATTCTCAGGAACTTCTTTGTGATGTTTGCCTTCAAGTCACAGGACTGAACATTCCCTTTCATAGAGCAGGTTTGAAACACTCTTTCTGTAGTATCTGCAAGCTGACGTTTCAAGCGCTTTCAGGCCTATGGTGAGAAAGGAAATATCTTCAAGTAAAAACTAGACAGAAGCATTCTCAGAAACTTATTTGCGATGTGTGTTCTCAACTAACAGAGTTGAACCTTTGTTTTGATATGGCATTTTGGAAACACTCTTTTTGTAGAATCTGCAGGTGGATATTCGGATAGCTTTGAAGGTTTCGTTGGAAACGGGAATATCTTCATATAAAATCTAGACGGAAGCATTCTCAGAAACTGCTTTGTGATGTTTTCATTCAAGTCACAGAGTAGAATGTTCCCTGTTATATACCAGGTTTGAGACACTCTTTCTGCACTACCTGGAAGTGGACGTTTGGAGCGCTTTGAGGCCTATGTTGAAAAAGGAAATATCTTCCCATAAAAACTAGACAGAAGCATTCTCAGAAACTTGTTTGTGATGTGTGTATTCAACTAACAGAGATGAACCTTTCTTTTTACAGAGCAGTTTTGAAACACTCTTTTTGTGGAATCTGAAAGTGGATATTTGGATAGCTTTGAGGATTTCGTTGGAAACGGGATTACATATAAAACCTAGAGAGAAGCATTCTCAGGAACTTCTTTGTGATGTTTGCATTCAAGTCACAGAACTGAACATTCCCTTTCATAGAGCATGTTTGAAACACTCTTTCTGTAGTATCTGCAAGCGGACGTTTCAAGCGCTTTCAGGCCTATGGTGAGAAAGGAAATATCTTCAAGTAAAAACTAGACAGAAGCATTCTCAGAAACTTATTTGCCATGTGTGTTCTCAACTAACAGAATTGAATCTTTGTTGTGATACGGCATTTTGGAAACACTCTTTTTGTAGAATCTGCAGGTGCATATTCGGATAGCTTTGAAGGTTTCGTTGGAAACGGGAATATCTTCATATAAAATCTAGACGGAAGCATTCTCAGAAACTGCTTTGTGATGTTTTCATTCCAGTCACAGAGTAGAATGTTCCCTTTTATATACCAGGTTTGAGACACTCTTTCTGCACTATCTGGAAGTGGACATTTGGAGCGCTTTGAGGCCTATGATGAAAAAGGAAATATCTTCCCATAAAAACTAGACAGAAGCATTCTCAGAAACTTGTTTGTGATGTGTGTATTCAACTAACAGAGATGAACCTTTCTTTTTACAGAGCAGTTTTGAAACACTCTTTTTGTGGAATCTGAGAGTGGATATTTGGATAGCTTTGAGGATTTCGTTGGAAACGGGATTACATATAAAATCTAGAGAGAAACATTCTCAGGAACTTCTTTGTGATGTTTGCATTCACGTCACAGAACTGAACATTCCCTTTCATAGAGCATGTTTGAAACACTCTTTCTGTAGTATCTGCAAACGGACATTTCAAGCGCTTTCAGGCCTATGGTAAGAAAGGAAATATCTTCAAATAAAAACTAGACAGAAGCATTCTCAGAAACTTATTTGCGATGTGTGTCCTCAACTAACAGAGTTGAACCTTTGTTTTGATACAACATTTTGGAAACACTCTTTTTGTAGAATCTGCAAGTGGATATTTGGATAGCTTTGAAGGTTTCGTTGGAAACGGGAATATCTTCATATAAAATCAAGACAGAAGCATTCTCAGAAACTTCTCTGTGATGTTTGCATTCAACTCATAGAGTTGAACACTTCCCTTCATAGAGCAGGTTTGAAACACTCTTTTTGTAATATTTGGAAGTGGACATTTGCAGCGCTTTGAGGCCTATGTTGAAAAAGGAAATATCTTCTCCTAAAAACCAGACAGAAGCATTCTCAGAAACTTCCTTGTGATGTGTGTACTCAAGTAACAGAGTTGAACCTTACTTTTGACAGAGCCGTTTTGAAACAGTCTTTTTGTAGAATCTGGAAGTAGATATTTGGATACTTTTGAGGATTTCTTTGGAAACGGGATATCTTCATATAAAATCTAGACAGAAGCATTCTCAGAAACTTCTTTGTGCTGTATGTCCTCAATTAACAGAGTTGAACCTTTGTGTGGATACAGCATTTTGGAAACATTCCTTTAGTAGAATCTGCAAGTTGATATTTAGATAGCTAGGAAGATTTCCTTGGAAACGGGAATATCTTCATATAAAATCTAGACGGAAGCATTCTCAGAAAGTGCTTTGTGATGTTTGCATTCAAGTCACAGAGTTGAATATTCCCTTTTATAGAGCAGGTTTGAAACACTCTTTCTGCACTACCTGGAAGTGGACATTTGGAGCGCTTTGAGGCCTATGTTGAAAAAGGAAATATCTTCCCATAAAAACTAGACAGAAGCATTCTCAGAAACTTGTTTGTGATGTGTGTATTCAACTAACAGAGATGAACCTTTCTTTTTACAGAGCAGTTTTGAAACACTCTTTTTGTGGAATCTGAAAGTGGATATTTGGATAGCTTTGAGGATTTCGTTGGAAACGGGATTACATATAAAACATAGAGAGAAGCATTCTCAGGAACTTCTTTGTGATGTTTGCATTCAAGTCACAGAACTGAACATTCCCTTTCATAGAGCAGGTTTGAAACACTCTTTCTGTAGTATCTGCAAGCTGACGTTTCAAGCGCTTTCAGGCCTATGGTGAGAAAGGAAATATCTTCAAGTAAAAACTAGACAGAAGCATTCTCAGAAACTTATTTGCCATGTGTGTTCTCAACTAACAGAGTTGAACCTTTGTTTTGATACGGCATTTTGGAAACACTCTTTTTGTAGAATCTGCAGGTGGATATTCGGATAGCTTTGAAGGTTTCGTTGGAAACGGGAATATCTTCATATAAAATGTAGACGGAAGCATTCTCAGAAACTGCTTTGTGATGTTTTCATTCAAGTCACAGAGTAGAATGTTCCCTGTTATATACCAGGTTTGAGACACTCTTTCTGCACTACCTGGAAGTGGACATTTGGAGCGCTTTGAGGCCCATGATGAAAAAGGAAATATCTTCCCATAAAAACTAGACAGAAGCATTCTCAGAAACTTGTTTGTGATGTGTGTATTCAACTAACAGAGATGAACCTTTCTTTTTACAGAGCAGTTTTGAAACACTCTTTTTGTGGAATCTGGAAGTGGATATTTGGATAGCTTTGAGGATTTCGTTGGAAACGGGATTACATATAAAATCAAGAGAGAAGAATTCTCAGGAACTTCTTTGTGATATTTGCATTCAAGTCACAGAACTGAACATTCCCTTTAATAGAGCATGTTTGAAACACTCTTTCTGTAGTATCTGCAAACGGACATTTCAAACGCTTTCAGGCCTATGGTGAGAAAGGAAATATCTTCAAATAAAAACTAGACAGAAGCATTCTCAGAAACTTATTTGCCATGTGTGTTCTCAACTAACAGAGTTGAACCTTTGTTTGGATACGGCATTTTGGAAACACTCTTTTTGTAGAATCTGCAGGTGGATATTCGGATAGCTTTGAAGGTTTCGTTGGAAACGGGAATATCTTCATATAAAATCTAGACGGAAGCATTCTCAGAAACTGCTTTGTGATGTTTTCATTGAAGTCACAGAGTAGAATGTTCCCTTTTATATACCAGGTTTGAGACACTCTTTCTGCACTATCTGGAAGTGGACATTTGGAGCGCTTTGAGGCCTATGATGAAAAAGGAAATATCTTCCCATAAAAACTAGACAGAAGCATTGTCAGAAACTTGTTTGTGATGTGTGTATTCAACTAACAGAGATGAACCTTTCTTTTTACAGAGCAGTTTTGAAACACTCTTTTTGTGGAATCTGAAAGTGGATATTTGGATAGCTTTGAGGATTTCGTTGGAAACGGGATTACATATAAAATCTAGAGAGAAGCATTCTCAGGAACTTCTTTGTGATGTTTGCATTCAAGTCACAGAACTGAACATTCCCTTTCATAGAGCATGTTTGAAACACTCTTTCTGTAGTATCCGCAAGCGGACGTTTCAAGCGCTTTCAGGCCTATGGTGAGAAAGGAAATATCTTCAAGTAAAAACTAGACAGAAGCATTCTCAGAAACTTATTTGCCATGTGTGTTCTCAACTAACAGAGTTGAACCTTTGTTTGGATACGGCATTTTGGAAACACTCTTTTTGTAGAATCTGCAGGTGGATATTCGGATAGCTTTGAAGGTTTCGTTGGAAACGGGAATATCTTCATATAAAATCTAGACGGAAGCATTCTCAGAAACTGCTTTGTGATGTTTTCATTCAAGTCACAGAGTAGAATGTTCCCTTTTATATACCAGGTTTCAGACACTCTTTCTGCACTATCTGGAAGTGGACATTTGGAGCGCTTTGAGGCCTATGATGAAAAAGGAAATATCTTCCCATAAAAACTAGACAGAAGCATTCTCAGAAACTTGTTTGTGATGTGTGTATTCAACTAACAGAGATGAACCTTTTTTTTTACAGAGCAGTTTTGAAACACTCTTTTTGTGGAATCTGAAAGTGCATATTTGGATAGCTTTGAGGATTTCGTTGGAAACGGGATTACATATAAAATCTAGAGAGAAGCATTCTCAGGAACTTCTTTGTGATGTTTGCATTCAAGTCACAGAACTGAACATTCCCTTTCATAGAGCATGTTAGAAACACTCTTTCTGTAGTATCTGCAAACGGAGATTTCAAGCGCTTTCAGGCCTATGGTAAGAAAGGAAATATCTTCAAATAAAAACTAGACAGAAACATTCTCAGAAACTTATTTGCGATGTGTGTTCTCAACTAACAGAGTTGAACCTTTGTTTTGATACGGCATTTTGGAAGCACTCTTTTTGTAGAATCTGCAGGTGGATATTCGGATAGCTTTGAAGGTTTCGTTGGAAACGGGAATATCTTCATATAAAATCTAGACGGAAGCATTCTCAGAAAGTGCTTTGTGATGTTTGCATTCAAGTCACAGAGTTGAATATTCCCTTTTATAGAGCAGGTTTGAAACACTCTTTCTGCACTACCTGGAAGTGGACATTTGGAGCGCTTTGAGGCCTATGTTGAAAAAGGAAATATCTTCCCATAAAAACTAGACAGAAGCATTCTCAGAAACTTGTTTGTGATGTGTGTATTCAACTAACAGAGATGAACCTTTCTTTTTACAGAGCAGTTTTGAAACACTCTTTTTGTGGAATCTGAAAGTGGATATTTGGATAGCTTTGAGGATTTCGTTGGAAACGGGATTACATATAAAACCTAGAGAGAAGCATTCTCAGGAACTTCTTTGTGATGTTTGCCTTCAAGTCACAGGACTGAACATTCCCTTTCATAGAGCAGGTTTGAAACACTCTTTCTGTAGTATCTGCAAGCTGACGTTTCAAGCGCTTTCAGGCCTATGGTGAGAAAGGAAATATCTTCAAGTAAAAACTAGACAGAAGCATTCTCAGAAACTTATTTGCCATGTGTGTTCTCAACTAACAGAGTTGAACCTTTGTTTTGATACGGCATTTTGGAAACACTCTTTTTGTAGAATCTGCAGGTGGATATTCGGATAGCTTTGAAGGTTTCGTTGGAAACGGGAATATCTTCATATAAAATCTAGACGGAAGCATTCTCAGAAACTGCTTTGTGATGTTTTCATTCAAGTCACAGAGTAGAATGTTCCCTGTTATATACCAGGTTTGAGACCCTCTTTCTGCACTACCTGGAAGTGGACATTTGGAGCGCTTTGAGGCCTATGATGAAAAAGGAAATATCTTCCCATAAAAACTAGACAGAAGCATTCTCAGAAACTTGTTTGTGATGTGTGTATTCAACTAACAGAGATGAACCTTTCTTTTTACAGAGCAGTTTTGAAACACTCTTTTTGTGGAATCTGAAAGTGGATATTTGGATAGCTTTGAGGATTTCGTTGGAAACGGGATTACATATAAAATCTAGAGAGAAGCATTCTCAGGAACTTCTTTGTGATGTTTGCATTCACGTCACAGAACTGAACATTCCATTTCATAGAGCATGTTTGAAACTCTCTTTCTGTAGTATCTGCAAACGGACATTTCAAACGCTTTCAGGCCTATGGTGAGAAAGGAAATATCTTCAAATAAAAACTAGACAGAAGCATTCTCAGAAACTTATTTGCGATGTGTGTCCTCAACTAACAGAGTTGAACCTTTCTTTTGATACAACATTTTGGAAACACTCTTTTTGTAGAATCTGCAAGTGGATATTTGAATAGCTTTGAAGGTTTCGTTGGAAACGGGAATATCTTCATATAAAATCAAGACAGAAGCATTCTCAGAAACTTCTCTGTGATGTTTGCATTCAACTCATAGAGTTGAACACTTCCCTTCATACAGCAGGTTTGAAACACTCTTTTTGTAATATTTGGAAGTGGACATTTGCAGCGCTTTGAGGCCTATGATGAAAAAGGTAATATCTTCCCATAAAAACTAGACAGAAGCATTCTCAGAAACTTGTTTGTGATGTGTGTATTCAACTAACAGAGATGAACCTTTCTTTTTACAGAGCAGTTTTGAAACACTCTTTTTGTGGAATCTGAAAGTGGATATTTGGATAGCTTTGCGGATTTCTTTGGAAACGGGATTACATATAAAATCTAGAGAGAAGCATTCTCAAGATCTTCTTTGTGATGTTTGCATTCAAGTCACAGAACTGAACATTCCCTTTCATAGAGCAGGTTTGAAACACTCTTTCTGTAGTATCTGCAAGCGGACGTTTTAAGCGCTTTCAGGCCTGTGGTGAGAAAGGAAATATCTTCAAATAAAAACTAGACAGAAGCATTCTCAGAAACTTATTTGCGATGTGTGTCCTCAACTAACAGAGTTGAACCTTTCTTTTGATACAACATTTTGGAAACACTCTTTTTGTAGAATCTGCAAGTGGATATTTGGATAGCTTTGAAGGTTTCGTTGGAAACGGGAATATCTTCATATGAAATCAAGACAGATGCATTCTCAGAAACTTCTCTGTGATGTTTGCATTCAACTCATAGAGTTGAACACTTCCCTTCATACAGCAGGTTTGAAACACTCTTTTTCTAATATTTGGAAGTGGACATTTGCAGCGCTTTGAGGCCTATGTTGAAAAAGGAAATATCTTCTCCTAAAAACCAGACAGAAACATTCTCAGGAACTTCTTTGTGATGTTTGCATTCACGTCACTGAACTGAACATTCCCTTTCATAGAGCATGTTTGAAACACTCTTTCTGTAGTATCTGCAAACGGACATTTCAAAAGCTTTCAGGCCTATGGTGAGAAAGGAAATATCTTCAAATAAAAACTAGACAGAAGCATTCTCAGAAACTTCTTTGTGCTGTATGTCCTCAATTAACAGAGTTGAACCTTTGTGTGGATACAGCATTTTGGAAACATTCCTTTAGTAGAATCTGCAAGTTGATATTTAGATAGCTAGGAAGATTTCCTTGGAAACGGGAATATCCTCATATAAAATCTAGACGGAAGCATTCTCAGAAAGTGCTTTGTGATGTTTGCATTCAAGTCACAGAGTTGAATATTCCCTTTTATAGAGCAGGTTTGAAACACTCTTTCTGCACTACCTGGAAGTGGACATTTGGAGCGCTTTGAGGCCTATGTTGAAAAAGGAAATATGTTCCCATAAAAACTGGACAGAAGCATTCTCAGAAACTTGTTTGTGATGTGTGTATTCAACTAACAGAGATGAACCTTTCTTTTTACAGAGCAGTTTTGAAACACTCTTTTTGTGGAATCTGAAAGTGGATATTTGGATAGCTTTGAGGATTTCGTTTGAAACGGGATTACATATAAAACCTAGAGAGAAGCATTCTCAGGAACTTCTTTGTGATGTTTGCATTCAAGTCACAGGACTGAACATTCCCTTTCATAGAGCAGGTTTGAAACACTCTTTCTGTAGTATCTGCAAGCTGACGTTTCAAGCGCTTTCAGGCCTATGGTGAGAAAGGAAATATCTTCAAGTAAAAACTAGACAGAAGCATTCTCAGAAACTTATTTGCCATGTGTGTTCTCAACTAACAGAGTTGAACCTTTGTTTTGATACGGCATTTTGGAAACACTCTTTTTGTAGAATCTGCAGGTGGATATTCGGATAGCTTTGAAGGTTTCGTTGGAAACGGGAATATCTTCATATAAAATCTAGACGGAAGCATTCTCAGAAACTGCTTTGTGATGTTTTCATTCAAGTCACAGAGTAGAATGTTCCCTGTTATATACCAGGTTAGAGACACTCTTTCTGCACTACCTGGAAGTGGACATTTGCAGCGCTTTGAGGCCTATGATGAAAAGGGAAATATCTTCCCATAAAAACTAGACAGAAGCATTCTCAGAAACTTGTTTGTGATGTGTGTATTCAACTAACAGAGATGAACCTTTCTTTTTACAGAGCAGTTTTGAAACACTCTTTTTGTGGAATCTGAAAGTGGATATTTGGATAGCTTTGAGGATTTCGTTGGAAACGGGATTACATATAAAATCTAGGGAGAAGCATTCTCAGGAACTTCTTTGTGATGTTTGCATTCAAGTCACAGAACTGAACATTCCCTTTCATAGAGCAGGTTTGAAACACTCTTTCTGTAGTATCTGCAAGTGAACGTTTCAAGCGCTTTCAGGCCTGTGGTGAAAAAGGAAATATCTTCAAATGAAAACTAGACAGAAGCATTCTCAGAAACTTATTTGCGATGTGTGTTCTCAGCTAACAGAGTTGAACCTTTGTTTTGATACAGCATTTTGGAAACACTCTTTTTGTAGGATCTGCAGGTGGATATTTGGATAGCTTTGAAGGTTTCTTTGGAAACGGGAATATCTTCATATAAAATCAAGACAGAAGCATTCTCAGAAACTTCTCTGTGATGTTTGCATTCAACTCATAGAGTTGAACCCTTCCTTTCATAGAGCTGGTTTGAAATACTCTTTTTGTAATATTTGGAAGTGGACATTGGCAGCGCTTTGAAGCCTATGGTGAAAAAGGAGATATCTTCTCCTAAAAACCAGACAGAAGCATTCTCAGAATCTTTCTTGTGATGTGTGTACTCAAGTAACAGAGTTGAACCTTCATTTTGACAGAGCAGTTTTGAAGCACTCTTTTTGTAGAATCTGCAAGTGGATATTTTGATACCTTTGAGGATTTCGTTAGACACTGGATATCTTCATATAAAATCTAGACAGAAGCATTCTCAGGAACTTCTTTGTGATGTTTGCATTCAAGTCACAGAACTGAACATTCCCTTTCATAGAGCAGGTTTGAAACACTCTTTCTGTAGTATCTGCAAGCTGACGTTTCAAGCGCTTTCAGGCCTATGGTGAGAAAGGAAATATCTTCAAGTAAAAACTAGACAGAAGCATTCTCAGAAACTTATTTGCCATGTGTGTTCTCAACTAACAGAGTTGAACCTTTGTTTTGATACGGCATTTTGGAAACACTATTTTGAAGAATCTGCAGGTGGATATTCGGATAGCTTTGAAGGTTTCGTTGGAAACGTGAATATCTTCATATAAAATCTAGACGGAAGCATTCTCAGAAACTGCTTTGTGATGTTTTCATTCAAGTCACAGAGTAGAATGTTCCCTGTTATATACCAGGTTTGAGACACTCTTTCTGCACTACCTGGAAGTGGACGTTTGGAGCGCTTGAGGCCTATGTTGAAAAAGGAAATATCTTCCCATAAAAACTAGACAGAAGCATTCTCAGAAACTTGTTTGTGATGTGTGTATTCAACTAACAGAGATGAACCTTTCTTTTTACAGAGCAGTTTTGAAACACTCTTTTTGTGGAATCTGAAAGTGGATATTTGGATAGCTTTGAGGATTTCGTTGGAAACGGGATTACATATAAAACCTAGAGAGAAGCATTCTCAGGAACTTCTTTGTGATGTTTGCATTCAAGTCACAGAACTCAACATTCCCTTTCATAGAGCAGGTTTGAAACACTCTTTCTGTAGTATCTGCAAGCTGACGTTTCAAGCGCTTTCAGGCCTATGGTGAGAAAGGAAATATCTTCAAGTAAAAACTAGACAGAAGCATTCTCAGAAACTTATTTGCGATGTGTGTCCTCAACTAACAGAGTTGAACCTTTGTTTTGATATGGCATTTTGGAAACACTCTTTTTGTAGAATCTGCAGGTGGATATTCGGATAGCTTTGAAGGTTTCGTTGGAAACGGGAATATCTTCATATAAAATCTAGACGGAAGCATTCTCAGAAAGTGCTTTGTGATGTTTGCATTCAAGTCACAGAGTTGAATATTCCCTTTTATAGAGCAGGTTTGAAACACTCTTTCTGCACTACCTGGAGGTGGACATTTAGAGCGCTTTGAGGCCTATGTTGAAAAAGGAAATATCTTCCCATAAAAACTAGACAGAAGCATTCTCAGAAACTTGTTTGTGATGTGTGTATTCAACTAACAGAGATGAACCTTTCTTTTTACAGAGCAGTTTTGAAACACTCTTTTTGTGGAATCTGAAAGTGGATATTTGGATAGCTTTGAGGATTTCGTTGGAAACGGGATTACATATAAAATCTAGAGAGAAGCATTCTCAGGAACTTCTTTGTGATGTTTGCATTCAAGTCACAGAACTGAACATTCCCTTTCATAGAGCAGGTTTGAAACACTCTTTCAGTAGTATCTGCAAGCGGACGTTTCAAGCGCTTTCAGGCCTGTGGAGAAAAAGGAAATATCTTCAAATAAAAACTAGACGGAAGCATTCTCAGAAACTTATTTGCGATGTGTGTCCTCAACTAACAGAGTTGAACCTTTCTTTTGATACAACATTTTGGAAACACTCTTTTTGTAGAATCTGCAAGTGGATATTTGAATAGCTTTGAAGGTTTCGTTGGAAACGGGAATATCTTCATATAAAATCAAGACAGAAGCATTCTCAGAAACTTCTCTGTGATGTTTGCATTCAACTCATAGAGTTGAACACTTCCTTTCATACAGCAGGTTTGAAACACTCTTTTTGTAATATTTGGAAGTGGACATTTGCAGCGCTTTGAGGCCTATGTTGAAAAAGGAAATATCTTCTCCTAAAAACCAGACAGAAGCATTCTCAGAAACTTCCTTGTGATGTGTGTACTCAAGTAACAGAGTTGAACCTTACTTTTGACAGAGCCGTTTTGAAACAGTCTTTTTGTAGAATCTGGAAGTAGATATTTGGATACCTTTGAGGATTTCTTTGGAAACGGGATATCTTCATATAAAATCTAGACAGAAGCATTCTCAGGAACTTCTTTGTGATGTTTGCATTCAAGTCACAGAACTGAACATTCCCTTTCATAGAGCAGGTTTGAAACAGTCTTTCTGTAGTATCTGCAAGCTGACGTTTCAAGCGCTTTCAGGCCTATGGTGAGAAAGGAAATATCTTCAAGTAAAAACTAGACAGAAGCATTCTCAGAAACTTATTTGCGATGTGTGTTCTCAACTAACAGAGTTGAACCTTTGTTTTGATATGGCATTTTGGAAACACTCTTTTTGTAGAATCTGCAGGTGGATATTCGGATAGCTTTGAAGGTTTCGTTGGAAACGGGAATATCTTCATATAAAATCTAGACGGAAGCATTCTCAGAAACTGCTTTGTGATGTTTTCATTCAAGTCACAGAGTAGAATGTTCCCTGTTATATACCAGGTTTGAGACACTCTTTCTGCACTACCTGGAAGTGGACATTTGCAGCGCTTTGAGGCCTATGATGAAAAAGGAAATATCTTCCCATAAAAACTAGACAGAAGCATTCTCAGAAACTTGTTTGTGATGTGTGTATTCAACTAACAGAGATGAACCTTTCTTTTTACAGAGCAGTTTTGAAACACTCTTTTTGTGGAATCTGAAAGTGGATATTTGGATAGCTTTGAGGATTTCGTTGGAAACGGGATTACATATAAAATCTAGAGAGAAGCATTCTCAGGAACTTCTTTGTGATGTTTGCATTCACGTCACAGAACTGAACATTCCCTTTCATAGAGCATGTTTGAAACACTCTTTCTGTAGTATCTGCAAACGGACATTTCAAACGCTTTCAGGCCTATGGTGAGAAAGGAAATATCTTCAAATAAAAACTAGACAGAAGCATTCTCAGAAACTTATTTGCGATGTGTGTCCTCAACTAACAGAGTTGAACCTTTCTTTTGATACAACATTTTGGAAACACTCTTTTTGTAGAATCTGCAAGTGGATATTTGAATAGCTTTGAAGGTTTCGTTGGAAACGGGAATATCTTCATATAAAATCAAGACAGAAGCATTCTCAGAAACTTCTCTGTGATGTTTGCATTCAACTCATAGAGTTGAACACTTCCCTTCATACAGCAGGTTTGAAACACTCTTTTTCTAATATTTGGAAGTGGACATTTGCAGCGCTTTGAGGCCTATGTTGAAAAAGGAAATATCTTCTCCTAAATACCAGACAGAAGCATTCTCAGAAACTTGTTTGTGATGTGTGTATTCAACTAACAGAGATGAACCTTTCTTTTTACAGAGCAGTTTTGAAACACTCTTTTTGTGGAATCTGAAAGTGGATATTTGGATAGCTTTGAGGATTTCGTTGGAAACGGGATTACATATAAAACCTAGAGAGAAGCATTCTCAGGAACTTCTTTGTGATGTTTGCATTCAAGTCACAGAACTGAACATTCCCTTTCATAGAGCAGGTTTGAAACACTCTTTCTGTAGTATCTGCAAGCTGACGTTTCAAGCGCTTTCAGGCCTATGGTGAGAAAGGAAATATCTTCAAGTAAAAACTAGACAGAAGCATTCTCAGAAACTTATTTGCCATGTGTGTTCTCAACTAACAGAGTTGAACCTTTGTTTTGAAACGGCATTTTGGAAACACTCTTTTTGTAGAATCTGCAGGTGGATATTCGGATAGCTTTGAAGGTTTCGTTGGAAACGGGAATATCTTCATATAAAATCTAGACGGAAGCATTCTCAGAAAGTGCTTTGTGATGTTTGCATTCAAGTCACAGAGTTGAATATTCCCTTTTATAGAGCAGGTTTGAAACACTCTTTCTGCACTACCTGGAAGTGGACATTTGGAGCGCTTTGAGGCCTATGTTGAAAAAGGAAATATCTTCCCATAAAAACTAGACAGAAGCATTCTCAGAAACTTGTTTGTGATGTGTGTATTCAACTAACAGAGATGAACCTTTCTTTTTACAGAGCAGTTTTGAAACACTCTTTTTGTGGAATCTGAAAGTGGATATTTGGATAGCTTTGAGGATTTCGTTGGAAACGGGATTACATATAAAACCTAGAGAGAAGCATTCTCAGGAACTTCTTTGTGATGTTTGCCTTCAAGTCACAGGACTGAACATTCCCTTTCATAGAGCAGGTTTGAAACACTCTTTCTGTAGTATCTGCAAGCTGACGTTTCAAGCGCTTTCAGGCCTATGGTGAGAAAGGAAATATCTTCAAGTAAAAACTAGACAGAAGCATTCTCAGAAACTTATTTGCCATGTGTGTTCTCAACTAACAGAGTTGAACCTTTGTTTTGATACGGCATTTTGGAAACACTCTTTTTGTAGAATCTGCAGGTGGATATTCGGATAGCTTTGAAGGTTTCGTTGGAAACGGGAATATCTTCATATAAAATCTAGACGGAAGCATTCTCAGAAACTGCTTTGTGATGTTTTCATTCAAGTCACAGAGTTGAATGTTCCCTGTTATATACCAGGTTTGAGACACTCTTTCTGCACTACCTGGAAGTGGACGTTTGGAGCGCTTTGAGGCCTATGTTGAAAAAGGAAATATCTTCCCATAAAAACTAGACAGAAGCATTCTCAGAAACTTGTTTGTGATGTGTGTATTCAACTAACAGAGATGAACCTTTCTTTTTACAGAGCAGTTTTGAAACACTCTTTTTGTGGAATCTGAAAGTGGATATTTGGATAGCTTTGAGGATTTCGTTGGAAACGGGATTACATATAAAATCTAGAGAGAAGCATTCTCAGGAACTTCTTTGTGATGTTTGCATTCACGTCACAGAACTGAACATTCCCTTTCATAGAGCATGTTTGAAACACTCTTTCTGTAGTATCTGCAAACGGACATTTCAAACGCTTTCAGGCCTATGGTGAGAAAGGAAATATCTTCAAATAAAAACTAGACAGAAGCATTCTCAGAAACTTATTTGCGATGTGTGTCCTCAACTAACAGAGTTGAACCTTTCTTTTGATACAACATATTTTAAACACTCTTTTTGTGGAATCTGCAAGTGGATATTTGGATAGCTTTGAAGGTTTCGTTGGAAACGGGAATATCTTCATATAAAATCAAGACAGAAGCATTCTCAGAAACTGCTTTGTGATGTTTTCATTCAAGTCACAGAGTAGAATCTTCCCTGTTATATACCAGGTTTCAGGCACTCTTTCTGCACTACCTGGAAGTGGACATTTGCAGCGCTTTGAGGCCTATGATGAAAAAGGAAATATCTTCCCATAAAAACTAGACAGAAGCATTCTCAGAAACTTGTTTGTGATGTGTGTATTCAACTAACAGAGATGAACCTTTCTTTTTACAGAGCAGTTTTGAAACACTCTTTTTGTGGAATCTGAAAGTGGATATTTGGATAGCTTTGAGGATTTCGTTGGAAACGGGATTACATATAAAACCTAGAGAGAAGCATTCTCAGGAACTTCTTTGTGATGTTTGCCTTCAAGTCACAGGACTGAACATTCCCTTTCATAGAGCAGGTTTGAAACACTCTTTCTGTAGTATCTGCAAGCTGACGTTTCAAGCGCTTTCAGGCCTATGGTGAGAAAGGAAATATCTTCAAGTAAAAACTAGACAGAAGCATTCTCAGAAACTTATTTGCCATGTGTGTTCTCAACTAACAGAGTTGGACCTTTGTTTTGATACGGCATTTTGGAAACACTCTTTTTGTAGAATCTGCAGGTGGATATTCGGATAGCTTTGAAGGTTTCGTTGGAAACGGGAATATCTTCATATAAAATCTAGACGGAAGCATTCTCAGAAACTGCTTTGTGATGTTTTCATTCAAGTCACAGAGTAGAATGTTCCCTGTTATATACCAGGTTTGAGACACTCTTTCTGCACTACCTGGAAGTGGACGTTTGGAGCGCTTTGAGGCCTATGTTGAAAAAGGAAATATCTTCCCATAAAAACTAGACAGAAGCATTCTCAGAAACTTGTTTGTGATGTGTGTATTCAACTAACAGAGATGAACCTTTCTTTTTACAGAGCAGTTTTGAAACACTCTTTTTGTGGAATCTGAAAGTGGATATTTGGATAGCTTTGAGGATTTCGTTGGAAACGGGATTACATATAAAACCTAGAGAGAAGCATTCTCAGGAACTTCTTTGTGATGTTTGCATTCACGTCACAGAACTGAACATTCCCTTTCATAGAGCATGTTTGAAACACTCTTTCTGTAGTATCTGCAAACGGACATTTCAAACGCTTTCAGGCCTATGGTGAGAAAGGAAATATCTTCAAATAAAAACTAGACAGAAGCATTCTCAGAAACTTATTTGCGATGTGTGTCCTCAACTAACAGAGTTGAACCTTTCTTTTGATACAACATTTTGGAAACACTCTTTTTGAAGAATCTGCAAGTGGATATTTGGATAGCTTTGAAGGTTTCGTTGGAAACGGGAATATCTTCATATAAAATCAAGACAGAAGCATTCTCAGAAACTTCTCTGTGATGTTTGCATTCAACTCATAGAGTTGAACACTTCCCTTCATACAGCAGGTTTGAAACACTCTTTTTGTAATATTTGGAAGTGGACATTTGCAGCGCTTTGAGGCCTATGATGAAAAAGGTAATATCTTCCCATAAAAACTAGACAGAAGCATTCTCAGAAACTTGTTTGTGATGTGTGTATTCAACTAACAGAGATGAACCTTTCTTTTTACAGAGCAGTTTTGAAACACTCTTTTTGTGGAATCTGAAAGTGGATATTTGGATAGCTTTGCGGATTTCGTTGGAAACGGGATTACATATAAAATCTAGGGAGAAGCATTATCACGAACTTCTTTGTGATGTTTGCATTCAAGTCACAGAACTGAACATTCCCTTTCATAGAGCAGGTTTGAAACACTCTTTCTGTAGTATCTGCAAGCGGACGTTTTAAGCGCTTTCAGGCCTGTGGTGAGAAAAGAAATATCTTCAAATAAAAACTAGACAGAAGCATTCTCAGAAACTTATTTGCGATGTGTGTCCTCAACTAACAGAGTTGAACCTTTCTTTTGATACAACATTTTGGAAACACTCTTTTTGTAGAATCTGCAAGTGGATATTTGGATAGCTTTGAAGGTTTCGTTGGAAACGGGAATATCTTCATATGAAATCAAGACAGAAGCATTCTCAGAAACTTCTCTGTGATGTTTGCATTCAACTCATAGAGTTGAACACTTCCCTTCATACAGCAGGTTTGAAACACTCTTTTTGTAATATTTGGAAGTGGACATTTGCAGCGCTTTGAGGCCTATGTTGAAAAAGGAAATATCTTCTCCTAAAAACCAGACAGAAGCATTCTCAGAAACTTGTTTGTGATGTGTGTATTCAACTAACAGAGATGAACCTTTCTTTTTACAGAGCAGTTTTGAAACACTCTTTTTGTGGAATCTGAAAGTGGATATTTGGATAGCTTTGAGGATTTCGTTGGAAACGGGATTACATATAAAATCTAGAGAGAAGCATTCTCAGGAACTTCTTTGTGATGTTTGCATTCAAGTCACAGAACTGAACATTCCCTTTCATAGAGCATGTTTGAAACACTCTTTCTGTAGTATCTGCAAGCGGACGTTTTAAGCGCTTTCAGGCCTGTGGTGAGAAAGGAAATATCTTCAAATAAAAACTAGACAGAAGCATTCTCAGAAACTTATTTGCGATGTGTGTCCTCAACTAACAGAGTTGAACCTTTCTTTTGATACAACATTTTGGAAACACTCTTTTTGTGGAATCTGCAAGTGGATATTTGGATAGCTTTGAAGGTTTCGTTGGAAACGGGAATATCTTCATATAAAATCAAGACAGAAGCATTCTCAGAAACTTCTCTGTGATGTTTGCATTCAACTCATAGAGTTGAACACTTCCCTTCATACAGCAGGTTTGAAACACTCTTTTTGTAATATTTGGAAGTGGACATTTGCAGCGCTTTGAGGCCTATGATGAAAAAGGTAATATCTTCCCATAAAAACTAGACAGAAGCATTCTCAGAAACTTGTTTGTGATGTGTGTATTCAACTAACAGAGATGAACCTTTCTTTTTACAGAGCAGTTTTGAAACACTCTTTTTGTGGAATCTGAAAGTGGATATTTGGATAGCTTTGAGGATTTCGTTGGAAACGGGATTACATATAAAACCTAGAGAGAAGCATTCTCAGGAACTTCTTTGTGATGTTTGCCTTGAAGTCACAGGACTGAACATTCCCTTTCATAGAGCAGGTTTGAAACACTCTTTCTGTAGTATCTGCAAGCTGACGTTTCAAGCGCTTTCAGGCCTATGGTGAGAAAGGAAATATCTTCAAGTAAAAACTAGACAGAAGCATTCTCAGAAACTTATTTGCGATGTGTGTCCTCAACTAACAGAGTTGAACCTTTCTTTTGATACAACATTTTGGAAACACTCTTTTTGTAGAATCTGCAAGTGGATATTTGGATAGCTTTGAAGGTTTCGTTGGAAACGGGAATATCTTCATATGAAATCAAGACAGAAGCATTCTCAGAAACTTCTCTGTGATGTTTGCATTCAACTCATAGAGTTGAACACTTCCCTTCATACAGCAGGTTTGAAACACTCTTTTTCTAATATTTGGAAGTGGACATTTGCAGCGCTTTGAGGCCTATGTTGAAAAAGGAAATATCTTCTCCTAAAAACCAGACAGAAGCATTCTCAGAAACTTCCTTGTGATGTGTGTACTCAAGTAACAGAGTTGAACCTTCCTTTTGACAGAGCAGTTTTGAAGCACTCTTTTTGTAGAATCTGCAAGTGGATATTTTGATACCTTTGAGGATTTCGTTGGACACGGGATATCTTCATATAAAATCTAGACAGAAGCATTCTCAGAAACTTCTTTGTGCTTTATGTCCTCAATTAACAGAGTTGAACCTTTGTGTGGATACAGCATTTTGGAAACATTCCTTTAGTAGAATCTGCAAGTTGATATTTAGATAGCTAGGAAGATTTCCTTGGAAACGGGAATATCTTCATATAAAATCTAGACGGAAGCATTCTCAGAAAGTGCTTTGTGATGTTTGCATTCAAGTCACAGTAGTTGAATATTCCCTTTTATAGAGCAGGTTTGAAACACTCTTTCTGCACTACCTGGAAGTGGACATTTGGAGCGCTTTGAGGCCTATGTTGAAAAACGAAATATCTTCCCATAAAAACTAGACAGAAGCATTCTCAGAAACTTGTTTGTGATGTGTGTATTCAACTAACAGAGATGAACCTTTCTTTTTACAGAGCAGTTTTGAAACACTCTTTTTGTGGAATCTGAAAGTGGATATTTGGATAGCTTTGAGGATTTCGTTGGAAACGGGATTACATATAAAACCTAGAGAGAAGCATTCTCAGGAACTTCTTTGTGATGTTTGCCTTCAAGTCACAGGACTGAACATTCCCTTTCATAGAGCAGGTTTGAAACACTCTTTCTGTAGTATCTGCAAGCTGACGTTTCAAGCGCTTTCAGGCCTATGGTGAGAAAGGAAATATCTTCAAGTAAAAACTAGACAGAAGCATTCTCAGAAACTTATTTGCCATGTGTGTTCTCAACTAACAGAGTTGAACCTTTGTTTTGATACGGCATTTTGGAAACACTCTTTTTGTAGAATCTGCAGGTGGATATTCGGATAGCTTTGAAGGTTTCGTTGGAAACGGGAATATCTTCATATAAAATCTAGACGGAAGCATTCTCAGAAACTGCTTTGTGATGTTTTCATTCAAGTCACAGAGTAGAATGTTCCCTGTTATACACCAGGTTTGAGACACTCTTTCTGCACTACCTGGAAGTGGACGTTTGGAGCGCTTTGAGGCCTATGTTGAAAAAGGAATTATCTTCCCATAAAAACTAGACAGAAGCATTCTCAGAAACTTCCTTGTGATGTGTGTACTCAAGTAACAGAGTTGAACCTTACTTTTGACAGAGCCGTTTTGAAACAGTCTTGTTGTAGAATCTGGAAGTAGATATTTGGACACCTTTGAGGATTTCTTTGGAAACGGGATATCTTCATATAAAATCTAGACGGAAGCATTCTCAGGAACTTCTTTGTGATGTTTGCATTCACGTCACAGAACTGAACATTCCCTTTCATAGAGCATGTTTGAAACACTCTTTCTGTAGTATCTGCAAACGGACATTTCAAACGCTTTCAGGCCTATGGTGAGAAAGGAAATATCTTCAAATAAAAACTAGACAGAAGCATTCTCAGAAACTTATTTGCGATGTGTGTCCTCAACTAACAGAGTTGAACCTTTCTTTTGATACAACATTTTGGAAACACTCTTTTTGTGGAATCTGCAAGTGGATATTTGGATAGCTTTGAAGATTTCGTTGGAAACGGGAATATCTTCATATAAAATCAAGACAGAAGCATTCTCAGAAACTTCTCTGTGATGTTTGCATTCAACTCATAGAGTTGAACACTTCCCTTCATACAGCAGGTTTGAAACACTCTTTTTGTAATATTTGGAAGTGGACATTTGCAGCGCTTTGAGGCCTATGTTGAAAAAGGAAATATCTTCTCCTAAAAACCAGACAGAAGCATTCTCAGAAACTTCCTTGTGATGTGTGTACTCAAGTAACAGAGTTGAACCTTACTTTTGACAGAGCCGTTTTGAAACAGTCTTTTTGTAGAATCTGGAAGTAGATATTTGGATACCTTTGAGGATTTCTTTGGAAACGGGATGTCTTCATATAACATCTAGACAGAAGCATTCTCAGAAACTTCTTTGTGCTGTATGTCCTCAATTAACAGAGTTGAACCTTTGTGTGGATACAGCATTTTGGAAACACTCCTTTAGTAGAATCTGCAAGTTGATATTTAGATAGCTAGGAAGATTTCCTTGGAAACGGGAATATCTTCACATAAAATCTAGACGGAAGCATTCTCAGAAACTGCTTTGTGATGTTTTCATTCAAGTCACAGAGTAGAATGTTCCCTGTTATACACCAGGTTTGAGACACTCTTTCTGCACTACCTGGAAGTGGACGTTTGGAGCGCTTTGAGGCCTATGTTGAAAAAGGAAATATCTTCCCATAAAAACTAGACAGAAGCATTCTCAGAAACTTGTTTGTGATGTGTGTATTCAACTAACAGAGATGAACCTTTCTTTTTACAGAGCAGTTTTGAAACACTCTTTTTGTGGAATCTGAAAGTGGATATTTGGATAGCTTTGAGGATTTCGTTGGAAACGGGATTACATATAAAACCTAGAGAGAAGCATTCTCAGGAACTTCTTTGTGATGTTTGCATTCAAGTCACAGAACTGAACATTCCCTTTCATAGAGCATGTTTGAAACACTCTTTCTGTAGTATCTGCAAACGGACATTTCAAACGCTTTCAGGCCTATGGTGAGAAAGGAAATATCTTCAAATAAAAACTAGACAGAAGCATTCTCAGAAACTTGTTTGCGATGTGTTTCCTCAACTAACAGAGTTGAACCTTTCTTTTGATACAACATTTTGGAAACACTCTTTTTGTAGAATCTGCAAGTGGATATTTGGATAGCTTTGAAGGTTTCTTTGGAAACGGGAATATCTTCATATAAAATCAAGACAGAAGCATTCTCAGAAACTTCTCTGTGATGTTTGCATTCAACTCATAGAGTTGAACACTTCCCTTCATACAGCAGGTTTGAAACACTCTTTTTGTAATATTTGGAAGTGGACATTTGCAGCGCTTTGAGGCCTATGATGAAAAAGGTAATATCTTCCCATAAAAACTAGACAGAAGCATTCTCAGAAACTTGTTTGTGATGTGTGTATTCAACTAACAGAGATGAACCTTTCTTTTTACAGAGCAGTTTTGAAACACTCTTTTTGTGGAATCTGAAAGTGGATATTTGGATAGCTTTGCGGATTTCGTTGGAAACGGGATTACATATAAAATCTAGGGAGAAGCATTCTCAGGAACTTCTTTGTGATGTTTGCATTCAAGTCACAGAACTGAACATTCCCTTTCATAGAGCAGGTTTGAAACACTCTTTCTGTAGTATCTGCAAGCGGACGTTTTAAGCGCTTTCAGGCCTGTGGTGAGAAAGGAAATATCTTCAAATAAAAACTAGACAGAAGCATTCTCAGAAACTTATTTGCGATGTGTGTCCTCAACTAACAGAGTTGAACCTTTCTTTTGATACAACATTTTGGAAACACTCTTTTTGTAGAATCTGCAAGTGGATATTTGGATAGCTTTGAAGGTTTCGTTGGAAACGGGAATATCTTCATATGAAATCAAGACAGAAGCATTCTCAGAAACTTCTCTGTGATGTTTGCATTCAACTCATAGAGTTGAACACTTCCCTTCATACAGCAGGTTTGAAACACTCTTTTTGTAATATTTGGAAGTGGACATTTGCAGCGCTTTGAGGCCTATGTTGAAAAAGGAAATATCTTCTCCTAAAAACCAGACAGAAGCATTCTCAGGAACTTCTTTGTGATGTTTGCCTTCTAGTCACAGGACTGAACATTCCCTTTCATAGAGCATGTTTGAAACACTCTTTCTGTAGTATCTGCAAGCTGACGTTTCAAGCGCTTTCAGGCCTATGGTGAGAAAGGAAATATCTTCAAGTAAAAACTAGACAGAATCATTCTCAGAAACTTCTTTGTGCTGTATGTCCTCAATTAACAGAGTTGAACCTTTGTGTGGATACAGCATTTTGGAAACATTCCTTTAGTAGAATCTGCAAGTTGATATTTAGATAGCTAGGAAGATTTCCTTGGAAACGGGAATATCTTCATATAAAATCTAGACGGAAGCATTCTCAAAAAGTGCTTTGTGATGTTTGCATTCAAGTCACAGAGTTGAATATTCCCTTTTATAGAGCAGGTTTGAAACACTCTTTCTGCACTACCTGGAAGTGGACATTTGGAGCGCTTTGAGGCCTATGTTGAAAAAGGAAATATCTTCCCATAAAAACTAGACAGAAGCATTCTCAGAAACTTGTTTGTGATGTGTGTATTCAACTAACAGAGATGAACCTTTCTTTTTACAGAGCAGTTTTGAAACACTCTTTTTGTGGAATCTGAAAGTGGATATTTGGATAGCTTTGAGGATTTCGTTGGAAACGGGATTACATATAAAACCTAGAGAGAAGCATTCTCAGGAACTTCTTTGTGATGTTTGCCTTCAAGTCACAGGACTGAACATTCCCTTTCATAGAGCAGGTTTGAAACACTCTTTCTGTAGTATCTGCAAGCTGACGTTTCAAGCGCTTTCAGGCCTATGGTGAGAAAGGAAATATCTTCAAGTAAAAACTAGACAGAAGCATTCTCAGAAACTTATTTGCGATGTGTGTTCTCAACTAACAGAGTTGAACCTTTGTTTTGATATGGCATTTTGGAAACACTCTTTTTGTAGAATCTGCAGGTGGATATTCGGATAGCTTTGAAGGTTTCGTTGGAAACGGGAATATCTTCATATAAAATCTAGACGGAAGCATTCTCAGAAACTGCTTTGTGATGTTTTCATTCAAGTCACAGAGTAGAATGTTCCCTGTTATATACCAGGTTTGAGACACTCTTTCTGCACTACCTGGAAGTGGACGTTTGGAGCGCTTTGAGGCCTATGTTGAAAAAGGAAATATCTTCCCATAAAAACTAGACAGAAGCATTCTCAGAAACTTGTTTGTGATGTGTGTATTCAACTAACAGAGATGAACCTTTCTTTTTACAGAGCAGTTTTGAAACACTCTTTTTGTGGAATCTGAAAGTGGATATTTGGATAGCTTTGAGGATTTCGTTGGAAACGGGATTACATATAAAATCTAGAGAGAAGCATTCTCAGGAACTTCTTTGTGATGTTTGCATTCAAGTCACAGAACTGAACATTCCCTTTCATAGAGCAGGTTTGAAACACTCTTTCTGTAGTATCTGCAAGCTGACGTTTCAAGCGCTTTCAGGCCTATGGTGAGAAAGGAAATATCTTCAAGTAAAAACTAGACAGAAGCATTCTCAGAAACTTATTTGCGATGTGTGTTCTCAACTAACAGAGTTGAACCTTTGTTTTGATATGGCATTTTGGAAACACTCTTTTTGTAGAATCTGCAGGTGGATATTCGGATAGCTTTGAAGGTTTCGTTGGAAACGGGAATATCTTCATATAAAATCTAGACGGAAGCATTCTCAGAAACTGCTTTGTGATGTTTTCATTCAAGTCACAGAGTAGAATGTTCCCTGTTATATACCAGGTTTGAGACACTCTTTCTGCACTACATGGAAGTGGACATTTGGAGCGCTTTGAGGCCTATGTTGAAAAAGGAAATATCTTCCCATAAAAACTAGACAGAAGCATTCTCAGAAACTTGTTTGTGATGTGTGTATTCAACTAACAGAGATGAACCTTTCTTTTTACAGAGCAGTTTTGAAACACTCTTTTTGTGGAATCTGAAAGTGGATATTTGGATAGCTTTGAGGATTTCGTTGGAAACGGGATTACATATAAAACCTAGAGAGAAGCATTCTCAGGAACTTCTTTGTGATGTTTGCATTCAAGTCACAGAACTGAACATTCCCTATCATAGAGCATGTTTGAAACACTCTTTCTGTAGTATCTGCAAACGGACATTTCAAACGCTTTCAGGCCTATGGTGAGAAAGGAAATATCTTCAAATAAAAACTAGACAGAAGCATTCTCAGAAACTTGTTTGCGATGTGTTTCCTCAACTAACAGAGTTGAACCTTTCTTTTGATACAACATTTTGGAAACACTCTTTTTGTAGAATCTGCAAGTGGATATTTGGATAGCTTTGAAGGTTTCTTTGGAAACGGGAATATCTTCATATAAAATCAAGACAGAAGCATTCTCAGAAACTTCTCTGTGATGTTTGCATTCAACTCATAGAGTTGAACACTTCCCTTCATACAGCAGGTTTGAAACACTCTTTTTGTAATATTTGGAAGTGGACATTTGCAGCGCTTTGAGGCCTATGATGAAAAAGGTAATATCTTCCCATAAAAACTAGACAGAAGCATTCTCAGAAACTTGTTTGTGATGTGTGTATTCAACTAACGGAGATGAACCTTTCTTTTTACAGAGCAGTTTTGAAACACTCTTTTTGTGGAATCTGAAAGTGGATATTTGGATAGCTTTGCGGATTTCGTTGGAAACGGGATTACATATAAAATCTAGGGAGAAGCATTCTCAGGAACTTCTTTGTGATGTTTGCATTCAAGTCACAGAACTGAACATTCCCTTTCATAGAGCAGGTTTGAAACACTCTTTCTGTAGTATCTGCAAGCGGACGTTTTAAGCGCTTTCAGGCCTGTGGTGAGAAAGGAAATATCTTCAAATAAAAACTAGACAGAAGCATTCTCAGAAACTTATTTGCGATGTGTGTCCTCAACTAACAGAGTTGAACCTTTCTTTTGATACAACATTTTGGAAACACTCTTTTTGTAGAATCTGCAAGTGGATATTTGGATAGCTTTGAAGGTTTCGTTGGAAACGGGAATATCTTCATATGAAATCAAGACAGAAGCATTCTCAGAAACTTCTCTGTGATGTTTGCATTCAACTCATAGAGTTGAACACTTCCCTTCATACAGCAGGTTTGAAACACTCTTTTTCTAATATTTGGAAGTGGACATTTGCAGCGCTTTGAGGCCTATGTTGAA
This sequence comes from Homo sapiens, assembly GCF_000001405.40. NCBI lineage: Eukaryota > Metazoa > Chordata > Mammalia > Primates > Hominidae > Homo > Homo sapiens. The sequence continues at coordinate 43,936,402 of NC_000009.12, forward strand.
AAAGGAAATATCTTCTCCTAAAAACCAGACAGAAGCATTCTCAGAAACTTCCTTGTGATGTGTGTACTCAAGTAACAGAGTTGAACCTTCCTTTTGACAGAGCAGTTTTGAAGCACTCTTTTTGTAGAATCTGCAAGTGGATATTTTGATACCTTCGAGGATTTCGTTGGACACGGGATATCTTCATATAAAATCTAGACAGAAGCATTCTCAGAAACTTCTTTGTGCTGTATGTCCTCAATTAACAGAGTTGAACCTTTGTGTGGATACAGCATTTTGGAAACATTCCTTTAGTAGAATCTGCAAGTTGATATTTAGATAGCTAGGAAGATTTCCTTGGAAACGGGAATATCTTCACATAAAATCTAGACGGAAGCATTCTCAGAAACTGCTTTGTGATGTTTGCATTCAAGTCACAGAGTTGAATATTCCGTTTTATAGAGCAGGTTTGAAACACTCTTTCTGCACTACCTGGAAGTGGACATTTGGAGCGCTTTGAGGCCTATGATGAAAAAGGAAATATCTTCCCATAAAAACTAGACAGAAGCATTCTCAGAAACTTGTTTGTGATGTGTGTATTCAACTAACAGAGATGAACCTTTCTTTTTACAGAGCAGTTTTGAAACACTCTTTTTGTGGAATCTGAAAGTGGATATTTGGATAGCTTTGAGGATTTCGTTGGAAACGGGATTACATATAAAATTCTAGAGAGAAGAGCATTCTCAGGAAATTCTTTGTGATGTTTGCCTTCAAGTCACAGGACTGAACATTCCCTTTCATAGAGCAGGTTTGAAACACTCTTTCTGTAGTATCTGCAAGCTGACGTTTCAAGCGCTTTCAGGCCTATGGTGAGAAAGGAAATATCTTCAAGTAAAAACTAGACAGAAGCATTCTCAGAAACTTCTTTGTGCTGTATGTCCTCAATTAACAGAGTTGAACCTTTGTGTGGATACAGCATTTTGGAAACATTCCTTTAGTAGAATCTGCAAGTTGATATTTAGATAGCTAGGAAGATTTCCTTGGAAACGGGAATATCTTCATATAAAATCTAGACGGAAGCATTCTCAGAAAGTGCTTTGTGATGTTTGCATTCAGGTCACAGAGTTGAATATTCCCTTTTATAGAGCAGGTTTGAAACACTCTTTCTGCACTACCTGGAAGTGGACATTTGGAGCGCTTTGAGGCCTATGTTGAAAAAGGAAATATCTTCCCATAAAAACTAGACAGAAGCATTCTCAGAAACTTGTTTTTGATGTGTGTATTCAACTAACAGAGATGAACCTTTCTTTTTACAGAGCAGTTTTGAAACACTCTTTTTGTGGAATCTGAAAGTGGATATTTGGATAGTTTTGAGGATTTCGTTGGAAACGGGATTACATATAAAATCTAGAGAGAAGCATTCTCAGGAACTTCTTTGTGATGTTTGCCTTCAAGTCACAGGACTGAACATTCCCTTTCATAGAGCAGGTTTGAAACACTCTTTCTGTAGTATCTGCAAGCTGACGTTTCAAGCGCTTTCAGGCCTATGGTGAGAAAGGAAATATCTTCAAGTAAAAACTAGACAGGAAGCATTCTCAGAAACTTATTTGCCATGTGTGTTCTCAACTAACAGAGTTGAACCTTTGTTTTGATACGGCATTTTGGAAACACTCTTTTTGTAGAATCTGCAGGTGGATATTCGGATAGCTTTGAAGGTTTCGTTGGAAACGGGAATATCTTCATATAAAATCTAGACGGAAGCATTCTCAGAAACTGCTTTGTGATGTTTTCATTCAAGTCACAGAGTAGAATGTTCCCTTTTATATACCAGGTTTGAGACACTCTTTCTGCACTATCTGGAAGTGGACATTTGGAGCGCTTTGAGGCCTATGATGAAAAAGGAAATATCTTCCCATAAAAACTAGACAGAAGCATTCTCAGAAACTTGTTTGTGATGTGTGTATTCAACTAACAGAGATGAACCTTTCTTTTTACAGAGCAGTTTTGAAACACTCTTTTTGTGGAATCTGAAAGTGGATATTTGGATAGCTTTGAGGATTTCGTTGGAAACGGGATTACATATAAAATCTAGAGAGAAGCATTCTCAGGAACTTCTTTGTGATGTTTGCATTCACGTCACAGAACTGAACATTCCCTTTCATAGAGCATGTTTGAAACACTCTTTCTGTAGTATCTGCAAACGGACATTTCAAACGCTTTCAGGCCTATGGTGAGAAAGGAAATATCTTCAAATAAAAACTAGACAGAAGCATTCTCAGAAACTTATTTGTGATGTGTGTCCTCAACTAACAGAGTTGAACCTTTCTTTTGATACAACATTTTGGAACCACTCTTTTTGTAGAATCTGCAAGTGGATATTTGGATAGCTTTGAAGGTTTCGTTGGAAACGGGAATATCTTCATATAAAATCAAGACAGAAGCATTCTCAGAAACTTCTCTGTGATGTTTGCATTCAACTCATAGAGTTGAACACTTCCCTTCATACAGCAGGTTTGAAACACTCTTTTTGTAATATTTGGAAGTGGACATTTGCAGCGCTTTGAGGCCTATGATGAAAAAGGAAATATCTTCCCATAAAAACTAGACAGAAGCATTCTCAGAAACTTGTTTGTGATGTGTGTATTCAACTAACAGAGATGAACCTTTCTTTTTACAGAGCAGTTTTGAAACACTCTTTTTGTGGAATCTGAAAGTGGATATTTGGATAGCTTTGCGGATTTCGTTGGAAACTGGATTACATATAAAATCTAGGGAGAAGCATTCTCAGGAACTTCTTTGTGATGTTTGCATTCAAGTCACAGAACTGAACATTCCCTTTCATAGAGCATGTTTGAAACACTCTTTCTGTAGTATCTGCAAACGGACATTTCAAGCGCTTTCAGGCCTATGGTAAGAAAGGAAATATCTTCAAATAAAAACTAGACAGAAGCATTCTCAGAAACTTATTTGCGATGTGTGTCCTCAACTAACAGAGTTGAAGCTTTGTTTTGATACAACATTTTGGAAACACTCTTGTTGTAGAATCTGCAAGTGGATATTTGGATAGCTTTGAAGGTTTCGTTGGAAACGGGAATATCTTCATATAAAATCAAGACAGAAGCATTCTCAGAAACTTCTCTGTGATGTTTGCATTCAACTCATAGAGTTGAACACTTCCCTTCATAGAGCAGGTTTGAAACACTCTTTTTGTAATATTTGGAAGTGGACATTTGCAGCGCTTTGAGGCCTATGTTGAAAAAGGAAATATCTTCTCCTAAAAACCAGACAGAAGCATTCTCAGAAACTTCCTTGTGATGTGTGTACTCAAGTAACAGAGTTGAACCTTACTTTTGACAGAGCCGTTTTGAAACAGTCTTTTTGTAGAATCTGGAAGTAGATATTTGGATACCTTTGAGGATTTCTTTGGAAACGGGATATCTTCATATAAAATCTAGACAGAAGCATTCTCAGGAACTTCTTTGTGATGTTTGCATTCAAGTCACAGAACTGAACATTCCCTTTCATAGAGCAGGTTTGAAACACTCTTTCTGTAGTATCTGCAAGCGGACGTTTTAAGCGCTTTCAGGCCTGTGGTGAGAAAGGAAATATCTTCAAATAAAAACTAGACAGAAGTATTCTCAGAAACTTATTTGCGATGTGTGTCCTCAACTAACAGAGTTGAACCTTTCTTTTGATACAACATTTTGGAAACACTCTGTTTGTAGAATCTGCAAGTGGATATTTGGATAGCTTTGAAGGTTTCGTTGGAAACGGGAATATCTTCATATGAAATCAAGACAGAAGCATTCTCAGAAACTTCTCTGTGATGTTTGCATTCAACTCATAGAGTTGAACACTTCCCTTCATACAGCAGGTTTGAAACACTCTTTTTCTAATATTTGGAAGTGGACATTTGCAGCGCTTTGAGGCCTATGTTGAAAAAGGAAATATCTTCTCCTAAAAACCAGACAGAAGCATTCTCAGAAACTTCCTTGTGATGTGTGTACTCAAGTAACAGAGTTGAACCTTCCTTTTGACAGAGCAGTTTTGAAGCACTCTTTTTGTAGAATCTGCAAGTGGATATTTTGATACCTTTGAGGATTTCGTTGGACACGGGATATCTTCATATAAAATCTAGACAGAAGCATTCTCAGAAACTTCTTTGTGCTGTATGTCCTCAATTAACAGAGTTGAACCTTTGTGTGGATACAGCATTTTGGAAACATTCCTTTAGTAGAATCTGCAAGTTGATATTTAGATAGCTAGGAAGATTTCCTTGGAAACGGGAATATCTTCATATAAAATCTAGACGGAAGCATTCTCAGAAAGTGCTTTGTGATGTCTTCATTCAAGTCACAGAGTAGAATGTTCCCTTTTATAGAGCAGGTTTGAAACACTCTTTCTGCACTACCTGGAAGTGGACATTTGGAGCGCTTTGAGGCCTATGTTGAAAAAGGAAATATCTTCCCATAAAAACTAGACAGAAGCATTCTCAGAAACTTGTTTGTGATGTGTGTATTCAACTAACAGAGATGAACCTTTCTTTTTACAGAGCAGTTTTGAAACACTCTTTTTGTGGAATCTGAAAGTGGATATTTGGATAGCTTTGAGGATTTCGTTGGAAACGGGATTACATATAAAACCTAGAGAGAAGCATTCTCAGGAACTTCTTTGTGATGTTTGCATTCAAGTCACAGAACTGAACATTCCCTTTCATAGAGCAGGTTTGAAACACTCTTTCTGTAGTATCTGCAAGCTGACGTTTCAAGCGCTTTCAGGCCTATGGTGAGAAAGGAAATATCTTCAAATAAAAACTAGACAGAAGCATTCTCAGAAACATATTTGCCATGTGTGTTCTCAACTAACAGAGTTGAACCTTTGTTTTGATACAGCATTTTGGAAACACTCTTTTTGTAGAATCTGCAGGTGGATATTCGGATAGCTTTGAAGGTTTCGTTGGAAACGGGAATATCTTCATATAAAATCAAGACAGAAGCATTCTCAGAAACTTCTCTGTGATGTTTGCATTCAACTCATAGAGTTGAACACTTCCCTTCATACAGTAGGTTTGAAACACTCTTTTTGTAATATTTGGAAGTGGACATTTGCAGCGCTTTGAGGCCTATGTTGAAAAAGGAAATATCTTCTCCTAAAAACCAGACAGAAGCATTCTCAGAAAGTTGTTTGTGATGTGTGTATTCAACTAACAGAGATGAACCTTTCTTTTTACAGAGCAGTTTTGAAACACTCTTTTTGTGGAATCTGAAAGTGGATATTTGGATAGCTTTGCGGATTTCGTTGGAAACGGGATTACATATAAAATCTAGGGAGAAGCATTATCAGGAACTTCTTTGTGATGTTTGCATTCAAGTCACAGAACTGAACATTCCCTTTCATAGAGCAGGTTTGAAACACTCTTTCTGTAGTATCTGCAAGCGGACGTTTTAAGCGCTTTCAGGCCTGTGGTGAGAAAAGAAATATCTTCAAATAAAAACTAGACAGAAGCATTCTCAGAAACTTATTTGCGATGTGTGTCCTCAACTAACAGAGTTGAACCTTTCTTTTGATACAACATTTTGGAAACACTCTTTTTGTAGAATCTGCAAGTGGATATTTGGATAGCTTTGAAGGTTTCGTTGGAAACGGGAATATCTTCATATGAAATCAAGACAGAAGCATTCTCAGAAACTTCTCTGTGATGTTTGCATTCAACTCATAGAGTTGAACATTTCCCTTCATACAGCAGGTTTGAAACACTCTTTTTGTAATATTTGGAAGTGGACATTTGCAGCGCTTTGAGGCCTATGTTGAAAAAGGAAATATCTTCTCCTAAAAACCAGACAGAAGCATTCTCAGAAACTTGTTTGTGATGTGTGTATTCAACTAACAGAGATGAACCTTTCTTTTTACAGAGCAGTTTTGAAACACTCTTTTTGTGGAATCTGAAAGTGGATATTTGGATAGCTTTGAGGATTTCGTTGGAAACGGGATTACATATAAAACCTAGAGAGAAGCATTCTCAGGAACTTACTTTGTGATGTTTGCCTTCAAGTCACAGGACTGAACATTCCCTTTCATAGAGCAGGTTTGAAACACTCTTTCTGTAGTATCTGCAAGCTGACGTTTCAAGCGCTTTCAGGCCTATGGTGAGAAAGGAAATATGCTTCAAGTAAAAACTAGACAGAAGCATTCTCAGAAACTTATTTGCCATGTGTGTTCTCAACTAACAGAGTTGAACCTTTGTTTTGATACGGCATTTTGGAAACACTCTTTTTGTAGAATCTGCAGGTGGATATTCGGATAGCTTTGAAGGTTTCGTTGGAAACGGGAATATCTTCATATAAAATCTAGACGGAAGCATTCTCAGAAACTGCTTTGTGATGTTTTCATTCAAGTCACAGAGTAGAATGTTCCCTGTTATACACCAGGTTTGAGACACTCTTTCTGCACTACCTGGAAGTGGACGTTTGGAGCGCTTTGAGGCCTATGTTGAAAAAGGAAATATCTTCCCATAAAAACTAGACAGAAGCATTCTCAGAAACTTGTTTGTGATGTGTGTATTCAACTAACAGAGATGAACCTTTCTTTTTACAGAGCAGTTTTGAAACACTCTTTTTGTGGAATCTGAAAGTGGATATTTGGATAGCTTTGCGGATTTCGTTGGAAACGGGATTACATATAAAATCTAGGGAGAAGCATTCTCAGGAACTTCTTTGTGATGTTTGCATTCAAGTCACAGAACTGAACATTCCCTTTCATAGAGCAGGTTTGAAACACTCTTTCTGTAGTATCTGCAAGCGGACGTTTTAAGCGCTTTCAGGCCTGTGGTGAGAAAGGAAATATCTTCAAATAAAAACTAGACAGAAGCATTCTCAGAAACTTATTTGCGATGTGTGTCCTCAACTAACAGAGTTGAACCTTTCTTTTGATACAACATTTTGGAAACACTCTTTTTGTAGAATCTGCAAGTGGATATTTGGATAGCTTTGAAGGTTTCGTTGGAAACGGGAATATCTTCATATGAAATCAAGACAGAAGCATTCTCAGAAACTTCTCTGTGATGTTTGCATTCAACTCATAGAGTTGAACACTTCCCTTCATACAGCAGGTTTGAAACACTCTTTTTCTAATATTTGGAAGTGGACATTTGCAGCGCTTTGAGGCCTATGTTGAAAAAGGAAATATCTTCTCCTAAAAACCAGACAGAAGCATTCTCAGAAACTTCCTTGTGATGTGTGTACTCAAGTAACAGAGTTGAACCTTCCTTTTGACAGAGCAGTTTTGAAGCACTCTTTTTGTAGAATCTTCAAGTGGATATTTTGATACCTTTGAGGATTTCGTTGGACACGGGATATCTTCATATAAAATCTAGACAGAAGCATTCTCAGGAACTTCTTTGTGATGTTTGCATTCAAGTCACAGAACTGAACATTCCCTTTCATAGAGCAGGTTTGAAACACTCTTTCTGTAGTATCTGCAAGCTGACGTTTCAAGCGCTTTCAGGCCTATGGTGAGAAAGGAAATATCTTCAAGTAAAAACTAGACAGAAGCATTGTCAGAAACTTATTTGCCATGTGTGTTCTCAACTAACAGAGTTGAACCTTTGTTTTGATACGGCATTTTGGAAACACTCTTTTTGTAGAATCTGCAGGTGGATATTCGGATAGCTTTGAAGGTTTCGTTGGAAACGGGAATATCTTCATATAAAATCTAGACGGAAGCATTCTCAGAAACTGCTTTGTGATGTTTTCATTCAAGTCACAGAGTAGAATGTTCCCTGTTATATACCAGGTTTGAGACACTCTTTCTGCACTACCTGGAAGTGGACATTTGGAGCGCTTTGAGGCCTATGATGAAAAAGGAAATATCTTCCCATAAAAACTAGACAGAAGCATTCTCAGAAACTTGTTTGTGATGTGTGTATTCAACTAACAGAGATGAACCTTTCTTTTTACAGAGCAGTTTTGAAACACTCTTTTTGTGGAATCTGAAAGTGGATATTTGGATAGCTTTGAGGATTTCGTTGGAAACGGGATTACATATAAAATCTAGAGAGAAGCATTCTCAGGAACTTCTTTGTGATGTTTGCATTCACGTCACAGAACTGAACATTCCCTTTCATAGAGCATGTTTGAAACACTCTTTCTGTAGTATCTGCAAACGGACATTTCAAACGCTTTCAGGCCTATGGTGAGAAAGGAAATATCTTCAAATAAAAACTAGACAGAAGCATTCTCAGCAACTTATTTGCGATGTGTGTCCTCAACTAACAGAGTTAAACCTTTCTTTTGATACAACATTTTGGAAACACTCTTTTTGTAGAATCTGCAAGTGGATATTTGGATAGCTTTGAAGGTTTCGTTGGAAACGGGAATATCTTCATATAAAATCAAGACAGAAGCATTCTCAGAAACTTCTCTGTGATGTTTGCATTCAACTCATAGAGTTGAACACTTCCCTTCATACAGCAGGTTTGAAACACTCTTTTTGTAATATTTGGAAGTGGACATTTGCAGCGCTTTGAGGCCTATGATGAAAAAGGTAATATCTTCCCATAAAAACTAGACAGAAGCCTTCTCAGAAACTTGTTTGTGATGTGTGTATTCAACTAACAGAGATGAACCTTTCTTTTTACAGAGCAGTTTTGAAACACTCTTTTTGTGGAATCTGAAAGTGGATATTTGGATAGCTTTGCGGATTTCGTTGGAAACGCGATTACATATAAAATCTAGGGAGAAGCATTCTCAGGAACTTCTTTGTGATGTTTGCATTCAAGTCACAGAACTGAACATTCCCTTTCATAGAGCAGGTTTGAAACACTCTTTCTGTAGTATCTGCAAGCGGACGTTTTAAGCGCTTTCAGGCCTGTGGTGAGAAAGGAAATATCTTCAAATAAAAACTAGACAGAAGCATTCTCAGAAACTTATTTGCGATGTGTGTCCTCAACTAACAGAGTTGAACCTTTCTTTTGATACAACATTTTGGAAACACTCTTTTTGTAGAATCTGCAAGTGAATATTTGGATAGCTTTGAAGGTTTCGTTGGAAACGGGAATATCTTCATATGAAATCAAGACAGAAGCATTCTCAGAAACTTCTCTGTGATGTTTGCATTCAACTCATAGAGTTGAACACTTCCCTTCATACAGCAGGTTTGAAACACTCTTTTTGTAATATTTGGAAGTGGACATTTGCAGCGCTTTGAGGCCTATGTTGAAAAAGGAAATATCTTCTCCTAAAAACCAGACAGAAGCATTCTCAGAAACTTCCTTGTGATGTGTGTACTCAAGTAACAGAGTTGAACCTTCCTTTTGACAGAGCAGTTTTGAAGCACTCTTTTTGTAGAATCTGCAAGTGGATATTTTGATACCTTTGAGGATTTCGTTGGACACGGGATATCTTCATATAAAATCTAGACAGAAGCATTCTCAGAAACTTCTTTGTGCTGTATGTCCTCAATTAACAGAGTTGAACCTTTGTGTGGATACAGCATTTTGGAAACATTCCTTTAGAAGAATCTGCAAGTTGATATTTAGATAGCTAGGAAGATTTCCTTGGAAACGGGAATATCTTCATATAAAATCTAGATGGAAGCATTCTCAGAAACTTCTCTGTGATGTTTGCATTCAACTCATAGAGTTGAACACTTCCCTTCATACAGCAGGTTTGAAACACTCTTTTTCTAATATTTGGAAGTGGACATTTGCAGCGCTTTGAGGCCTATGTTGAAAAAGGAAATATCTTCTCCTAAAAACCAGACAGAAGCATTCTCAGAAACTTCCTTGTGATGTGTGTACTCAAGTAACAGAGTTGAACCTTCCTTTTGACAGAGCAGTTTTGAAGCAGTCTTTTTGTAGAATCTGCAAGTGGATATTTTGATACCTTTGAGGATTTCGTTGGACACGGGATATCTTCATATAAAATCTAGACAGAAGCATTCTCAGAAACTTCTTTGTGCTGTATGTCCTCAATTAACAGAGTTGAACCTTTGTGTGGATACAGCATTTTGGAAACATTCCTTTAGTAGAATCTGCAAGTTGATATTTAGATAGCTAGGAAGATTTCCTTGGAAACGGGAATATCTTCATATAAAATCTAGACGGAAGCATTCTCAGAAAGTGCTTTGTGATGTTTGCATTCAAGTCACAGAGTTGAATATTCCCTTTTATAGAGCAGGTTTGAAACACTCTTTCTGCACTACCTGGAAGTGGACATTTGGAGCGCTTTGAGGCCTATGTTGAAAAAGGAAATATCTTCCCATAAAAACTAGACAGAATCATTCTCAGAAACTTGTTTGTGATGTGTGTATTCAACTAACAGAGATGAACCTTTCTTTTTACAGAGCAGTTTTGAAACACTCTTTTTGTGGAATCTGAAAGTGGATATTTGGATAGCTTTGAGGATTTCGTTGGAAACGGGATTACATATAAAATCTAGAGAGAAGCATTCTCAGGAACTTCTTTGTGATGTTTGCATTCAAGTCACAGAACTGAACATTCCCTTTCATAGAGCAGGTTTGAAACACTCTTTCTGTAGTATCTGCAAGCTGACGTTTCAAGCGCTTTCAGGCCTATGGTGAGAAAGGAAATATCTTCAAGTAAAAACTAGACAGAAGCATTCTCAGAAACTTATTTGCCATGTGTGTTCTCAACTAACAGAGTTGAACCTTTGTTTTGATACGGCATTTTGGAAACACTCTTTTTGTAGAATCTGCAGGTGGATATTCGGATAGCTTTGAAGGTTTCGTTGGAAACGGGAATATCTTCATATAAAATCTAGACGGAAGCATTCTCAGAAACTGCTTTGTGATGTTTTCATTCAAGTCACAGAGTAGAATGTTCCCTGTTATATACCAGGTTTGAGACACTCTTTCTGCACTACCTGGAAGTGGACGTTTGGAGCGCTTTGAGGCCTATGTTGAAAAAGGAAATATCTTCCCATAAAAACTAGACAGAAGTATTCTCAGAAACTTGTTTGTGATGTGTGTATTCAACTAACAGAGATGAACCTTTCTTTTTACAGAGCAGTTTTGAAACACTCTTTTTGTGGAATCTGAAAGTGGATATTTGGATAGCTTTGACGATTTCGTTGGAAACGGGATTACATATAAAACCTAGAGAGAAACATTCTCAGGAACTTCTTTGTGATGTTGGCCTTCAAGTCACAGGACTGAACATTCCCTTTCATAGAGCAGGTTTGAAACACTCTTTCTGTAGTATCTGCAAGCTGATGTTTCAAGCGCTTTCAGGCCTATGGTGAGAAAGGAAATATCTTCAAGTAAAAACTAGACAGAAGCATTCTCAGAAACTTATTTGCGATGTGTGTCCTCAACTAACAGAGTTGAACCTTTCTTTTGATACAACATTTTGGAAACACTCTTTTTGTAGATTCTGCAAGTGGATATTTGAATAGCTTTGAAGGTTTCGTTGGAAACGGGAATATCTTCATATAAAATCAAGACAGAAGCATTCTCAGAAACTTCTCTGTGATGTTTGCATTCAACTCATAGAGTTGAACACTTCCCCTCATACAGCAGGTTTGAAACACTCTTTTTGTAATATTTGGAAGTGGACATTTGCAGCGCTTTGAGGCCTATGATGAAAAAGGTAATATCTTCCCATAAAAACTAGACAGAAGCGTTCTCAGAAACTTGTTTGTGACGTGTGTATTCAACTAACAGAGATGAACCTTTCTTTTTACAGAGCAGTTTTGAAACACTCTTTTTGTGGAATCTGAAAGTGGATATTTGGATAGCTTTGCGGATTTCGTTGGAAACGGGATTACATATAAAATCTAGGGAGAAGCATTCTCAGGAACTTCTTTGTGATGTTTGCATTCAAGTCACAGAACTGAACATTCCCTTTCATAGAGCATGTTTGAAACACTCTTTCTGTAGTATCTGCAAGCGGACGTTTTAAGCGCTTTCAGGCCTGTGGTGAGAAAGGAAATATCTTCAAATAAAAACTAGACAGAAGCATTCTCAGAAACTTATTTGCGATGTGTGTCCTCAACTAACAGAGTTGAACCTTTGTTTTGATACAGCATTTTGGAAACACTCTTTTTGTAGGATCTGCAGGTGGATATTTGGATAGCTTTTAAGGTTTCGTTGGAAACGGGAATATCTTCATATAAAATCAAGACAGAAGCATTCTCAGAAACTTCTCTGTGATGTTTGCATTCAACTCATAGAGTTGAACACTTCCCTTCATACAGCAGGTTTGAAACACTCTTTTTGTAATATTTGGAAGTGGACATTTGCAGCGCTTTGAGGCCTATGATGAAAAAGGTAATATCTTCCCATAAAAACTAGACAGAAGCATTCTCAGAAACTTGTTTGTGATGTGTGTATTCAACTAACAGAGATGAACCTTTCTTTTTACAGAGCAGTTTTGAAACACTCTTTTTGTGGAATCTGAAAGTGGATATTTGGATAGCTTTGCGGATTTCGTTGGAAACGGGATTACATATAAAATCTAGGGAGAAGCACTCTCAGGAACTTCTTTGTGATGTTTGCATTCAAGTCACAGAACTGAACATTCCCTTTCATAGAGCAGGTTTGAAACACTCTTTCTGTAGTATCTGCAAGCGGACGTTTTAAGCGCTTTCAGGCCTCTGGTGAGAAAGGAAATATCTTCAAATAAAAACTAGACAGAAGCATTCTCAGAAACTTATTTGCGATGTGTGTCCTCAACTAACAGAGTTGAACCTTTCTTTTGATACAACATTTTGGAAACACTCTTTTTGTAGAATCTGCAAGTGGATATTTGGATAGCTTTGAAGGTTTCGTTGGAAACGGGAATATCTTCATATGAAATCAAGACAGAAGCATTCTCAGAAACTTCTCTGTGATGTGTGCATTCAACTCATAGAGTTGAACACTTCCCTTCATACAGCAGGTTTGAAACACTCTTTTTCTAATATTTGGAAGTGGACATTTGCAGCGCTTTGAGGCCTATGTTGAAAAAGGAAATATCTTCTCCTAAAAACCAGACAGAAGCATTCTCAGAAACTTCCTTGTGATGTGTGTACTCAAGTAACAGAGTTGAACCTTCCTTTTGACAGAGCAGTTTTGAAGCACTCTTTTTGTAGAATCTGCAAGTGGATATTTTGATACCTTTGAGGATTTCGTTGGACACGGGATATCTTCATATAAAATCTAGACAGAAGCATTCTCAGAAACTTCTTTGTGCTGTATGTCCTCAATTAACAGAGTTGAACCTTTGTGTGGATACAGCATTTTGGAAACATTCCTTTAGTAGAATCTGCAAGTTGATATTTAGATAGCTAGGAAGATTTCCTTGGAAACGGGAATATCTTCATATAAAATCTAGAGGGAAGCATTCTCAGAAACTGCTTTGTGATGTTTTCATTCAAGTCACAGAGTAGAATCTTCCCTGTTATATACCAGGTTTCAGACACTCTTTCTGCACTACCTGGAAGTGGACATTTGCAGCGCTTTGAGGCCTATGATGAAAAAGGAAATATCTTCCCATAAAAACTAGACAGAAGCATTCTCAGAAACTTGTTTGTGATGTGTGTATTCAACTAACAGAGATGAACCTTTCTTTTTACAGAGCAGTTTTGAAACACTCTTTTTGTGGAATCTGAAAGTGGATATTTGGATAGCTTTGAGGATTTCGTTGGAAACGGGATTACATATAAAACCTAGAGAGAAGCATTCTCAGGAACTTCTTTGTGATGTTTGCATTCACCGTCACAGAACTGAACATTCCCTTTCATAGAGCATGTTTGAAACACTCTTTCTGTAGTATCTGCAAACGGACATTTCAAACGCTTTCAGGCCTATGGTGAGAAAGGAAATATCTTCAAATAAAAACTAGACAGAAGCATTCTCAGAAACTTATTTGCGAGGTGTGTCTTCAACTAACAGAGTTGAACCTTTCTTTTGATACAACATTTTGGAAACACTCTTTTTGTAGAATCTGCAAGTGGATATTTGAATAGCTTTGAAGGTTTCGTTGGAAACGGGAATATCTTCATATAAAATCAAGACAGAAGCATTCTCAGAAACTGCTTTGTGATGTTTTCATTCAAGTCACAGAGTAGAATGTTCCGTTATATACCAGCTTTGAGACACTCTTTCTGCACTACCTGGAAGTGGACATTTGGAGCGCTTTGAGGCCTATGTTGAAAAAGGAAATATCTTCCCATAAAAACTAGACAGAAGCATTCTCAGAAACTTGTTTGTGATGTGTGTATTCAACTAACAGAGATGAACCTTTCTTTTTATAGAGCAGTTTTGAAACACTCTTTTTGTGGAATCTGAAAGTGGATATTTGGATAGCTTTGAGGATTTCGTTGGAAACGGGATTACATATAAAACCTAGAGAGAAGCATTCTCAGGAACTTCTTTGTGATGTTTGCATTCACGTCACAGAACTGAACATTCCCTTTCATAGAGCATGTTTGAAACACTCTTTCTGTAGTATCTGCAAACGGACATTTCAAACGCTTTCAGGCCTATGGTGAGAAAGGAAATATCTTCAAATAAAAACTAGACAGAAGCATTCTCAGAAACTTATTTGCGATGTGTGTCCTCAACTAACAGAGTTGAACCTTTCTTTTGATACAACATTTTGGAAACACTCTTTTTGTAGAATCAGCAAGTTGATATTTGAATAGCTTTGAAGGTTTCGTTGGAAACGGGAATATCTTCATATAAAATCAAGACAGAAGCATTCTCAGAAACTTCTCTGTGATGTTTGCATTCAACTCATAGAGTTGAACACTTCCCTTCATACAGCAGGTTTGAAACACTCTTTTTGTAATATTTGGAAGTGGACATTTGCAGCGCTTTGAGGCCTATGATGAAAAAGGTAATATCTTCCCATAAAAACTAGACAGAAGCATTCTCAGAAACTTGTTTGTGATGTGTGTATTCAACTAACAGAGATGAACCTTTCTTTTTACAGAGCAGTTTTGAAACACTCTTTTTGTGGAATCTGAAAGTGGATATTTGGATAGCTTTGCGGATTTCGTTGGAAACGTGATTACATATAAAATCTAGGGAGAAGCATTCTCAGGAACTTCTTTGTGATGTTTGCATTCAAGTCACAGAACTGAACATTCCCTTTCATAGAGCAGGTTTGAAACACTCTTTCTGTAGTATCTGCAAGCGGACGTTTTAAGCGCTTTCAGGCCTGTGGTGAGAAAGGAAATATCTTCAAATAAAAACTAGACAGAAGCATTCTCAGAAACTTATTTGCGATGTGTGTCCTCAACTAACAGAGTTGAACCTTTCTTTTGATACAACATTTTGGAAACACTCTTTTTGTAGAATCTGCAAGTGGATATTTGGATAGCTTTGAAGGTTTCGTTGGAAACGGGAATATCTTCATATGAAATCAAGACAGAAGCATTCTCAGAAACTTCTCTGTGATGTTTGCATTCAACTCATAGAGTTGAACACTTCCCTTCATACAGCAGGTTTGAAACACTCTTTTTGTAATATTTGGAAGTGGACATTTGCAGCGCTTTGAGGCCTATGTTGAAAAAGGAAATATCTTCTCCTAAAAACCAGACAGAAGCATTCTCAGAAACTTCCTTGTGATGTGTGTACTCAAGTAACAGAGTTGAACCTTCCTTTTGACAGAGCAGTTTTGAAGCACTCTTTTTGTAGAATCTGCAAGTGGATATTTTGATACCTTTGAGGATTTCGTTGGACACGGGATATCTTCATATAAAATCTAGACAGAAGCATTCTCAGAAACTTCTTTGTGCTGTATGTCCTCAATTAACAGAGTTGAACCTTTGTGTGGATACAGCATTTTGGAAACATTCCTTTAGTAGAATCTGCAAGTTGATATTTAGATAGCTAGGAAGATTTCCTTGGAAACGGGAATATCTTCATATAAAATCTAGACGGAAGCATTCTCAGAAAGTGCTTTGTGATGTTTGCATTCAAGTCACAGAGTTGAATATTCCCTTTTATAGAGCAGGTTTGAAACACTCTTTCTGCACTACCTGGAAGTGGACATTTGGAGCGCTTTGAGGCCTATGTTGAAAAAGGAAATATCTTCCCATAAAAACTAGACAGAAGCATTCTCAGAAACTAGTTTGTGATGTGTGTATTCAACTAACAGAGATGAACCTTTCTTTTTACAGAGCAGTTTTGAAACACTCTTTTTGTGGAATCTGAAAGTGGATATTTGGATAGCTTTGAGGATTTCGTTGGAAACGGGATTACATATAAAACCTAGAGAGAAGCATTCTCAGGAACTCCTTTGTGATGTTTGCCTTCAAGTCACAGGACTGAACATTCC
Source organism: Homo sapiens (assembly GCF_000001405.40). Classification (NCBI taxonomy): domain Eukaryota; kingdom Metazoa; phylum Chordata; class Mammalia; order Primates; family Hominidae; genus Homo; species Homo sapiens. The sequence continues at coordinate 43,952,663 of NC_000009.12, forward strand.
CTTTCATAGAGCAGGTTTGAAACACTCTTTCTGTAGTATCTGCAAGCTGACGTTTCAAGCGCTTTCAGGCCTATGGTGAGAAAGGAAATATCTTCAAGCAAAAACTAGACAGAAGCATTCTCAGAAACTTATTTGCCATGTGTGTTCTCAACTAACAGAGTTGAACCTTTGTTTTGATACGGCATTTTGGAAACACTCTTTTTGTAGAATCTGCAGGTGGATGTACGGATAGCTTTGAAGGTTTCGTTGGAAACGGGAATATCTTCATATAAAGTCTAGACGGAAGCATTCTCAGAAACTGCTTTGTGATGTTTTCATTCAAGTCACAGAGTAGAATGTTCGCTGTTATATACCAGGTTTGAGACACTCTTTCTGCACTACCTGGAAGTGGACGTTTGGAGCGCTTTGAGCCCTATGTTGAAAAAGGAAATATCTTCCCATAAAAACTAGACAGAAGCATTCTCAGAAACTTGTTTGTGATGTGTGTATTCAACTAACAGAGATGAACCTTTCTTTCTACAGAGCAGTTTTGAAACACCCTTTTTGTGGAATCTGAAAGTGGATATTTGGATAGCTTTGAGGATTTCGTTGGAAACGGGATTACATATAAAATCTAGAGAGAAGCATTCTCAGGAACTTCTTTGTGATGTTTGCATTCAAGTCACAGAACTGAACATTCCCTTTCATAGAGCATGTTTGAAACACTCTTTCTGTAGTATCTGCAAACGGACATTTCAAACGCTTTCAGGCCTATGGTGAGAAAGGAAATATCTTCAAATAAAAACTAGACAGAAGCATTCTCAGAAACTTATTTGCGATGTGTGTCCTCAACTAACAGAGTTGAACCTTTCTTTTGATACAACATTTTGGAAACACTCTTTTTGTAGAATCTGCAAGTGGATATTTGGATAGCTTTGAAGGTTTCGTTGGAAACGGGAATATCTTCATATGAAATCAAGACAGAAGCATTCTCAGAAACTTCTCTGTGATGTTTGCATTCAACTCATAGAGTTGAACACTTCCCTTCATACAGCAGGTTTGAAACACTCTTTTTCTAATATTTGGAAGTGGACATTTGCAGCGCTTTGAGGCCTATGTTGAAAAAGGATATATCTTCTCCTAAAAACCAGACAGAAGCATTCTCAGAAACTTCCTTGTGATGTGTGTACTCAAGTAACAGAGTTGAACCTTCCTTTTGACAGAGCAGTTTTGAAGCACTCTTTTTGTAGAATCTGCAAGTGGATATTTTGATACCTTTGAGGATTTCGTTGGACACGGGATATCTTCATATAAAATCTAGACAGAAGCATTCTCAGAAACTTCTTTGTGCTGTATGTCCTCAATTAACAGAGTTGAACCTTTGTGTGGATACAGCATTTTGGAAACATTCCTTTAGTAGAATCTGCAAGTTGATATTTAGATAGCTAGGAAGATTTCCTTGGAAACGGGAATATCTTCATATAAAATCTAGACGGAAGCATTCTCAGAAAGTGCTTTGTGATGTTTGCATTCAAGTCACAGAGTTGAATATTCCCTTTTATAGAGCAGGTTTGAAACACTCTTTCTGCACTACCTGGAAGTGGACATTTGGAGCGCTTTGAGGCCTATGTTGAAAAAGGAAATATCTTCCCATAAAAACTAGACAGAAGCATTCTCAGAAACTTGTTTGTGATGTGTGTATTCAACTAACAGAGATGAACCTTTCTTTTTACAGAGCAGTTTTGAAACTCTCTTTTTGTGGAATCTGAAAGTGGATATTTGGATAGCTTTGAGGATTTCGTTGGAAACGGGATTACATATAAAACCTAGAGAGAAGCATTCTCAGGAACTTCTTTGTGATGTTTGCCTTCAAGTCACAGGACTGAACATTCCCTTTCATAGAGCAGGTTTGAAACACTCTTTCTGTAGTATCTGCAAGCTGACGTTTCAAGCGCTTTCAGGCCTATGGTGAGAAAGGAAATATCTTCAAGTAAAAACTAGACAGAAGCATTCTCAGAAACTTATTTGCCATGTGTGTTCTCAACTAACAGAGTTGAACCTTTGTTTTGATACGGCATTTTGGAAACACTCTTTTTGTAGAATCTGCAGGTGGATATTCGGATAGCTTTGAAGGTTTCGTTGGAAACGGGAATATCTTCATATAAAATCTAGACGGAAGCATTCTCAGAAACTGCTTTGTGATGTTTTCATTCAAGTCACAGAGTAGAATGTTCCCTGTTATATACCAGGTTTGAGACACTCTTTCTGCACTACCTGGAAGTGGACATTTGCAGCGCTTTGAGGCCTATGATGAAAAAGGAAATATCTTCCCATAAAAACTAGACAGAAGCATTCTCAGAAACTTGTTTGTGATGTGTGTATTCAACTAACAGAGATGAACCTTTCTTTTTACAGAGCAGTTTTGAAACACTCTTTTTGTGGAATCTGAAAGTGGATATTTGGATAGCTTTGAGGATTTCGTTGGAAACGGGATTACATATAAAATCTAGAGAGAAGCATTCTCAGGAACTTCTTTGTGATGTTTGCATTCACGTCACAGAACTGAACATTCCCTTTCATAGAGCATGTTTGAAACACTCTTTCTGTAGTATCTGCAAACGGACATTTCAAACGCTTTCAGGCCTATGGTGAGAAAGGAAATATCTTCAAATAAAAACTAGACAGAAGCATTCTCAGCAACTTATTTGCGATGTGTGTCCTCAACTAACAGAGTTGAACCTTTCTTTTGATACAACATTTTGGAAACACTCTTTTTGTAGAATCTGCAAGTGGATATTTGGATAGCTTTGAAGGTTTCGTTGGAAACGGGAATATCTTCATATAAAATCAAGACAGAAGCATTCTCAGAAACTTCTCTGTGATGTTTGCATTCAACTCATAGAGTTGAACACTTCCCTTCATACAGCAGGTTTGAAACACTCTTTTTGTAATATTTGGAAGTGGACATTTGCAGCGCTTTGAGGCCTATGATGAAAAAGGTAATATCTTCCCATAAAAACTAGACAGAAGCGTTCTCAGAAACTTGTTTGTGATGTGTGTATTCAACTAACAGAGATGAACCTTTCTTTTTACAGAGCAGTTTTGAAACACTCTTTTTGTGGAATCTGAAAGTGGATATTTGGATAGCTTTGCGGATTTCGTTGGAAACGGGATTACATATAAAATCTAGGGAGAAGCATTCTCAGGAACTTCTTTGTGATGTTTGCATTCAAGTCACAGAACTGAACATTCCCTTTCATAGAGCATGTTTGAAACACTCTTTCTGTAGTATCTGCAAGCGGACGTTTCAAGCGCTTTCAGGCCTATGGTGAGAAAGGAAATATCTTCAAGTAAAAACTAGACAGAAGCATTCTCAGAAACTTATTTGCCATGTGTGTTCTCAACTAACAGAGTTGAACCTTTGTTTGGATACGGCATTTTGGAAACACTCTTTTTGTAGAATCTGCAGGTGGATATTCGGATAGCTTTGAAGGTTTCGTTGGAAACGGGAATATCTTCATAGAAAATCTAGACGGAAGCATTCTCAGAAACTGCTTTGTGATGTTTTCATTCAAGTCACAGAGTAGAATGTTCCCTTTTATATACCAGGTTTGAGACACTCTTTCTGCACTATCTGGAAGTGGACATTTGGAGCGCCTTGAGGCCTATGATGAAAAAGGAAATATCTTCCCATAAAAACTAGACAGAAGCATTCTCAGAAACTTGTTTGTGATGTGTGTATTCAACTAACAGAGATGAACCTTTCTTTTTACAGAGCAGTTTTGAAACACTCTTTTTGTGGAATCTGAAAGTGGATATTTGGATAGCTTTGAGGATTTCGTTGGAAACGGGATTACATATAAAATCTAGAGAGAAGCATTCTCAGGAACTTCTTTGTGATGTTTGCATTCACGTCACAGAACTGAACATTCCCTTTCATAGAGCATGTTTAAAACACTCTTTCTGTAGTATCTGCAAACGGACATTTCAAGCGCTTTCAGGCCTATGGTAAGAAAGGAAATATCTTCAAATAAAAACTAGACAGAAGCATTCTCAGAAACTTATTTGCGATGTGTGTCCTCAACTAACAGAGTTGAACCTTTGTTTTGATACAACATTTTGGAAACACTCTTTTTGTAGAATCTGCAAGTGGATATTTGGATAGCTTTGAAGGTTTCGTTGGAAACGGGAATATCTTCATATAAAATCAAGACAGAAGCATTCTCAGAAACTTCTCTGTGATGTTTGCATTCAACTCATAGAGGTGAACACTTCCCTTCATAGAGCAGGTTTGAAACACTCTTTTTGTAATATTTGGAAGTGGACATTTGCAGCGCTTTGAGGCCTATGTTGAAAAAGGAAATATCTTCTCCTAAAAACCAGACAGAAGCATTCTCAGAAACTTCCTTGTGATGTGTGTACTCAAGTAACAGAGTTGAACCTTACTTTTGACAGAGTCGTTTTGAAACAGTCTTTTTGTAGAATCTGGAAGTAGATATTTGGACACCTTTGAGGATTTCTTTGGAAACGGGATATCTTCATATAAAATCTAGACAGAAGCATTCTCAGAAACTTCTTTGTGCTGTATGTCCTCAATTAACAGAGTTGAACCTTTGTGTGGATACAGCATTTTGGAAACACTCCTTTAGTAGGATATGCAAGTTGATATTTAGATAGCTAGGAAGATTTCCTTGGAAACGGGAATATCTTCATATAAAATCTAGACGGAAGCATTCTCAGAAAGTGCTTTGTGATGTTTGCATTCAAGTCACAGAGTTGAATATTCCCTTTTATAGAGCAGGTTTGAAACACTCTTTCTGCACTACCTGGAAGTGGACATTTGGAGCGCTTTGAGGCCTATGTTGAAAAAGGAAATATCTTCCCATAAAAACTAGACAGAAGCATTATCAGAAACTTGTTTGTGATGTGTGTATTCAACTAACAGAGATGAACCTTTCTTTTTACAGAGCAGTTTTGAAACACTCTTTTTGTGGAATCTGAAAGTGGATATTTGGATAGCTTTGAGGATTTCGTTGGAAACGGGATTACATATAAAATCTAGAGAGAAGCATTCTCAGGAACTTCTTTGTGATGTTTGCATTCAAGTCACAGAACTGAACATTCCCTTTCATAGAGCATGTTTGAAACACTCTTTCTGTAGTATCTGCAAGCGGACGTTTCAAGCGCTTTCAGGCCTATGGTGAGAAAGGAAATATCTTCAAGTAAAAACTAGACAGAAGCATTCTCAGAAACTTATTTAACATGTGTGTTCTCAACTAACAGAGTTGAACCTTTGTTTTGATACGGCATTTTGGAAACACTCTTTTTGTAGAATCTGCTGGTGGATATTCGGATAGCTTTGAAGGTTTCGTTGGAAACGGGAATATCTTCATAGAAAATCTAGACGGAAGCATTCTCAGAAACTGCTTTGTGATGTTTTCATTCAAGTCACAGAGTAGAATGTTCTCTTTTATATACCAGGTTTGAGACACTCTTTCTGCACTATCTGGAAGTGGACATTTGGAGCGCTTTGAGGCCTATGATGAAAAAGGAAATATCTTCCCATAAAAACTAGACAGAAGCATTCTCAGAAACTTGGTTGTGATGTGTGTATTCAACTAACAGAGATGAACCTTTCTTTTTACAGAGCAGTTTTGAAACACTCTTTTTGTGGAATCTGAAAGTGCATATTTGGATAGCTTTGAGGATTTCGTTGGAAACGGGATTACATATAAAATCTAGAGAGAAGCATTCTCAGGAACTTCTTTGTGATGTTTGCATTCAAGTCACAGAACTGAACATTCCCTTTCATAGAGCATGTTTGAAACACTCTTTCTGTAGTATCTGCAAACGGACATTTCAAGCGCTTTCAGGCCTATGGTAAGAAAGGAAATATCTTCAAATAAAAACTAGACAGAAGCATTCTCAGAAACTTATTTGTGATGTGTGTCCTCAACTAACAGAGTTGAACCTTTGTTTTGATACAACATTTTGGAAACACTCTTTTTGTAGAATCTGCAAGTGGATATTTGGATAGCTTTGAAGGTTTCGTTGGAAACGGGAATATCTTCATATAAAATCAAGACAGAAGCATTCTCAGAAACTTCTCTGTGATGTTTGCATTCAACTCATAGAGGTGAACACTTCCCTTCATAGAGCAGGTTTGAAACACTCTTTTTGTAATATTTGGAAGTGGACATTTGCAGCGCTTTGAGGCCTATGTTGAAAAAGGAAATATCTTCTCCTAAAAACCAGACAGAAGCATTCTCAGAAACTTCCTTGTGATGTGTGTACTCAAGTAACAGAGTTGAACCTTACTTTTGACAGAGCCGTTTTGAAACAGTCTTTTTGTAGAATCTGGAAGTAGATATTTGGACACCTTTGAGGATTTCTTTGGAAACGGGATATCTTCATATAAAATCTAGACAGAAGCATTCTCAGAAACTTCTTTGTGCTGTATGTCCTCAATTAACAGAGTTGAACCTTTGTGTGGATACAGCATTTTGGAAACACTCCTTTAGTAGGATATGCAAGTTGATATTTAGATAGCTAGGAAGATTTCCTTGGAAACGGGAATATCTTCATATAAAATCTAGACGGAAGCATTCTCAGAAAGTGCTTTGTGATGTTTGCATTCAAGTCACAGAGTTGAATATTCCCTTTTATAGAGCAGGTTTGAAACACTCTTTCTGCACTACCTGGAAGTGGACATTTGGAGCGCTTTGAGGCCTATGTTGAAAAAGGAAATATCTTCCCATAAAAACTAGACAGAAGCATTCTCAGAAACTTGTTTGTGATGTGTGTATTCAACTAACAGAGATGAACCTTTCTTTTTACAGAGCAGTTTTGAAACACTCTTTTTGTGGAATCTGAAAGTGGATATTTGGAGAGCTTTGAGGATTTCGTTGGAAACGGGATTACATATAAAACCTAGAGAGAAGCATTCTCAGGAACTTCTTTGTGATGTTTGCCTTCAAGTCACAGGACTGAACATTCCCTTTCATAGAGCAGGTTTGAAACACTCTTTCTGTAGTATCTGCAAGCTGACGTTTCAAGCGCTTTCAGGCCTATGGTGAGAAAGGAAATATCTTCAAGTAAAAACTAGACAGAAGCATTCTCAGAAACTTATTTGCCATGTGTGTTCTCAACTAACAGAGTTGAACCTTTGTTTTGATACGGCATTTTGGAAACACTCTTTTTGTAGAATCTGCAGGTGGATATTCGGATAGCTTTGAAGGTTTCGTTGGAAACGGGAATATCTTCATATAAAATCTAGACGGAAGCATTCTCAGAAACTGCTTTGTGATGTTTTCATTGAAGTCACAGAGTAGAATGTTCCCTTTTATATACCAGGTTTGAGACACTCTTTCTGCACTATCTGGAAGTGGACATTTGGAGCGCTTTGAGGCCTATGATGAAAAAGGAAATATCTTCCCATAAAAACTAGACAGAAGCATTCTCAGAAACTTGTTTGTGATGTGTGTATTCAACTAACAGATATGAACCTTTCTTTTAACAGAGCAGTTTTGAAACACTCTTTTTGTGGAATCTGACAGTGGATATTTGGATAGCTTTGAGGATTTCGTTGGAAACGGGATTACATATAAAATCTAGAGAGAAGCATTCTCAGGAACTTCTTTGTGATGTTTGCATTCAAGTCACAGAACTGAACATTCCCTTTCATAGAGCAGGTTTGAAACACTCTTTCTGTAGTATCTGCAAGCGGACGTTTTAAGCGCTTTCAGGCCTGTGGTGAGAAAGGAAATATCTTCAAATAAAAACTAGACAGAAGCATTCTCAGAAACTTATTTGCGATGTGTGTCCTCAACTAACAGAGTTGAACCTTTCTTTTGATACAACATTTTGGAAACACTCTTTTTGTAGAATCTGCAAGTGGATATTTGGATAGCTTTGAAGGTTTCGTTGGAAACGGGAATATCTTCATATGAAATCAAGACAGAAGCATTCTCAGAAACTTCTCTGTGATGTTTGCATTCAACTCATAGAGTTGAACACTTCCCTTCATACAGCAGGTTTGAAACACTCTTTTTCTAATATTTGGAAGTGGACATTTGCAGCGCTTTGAGGCCTATGTTGAAAAAGGAAATATCTTCTCCTAAAAACCAGACAGAAGCATTCTCAGAAACTTCCTTGTGATGTGTGTACTCAAGTAACAGAGTTGAACCTTCCTTTTGACAGAGCAGTTTTGAAGCAGTCTTTTTGTAGAATCTGCAAGTGGATATTTTGATACCTTTGAGGATTTCGTTGGACACGGGATATCTTCATATAAAATCTAGACAGAAGCATTCTCAGGAACTTCTTTGTGATGTTTGCATTCACGTCACAGAACTGAACATTCCCTTTCATAGAGCATGTTTGAAACACTCTTTCTGTAGTATCTGCAAACGGACATTTCAAACGCTTTCAGGCCTATGGTGAGAAAGGAAATATCTTCAAATAAAAACTAGACAGAAGCATTCTCAGAAACTTATTTGCGATGTGTGTCCTCAACTAACAGAGTTGAACCTTTCTTTTGATACAACATTTTGGAAACACTCTTTTTGTGGAATCTGCAAGTGGATATTTGGATAGCTTTGAAGATTTCGTTGGAAACGGGAATATCTTCATATAAAATCAAGACAGAAGCATTCTCAGAAACTTCTCTGTGATGTTTGCATTCAACTCATAGAGTTGAACACTTCCCTTCATACAGCAGGTTTGAAACACTCTTTTTGTAATATTTGGAAGTGGACATTTGCAGCGCTTTGAGGCCTATGATGAAAAAGGTAATATCTTCCCATAAAAACTAGACAGAAGCATTCTCAGAAACTTGTTTGTGATGTGTGTATTCAACTAACAGAGATGAACCTTTCTTTTTACAGAGCAGTTTTGAAACACTCTTTTTGTGGAATCTGAAAGTGGATATTTGGATAGCTTTGCGGATTTCGTTGGAAACGGGATTACATATAAAATCTAGGGAGAAGCATTCTCAGGAACTTCTTTGTGATGTTCGCATTCAAGTCACAGAACTGAACATTCCCTTTCATAGAGCAGGTTTGAAACACTCTTTCTGTAGTATCTGCAAGCGGACGTTTTAAGCGCTTTCAGGCCTGTGGTGAGAAAGGAAATATCTTCAAATAAAAACTAGACAGAAGCATTCTCAGCAAACTTATTTGCGATGTGTGTCCTCAACTAACAGAGTTGAACCTTTCTTTTGATACAACATTTTGGAAACACTCTTTTTGTGGAATCTGCAAGTGGATATTTGGATAGCTTTGAAGGTTTCGTTGGAAACGGGAATATCTTCATATAAAATCAAGACAGAAGCATTCTCAGAAACTTCTCTGTGATGTTTGCATTCAACTCATAGAGTTGAACACTTCCCTTCATACAGCAGGTTTGAAACACTCTTTTTGTAATATTTGGAAGTGGACATTTGCAGCGCTTTGAGGCCTATGATGAAAAAGGTAATATCTTCCCATAAAAACTAGACAGAAGCATTCTCAGAAACTTGTTTGTGATGTGTGTATTCAACTAACAGAGATGAACCTTTCTTTTTACAGAGCAGTTTTGAAACACTCTTTTTGTGGAATCTGAAAGTGGATATTTGGATAGCTTTGAGGATTTCGTTGGAAACGGGATTACATATAAAACCTAGAGAGAAGCATTCTCAGGAACTTCTTTGTGATGTTTGCCTTCAAGTCACAGGACTGAACATTCCCTTTCATAGAGCAGGTTTGAAACACTCTTTCTGTAGTATCTGCAAGCTGACGTTTCAAGCGCTTTCAGGCCTATGGTGAGAAAGGAAATATCTTCAAGTAAAAACTAGACAGAAGCATTCTCAGAAACTTATTTGCCATGTGTGTTCTCAACTAACAGAGTTGAACCTTTGTTTTGATACGGCATTTTGGAAACACTCTTTTTGTAGAATCTGCAGGTGGATATTCGGATAGCTTTGAAGATTTCGTTGGAAACGGGAATATCTTCATATAAAATATTGACGGAAGCATTCTCAGAAACTGCTTTGTGATGTTTTCATTCAAGTCACAGAGTAGAATCTTCCCTGTTATATACCAGGTTTCAGGCACTCTTTCTGCACTACCTGGAAGTGGACATTTGCAGCGCTTTGAGGCCTATGATGAAAAAGGAAATATCTTCCCATAAAAACTAGACAGAAGCATTCTCAGAAAACTTGTTTGTGATGTGTGTATTCAACTAACAGAGATGAACCTTTCTTTTTACAGAGCAGTTTTGAAACACTCTTTTTGTAGAATCTGCAAGTGGATATTTTGATACCTTTGAGGATTTCGTTGGACACGGGATATCTTCATATAAAATCTAGACAGAAGCATTCTCAGGAACTTCTTTGTGATGTTTGCCTTCAAGTCACAGGACTGAACATTCCCTTTCATAGAGCAGGTTTGAAACACTCTTTCTGTAGTATCTGCAAGCTGACGTTTCAAGCGCTTTCAGGCCTATGGTGAGAAAGGAAATATCTTCAAGTAAAAACTAGACAGAAGCATTCTCAGAAACTTATTTGCCATGTGTGTTCTCAACTAACAGAGTTGAACCTTTGTTTTGATACGGCATTTTGGAAACACTCTTTTTGTAGAATCTGCAGGTGGATATTCGGATAGCTTTGAAGGTTTCGTTGGAAACGGGAATATCTTCATATAAAATCTAGACGGAAGCATTCTCAGAAACTGCTTTGTGATGTTTTCATTCAAGTCACAGAGTAGAATGTTCCCTGTTATATACCAGGTTTGAGACACTCTTTCTGCACTACCCGGAAGTGGACGTTTGGAGCGCTTTGAGGCGTATGTTGAAAAAGGAAATATCTTCCCATAAAAACTAGACAGAAGCATTCTCAGAAACTTGTTTGTGATGTGTGTATTCAACTAACAGAGATGAACCTTTCTTTTTACAGAGCAGTTTTGAAACACTCTTTTTGTGGAATCTGAAAGTGGATATTTGGATAGCTTTGAGGATTTCGTTGGAAACGGGATTACATATAAAATCTAGAGAGAAGCATTCTCAGGAACTTCTTTGTGATGTTTGCATTCACGTCACAGAACTGAACATTCCCTTTCATAGAGCATGTTTGAAACACTCTTTCTGTAGTATCTGCAAACGGACATTTCAAACGCTTTCAGGCCTATGGTGAGAAAGGAAATATCTTCATGTAAAAACTAGACAGAAGCATTCTCAGAAACTTATTTGCGATGTGTGTCCTCAACTAACAGAGTTGAACCTTTCTTTTGATACAACATTTTGGAAACACTCTTTTTGTAGAATCTGCAAGTGGATATTTGAATAGCTTTGAAGGTTTCGTTGGAAACGGGAATATCTTCATATAAAATCAAGACAGAAGCATTCTCAGAAACTTCTCTGTGATGTTTGCATTCAACTCATAGAGTTGAACACTTCCTTTCATACAGCAGGTTTGGAACACTCTTTTTGTAATATTTGGAAGTGGACATTTGCAGCGCTTTGAGGCCTATGATGAAAAAGGTAATATCTTCCCATAAAAACTAGACAGAAGCATTCTCAGAAACTTGTTTGTGATGTGTGTATTCAACTAACAGAGATGAACCTTTCTTTTTACAGAGCAGTTTTGAAACACTCTTTTTGTGGAATCTGAAAGTGGATATTTGGATAGCTTTGCGGATTTCGTTGGAAACGCGATTACATATAAAATCTAGGGAGAAGCATTCTCAGAAACTTCTCTGTGATGTTTGCATTCAACTCATAGAGTTGAACACTTCCTTTCATAGAGCTGGTTTGAAATACTCTTTTTGTAATATTTGGAAGTGGACATTGGCAGCGCTTTGAAGCCTATGGTGAAAAAGGAGATATCTTCTCCTAAAAACCAGACAGAAGCATTCTCAGAATCTTTCTTGTGATGTGTGTACTCAAGTAACAGAGGTGTACCTTCATTTTGACAGAGCAGTTGTGAAGCACTCTTTTTGTAGAATCTGCAAGTGGATATTTTGATACCTTTGAGGATTTCGTTAGACACGGGATATCTTCATATAAAATCTAGACAGAAGCATTCTCAGAAACTTCTTTGTGCTGTATGTCCTCAATTAACAGAGTTGAACCTTTGTGTGGATACAGCATTTTGGAAACATTCCTTTAGTAGAATCTGCAAGTTGATATTTAGATAGCTAGGAAGATTTCCTTGGAAACGGGAATATCTTCATATAAAATCTAGACGGAAGTATTCTCAGAAAGTGCTTTGTGATGTTTGCATTCAAGTCACAGAGTTGAATATTCCCTTTTATAGAGCAGGTTTGAAACACTCTTTCTGCACTACCTGGAAGTGGACATTTGGAGCGCTTTGAGGCCTATGTTGAAAAAGGAAATATCTTCCCATAAAAACTAGACAGAAGCATTCTCAGCAAACTTGTTTGTGATGTGTGTATTCAACTAACAGAGATGAACCTTTCTTTTTACAGAGCAGTTTTGAAACACTCTTTTTGTGGAATCTGAAAGTGGATATTTGGATAGCTTTGAGGATTTCGTTGGAAACGGGATTACATATAAAACCTAGAGAGAAGCATTCTCAGGAACTTCTTTGTGATGTTTGCCTTCAAGTCACAGGACTGAACATTCCCTTTCATAGAGCAGGTTTGAAACACTCTTTCTGTAGTATCTGCAAGCTGACGTTTCAAGCGCTTTCAGGCCTATGGTGAGAAAGGAAATATCTTCAAGTAAAAACTAGACAGAAGCATTCTCAGAAACTTATTTGCGATGTGTGTTCTCAACTAACAGAGTTGAACCTTTGTTTTGATATGGCATTTTGGAAACACTCTTTTTGTAGAATCTGCAGGTGGATATTCGGATAGCTTTGAAGGTTTCGTTGGAAACGGGAATATCTTCATATAAAATCTAGACGGAAGCATTCTCAGAAACTGCTTTGTGATGTTTTCATTCAAGTCACAGAGTAGAATGTTCCCTGTTATACACCAGGTTTGAGACACTCTTTCTGCACTACCTGGAAGTGGACGTTTGGAGCGCTTTGAGGCCTATGTTGAAAAAGGAAATATCTTCCCATAAAAACTAGACAGAAGCATTCTCAGAAACTTGTTTGTGATGTGTGTATTCAACTAACAGAGATGAACCTTTCTTTTTACAGAGCAGTTTTGAAACACTCTTTTTGTGGAATCTGAAAGTGGATATTTGGATAGCTTTGAGGATTTCGTTGGAAACGGGATTACATATAAAATCTAGAGAGAAGCATTCTCAGGAACTTCTTTGTGATGTTTGCATTCACGTCACAGAACTGAACATTCCCTTTCATAGAGCATGTTTGAAACACTCTTTCTGTAGTATCTGCAAACGGACATTTCAAACGCTTTCAGGCCTATGGTGAGAAAGGAAATATCTTCAAGTAAAAACTAGACAGAAGCATTCTCAGAAACTTATTTGCGATGTGTGTCCTCAACTAACAGAGTTGGACCTTTCTTTTGATACAACATTTTGGAAACACTCTTTTTGTAGAATCTGCAAGTGGATATTTGAATAGCTTTGAAGGTTTCGTTGGAAACGGGAATATCTTCATATAAAATCAAGACAGAAGCATTCTCAGAAACTTCTCTGTGATGTTTGCATTCAACTCATAGAGTTGAACACTTCCCTTCATACAGCAGGTTTGAAACACTCTTTTTGTAATATTTGGAAGTGGACATTCGCAGCGCTTTGAGGCCTATGATGAAAAAGGTAATATCTTCCCATAAAAACTAGACTGAAGCATTCTCAGAAACTTGTTTGTGATGTGTGTATTCAACTAACAGAGATGAACCTTTCTTTTTACAGAGCAGTTTTGAAACACTCTTTTTGTGGAATCTGAAAGTGGATATTTGGATAGCTTTGAGGATTTCGTTGGAAACGGGATTACATATAAAACCTAGAGAGAAGAATTCTCAGGAACTTCTTTGTGATGTTTGCCTTCAAGTCACAGAACTGAACATTCCCTTTCATAGAGCAGGTTTGAAACACTCTTTCTGTAGTATCTGCAAGCGGACGTTTCAAGCGCTTTCAGGCCTATGGTGAGAAAGGAAATATCTTCAAGTAAAAACTAGAAAGAAGCATTCTCAGAAACTTATTTGCCATGTGTGTTCTCAACTAACAGAGTTGAACCTTTGTTTTGATACGGCATTTTGGAAACACTCTTTTTGTAGAATCTGCAGGTGGATATTCGGATAGCTTTGAAGGTTTCGTTGGAAACGGGAATATCTTCATATAAAATCTAGACGGAAGCATTCTCAGAAACTGCTTTGTGATGTTTTCATTCAAGTCACAGAGTAGAATGTTCCCTGTTATATACCAGGTTTGAGACACTCTTTCTGCACTACCTGGAAGTGGACGTTTGGAGCGCTTTGAGGCCTATGTTGAAAAAGGAAATATCTTCCCATAAAAACTAGACAGAAGCATTCTCAGAAACTTGTTTGTGATGTGTGTATTCAACGAACAGAGATGAACCTTTCTTTTTACAGAGCAGTTTTGAAACACTCTTTTTGTGGAATCTGAAAGTGGATATTTGGATAGCTTTGAGGATTTCGTTGGAAACGGGATTACATATAAAATCTAGAGAGAAGCATTCTCAGAAACTTCTCTGTGATGTTTGCATTCAACTCATAGAGTGGAACACTTCCTTTCATAGAGCAGGTTTGAAACACTCTTTTTGTAATATTTGGAAGTGGACATTGGCAGCGCTTTGAGGCCTATGGTGAAAAACGAAATATCTTCTCCTAAAAACCAGACAGAAGCATTCTCAGAAACTTCCTTGTGATGTGTGTACTCAAGTAACAGAGATGAACTTTCCTTTTGACAGAGCAGTTTTGAAACACTCTTTTTGTAGAATCTGCAAGTGGATATTTTGATACCTTTGAGGATTTCGTTGGACACGGGATATCTTCATATAAAATCTAGACAGAAGCATTCTCAGAAACTTCTTTGTGCTGTATGTCCTCAATTAACAGAGTTGAACCTTTGTTTTGATACAGCATTCTGGAAACATTCCTTTAGTAGAATCTGCAAGTTGATATTTAGATAGCTAGGAAGATTTCCTTGGAAACGGGAATATCTTCATATAAAATCTAGACGGAAGCATTCTCAGAAACTGCTTTGTGATGTTTTCATTCAAGTCACAGAGTAGAATGTTCCCTGTTATATACCAGGTTTGAGACACTCTTTCTGAACTACCTGGAAGTGGACGTTTGGAGCGCTTTGAGGCCTATGTTGAAAAAGGAAATATCTTCCCATAAAAACTAGACAGAAGCATTCTCAGAAACTTGTTTGTGATGTGTGTATTCAACTAACAGAGATGAACCTTTCTTTTTACAGAGCAGTTTTGAAACACTCTTTTTGTGGAATCTGAAAGTGGATATTTGGATAGCTTTGAGGATTTCGGTGGAAACGGGATTACATATAAAACCTAGAGAGAAGCATTCTCAGGAACTTCTTTGTGATGTTTGCCTTCAAGTCACAGGACTGAACATTCCCTTTCATAGAGCAGGTTTGAAACACTCTTTCTGTAGTATCTGCAAGCTGACGTTTCAAGCGCTTTCAGGCCTATGGTGAGAAAGGAAATATCTTCAAGTAAAAACTAGACAGAAGCATTCTCAGAAACTTCTTTGCCATGTGTGTTCTCAACTAACAGAGTTGAACCTTTGTTTTGATACGGCATTTTGGAAACACTCTTTTTGTAGAATCTGCAGGTGGATATTCGGATAGCTTTGAAGGTTTCGTTGGAAACGGGAATATCTTCATATAAAATCTAGACGGAAGCATTCTCAGAAACTGCTTTGTGATGTTTTCATTCAAGTCACAGAGTAGAATGTTCCCTGTTATACACCAGGTTTGAGACACTCTTTCTGCACTACCTGGAAGTGGACGTTTGGAGCGCTTTGAGGCCTATGTTGAAAAAGGAAATATCTTCCCATAAAAACTAGACAGAAGCATTCTCAGAAACTTGTTTGTGATGTGTGTATTCAACTAACAGAGATGAACCTTTCTTTTTACAGAGCAGTTTTGAAACACTCTTTTTGTGGAATCTGAAAGTGGATATTTGGATAGCTTTGAGGATTTCGTTGGAAACGGGATTACATATAAAACCTAGAGAGAAGCATTCTCAGGAACTTCTTTGTGATGTTTGCATTCAAGTCACAGAACTGAACATTCCCTTTCATAGAGCAGGTTTGAAACACTCTTTCTGTAGTATCTGCAAGCTGACGTTTCAAGCGCTTTCAGGCCTATGGTGAGAAAGGAAATATCTTCAAGTAAAAACTAGACAGAAGCATTCTCAGAAACTTATTTGCCATGTGTGTTCTCAACTAACAGAGTTGAACCTTTGTTTTGATACGGCATTTTGGAAACACTCTTTTTGTAGAATCTGCAGGTGGATATTCGGATAGCTTTGAAGGTTTCGTTGGAAACGGGAATATCTTCATATAAAATCTAGACGGAAGCATTCTCAGAAACTGCTTTGTGATGTTTTCATTCAAGTCACAGAGTAGAATGTTCCCTGTTATACACCAGGTTTGAGACACTCTTTCTGCACTACCTGGAAGTGGACGTTTGGAGCGCTTTGAGGCCTATGTTGAAAAAGGAAATATCTTCCCATAAAAACTAGACAGAAGCATTCTCAGAAACTTGTTTGTGATGTGTGTATTCAACTAACAGAGATGAACCTTTCTTTTTACAGAGCAGTTTTGAAACACTCTTTTTGTGGAATCTGAAAGTGGATATTTGGATAGCTTTGAGGATTTCGTTGGAAACGGGATTACATATAAAATCTAGAGAGAAGCATTCTCAGGAACTTCTTTGTGATGTTTGCATTCACGTCACAGAACTGAACATTCCCTTTCATAGAGCATGTTTGAAACACTCTTTCTGTAGTATCTGCAAACGGACATTTCAAACGCTTTCAGGCCTATGGTGAGAAAGGAAATATCTTCAAGTAAAAACTAGACAGAAGCATTCTCAGAAACTTATTTGCGATGTGTGTCCTCAACTAACAGAGTTGAACCTTTCTTTTGATACAACATTTTGGAAACACTCTTTTTGTAGAATCTGCAAGTGGATATTTGAATAGCTTTGAAGGTTTCGTTGGAAACGGGAATATCTTCATATAAAATCAAGACAGAAGCATTCTCAGAAACTTCTCTGTGATGTTTGCATTCAACTCATAGAGTTGAACACTTCCCTTCATACAGCAGGTTTGAAACACTCTTTTTGTAATATTTGGAAGTGGACATTTGCAGCGCTTTGAGGCCTATGATGAAAAAGGAAATATCTTCCCATAAAAACTAGACAGAAGCATTCTCAGAAACTTGTTTGTGATGTGTGTATTCAACTAACAGAGATGAACCTTTCTTTTTACAGAGCAGTTTTGAAACACTCTTTTTGTGGAATCTGAAAGTGGATATTTGGATAGCTTTGCGGATTTCGTTGGAAACGGGATTACATATAAAATCTAGGGAGAAGCATTCTCAGGAACTTCTTTGTGATGTTTGCATTCAAGTCACAGAACTGAACATTCCCTTTCATAGAGCAGGTTTGAAACACTCTTTCTGTAGTATCTGCAAGCGGACGTTTTAAGCGCTTTCAGGCCTGTGGTGAGAAAGGAAATATCTTCAAATAAAAACTAGACAGAAGCATTCTCAGAAACTTATTTGCGATGTGTGTCCTCAACTAACAGAGTTGAACCTTTCTTTTGATACAACATTTTGGAAACACTCTTTTTGTAGAATCTGCAAGTGGATATTTGGATAGCTTTGAAGGTTTCGTTGGAAACGGGAATATCTTCATATGAAATCAAGACAGAAGCATTCTCAGAAACTTCTCTGTGATGTTTGCATTCAACTCATAGAGTTGAACACTTCCCTTCATACAGCAGGTTTGAAACACTCTTTTTCTAATATTTGGAAGTGGACATTTGCAGCGCTTTGAGGCCTATGTTGAAAAAGGAAATATCTTCTCCTAAAAACCAGACAGAAGCATTCTCAGAAACTTCCTTGTGATGTGTGTACTCAAGTAACAGAGTTGAACCTTCCTTTTGACAGAGCAGTTTTGAAGCACTCTTTTTGTAGAATCTGCAAGTGGATATTTTGATACCTTTGAGGATTTCGTTGGACACGGGATATCTTCATATAAAATCTAGACAGAAGCATTCTCAGAAACTTCTTTGTGCTGTATGTCCTCAATTAACAGAGTTGAACCTTTGTGTGGATACAGCATTTTGGAAACATTCCTTTAGAAGAATCTGCAAGTTGATATTTAGATAGCTAGGAAGATTTCCTTGGAAACGGGAATATCTTCATATAAAATCTAGACGGAAGCATTCTCAGAAACTGCTTTGTGATGTTTTCATTCAAGTCACAGAGTAGAATGTTCCCTGTTATATACCAGGTTTGAGACACTCTTTCTGCACTACCTGGAAGTGGACGTTTGGAGCGCTTTGAGGCCTTTGTTGAAAAAGGAAATATCTTCCCATAAAAACTAGACAGAAGCATTCTCAGAAACTTGTTTGTGATGTGTGTATTCAACTAACAGAGATGAACCTTTCTTTTTACAGAGCAGTTTTGAAACACTCTTTTTGTGGAATCTGAAAGTGGATATTTGGATAGCTTTGAGGATTTCGTTGGAAACGGGATTACAGATAAAACCTAGAGAGAAGCATTCTCAGGAACTTCTTTGTGATGTTTGCATTCAAGTCACAGAACTGAACATTCCCTTTCATAGAGCAGGTTTGAAACACTCTTTCTGTAGTATCTGCAAGCTGACGTTTCAAGCGCTTTCAGGCCTATGGTGAGAAAGGAAATATCTTCAAGTAAAAACTAGACAGAAGCATTCTCAGAAACTTATTTGCCATGTGTGTTCTCAACTAACAGAGTTGAACCTTTGTTTTGATACGGCATTTTGGAAACACTCTTTTTGTAGAATCTGCAGGTGGATATTCGGATAGCTTTGAAGGTTTCGTTGGAAACGGGAATATCTTCATATAAAATCTAGACGGAAGCATTCTCAGAAACTGCTTTGTGATGTTTTCATTCAAGTCACAGAGTAGAATGTTCCCTGTTATATACCAGGTTTGAGACACTCTTTCTGCACTACCTGGAAGTGGACGATTGGAGCGCTTTGAGGCCTATGTTGAAAAAGGAAATATCTTCCCATAAAAACTAGACAGAAGCATTCTCAGAAACTTGTTTGTGATGTGTGTATTCAACTAACAGAGATGAACCTTTCTTTTTACAGAGCAGTTTTGAAACACTCTTTTTGTGGTATCTGAAAGTGGATATTTGGATAGCTTTGAGGATTTCGTTGGAAACGGGATTACAGATAAAACCTAGAGAGAAGCATTCTCAGGAACTTCTTTGTGATGTTTGCATTCAAGTCACAGAACTGAACATTCCCTTTCATAGAGCAGGTTTGAAACACTCTTTCTGTAGTATCTGCAAGCTGACGTTTCAAGCGCTTTCAGGCCTATGGTGAGAAAGGAAATATCTTCAAGTAAAAACTAGACAGAAGCATTCTCAGAAACTTATTTGCGATGTGTGTTCTCAACTAACAGAGTTGAACCTTTGTTTTGATATGGCATTTTGGAAACACTCTTTTTGTAGAATCTGCAGGTGGATATTCGGATAGCTTTGAAGGTTTCGTTGGAAACGGGAATATCTTCATATAAAATCTAGACGGAAGCATTCTCAGAAACTGCTTTGTGATGTTTTCATTCAAGTCACAGAGTAGAATGTTCCCTGTTATATACCAGGTTTGAGACACTCTTTTTGTAATATTTGGAAGTGGACATTTGCAGCGCTTTGAGGCCTATGATGAAAAAGGTAATATCTTCCCATAAAAACTAGACAGAAGCATTCTCAGAAAGTTGTTTGTGATGTGTGTATTCAACTAACAGAGATGAACCTTTCTTTTTACAGAGCAGTTTTGAAACACTCTTTTTGTGGAATCTGAAAGTGGATATTTGGATAGCTTTGCGGATTTCGTTGGAAACGGGATTACATATAAAATCTAGGGAGAAGCATTATCAGGAACTTCTTTGTGATGTTTGCATTCAAGTCACAGAACTGAACATTCCCTTTCATAGAGCAGGTTTGAAACACTCTTTCTGTAGTATCTGCAAGCGGACGTTTTAAGCGCTTTCAGGCCTGTGGTGAGAAAAGAAATATCTTCAAATAAAAACTAGACAGAAGCATTCTCAGAAACTTATTTGCGATGTGTGTCCTCAACTAACAGAGTTGAACCTTTGTTTTGATACAGCATTTTGGAAACACTCTTTTTGTAGGATCTGCAGGTGGATATTTGGATAGCTTTTAAGGTTTCGTTGGAAACGGGAATATCTTCATATAAAATCAAGACAGAAGCATTCTCAGAAACTTCTCTGTGATGTTTGCATTCAACTCATAGAGTTGAACACTTCCTTTCATAGAGCTGGTTTGAAATACTCTTTTTGTAATATTTGGAAGTGGACATTTGCAGCGCTTTGAAGCCTATGGTGAAAAAGGAGATATCTTCTCCTAAAAACCAGACAGAAGCATTCTCAGAATCTTCCTTGTGATGTGTGTACTCAAGTAACAGAGTTGAACCTTCCTTTTGACAGAGCAGTTTTGAAGCACTCTTTTTGTAGAATTTGCAAGTGGATATTTTGATACCTTTGAGGATTTCGTTGGACACGGGATATCTTCATATAAAATCTAGACAGAAGCATTCTCAGAAACTTCTTTGTGCTGTATGTCCTCAATTAACAGAGTTGAGCCTTTGTTTCGATACAGCATTTTGGAAACATTCCTTTAGTAGAATCTGCAAGTTGATATTTAGATAGCTAGGAAGATATCCTTGGAAACGGGAATATCTTCATATAAAATCTAGACGGAAGCATTCTCAGAAACTGCTTTGTGATGTTTTCATTCAAGTCACAGTGTAGAATGTTCCCTGTTATATACCAGGTTTGAGACACTCTTTCTGCACTACCTGGAAGTGGACGTTTGGAGCGCTTTGAGGCCTATGTTGAAAAAGGAAATATCTTCCCATAAAAACTAGACAGAAGCATTCTCAGAAACTTGTTTGTGATGTGTGTATTCAACTAACAGAGATGAACCTTTCTTTTTACAGAGCAGTTTTGAAACACTCTTTTTGTGGAATCTGAAAGTGGATATTTGGATAGCTTTGAGGATTTCGTTGGAAACGGGATTACATATAAAACCTAGAGAGAAGCATTCTCAGGAACTTCTTTGTGATGTTTGCATTCAAGTCACAGAACTGAACATTCCCTTTCATAGAGCAGGTTTGAAACACTCTTTCTGTAGTATCTGCAAGCGGACGTTTTAAGCGCTTTCAGGCCTGTGGTGAGAAAGGAAATATCTTCAAATAAAAACTAGACAGAAGCATTCTCAGAAACTTATTTGCGATGTGTGTCCTCAACTAACAGAGTTGAACCTTTCTTTTGATACAACATTTTGGAAACACTCTTTTTGTAGAATCTGCAAGTGGATATTTGGATAGCTTTGAAGGTTTCGTTGGAAACGGGAATATCTTCATATGAAATCAAGACAGAAGCATTCTCAGAAACTTCTCTGTGATGTTTGCATTCAACTCATAGAGTTGAACACTTCCCTTCATACAGCAGGTTTGAAACACTCTTTTTCTAATATTTGGAAGTGGACATTTGCAGCGCTTTGAGGCCTATGTTGAAAAAGGAAATATCTTCTCCTAAAAACCAGACAGAAGCATTCTCAGAAACTTCCTTGTGATGTGTGTACTCAAGTAACAGAGTTGAACCTTCCTTTTGACAGAGCAGTTTTGAAGCACTCTTTTTGTAGAATCTGCAAGTGGATATTTTGATACCTTTGAGGATTTCGTTGGACACGGGATATCTTCATATAAAATCTAGACAGAAGCATTCTCAGAAACTTCTTTGTGCTGTATGTCCTCAATTAACAGAGTTGAACCTTTGTGTGGATACAGCATTTTGGAAACATTCCTTTAGTAGAATCTGCAAGTTGATATTTAGATAGCTAGGAAGATTTCCTTGGAAACGGGAATATCTTCATATAAAATCTAGACGGAAGCATTCTCAGAAAGTGCTTTGTGATGTTTGCATTCAAGTCACAGAGTTGAATATTCCCTTTTATAGAGCAGCTTTGAAACACTCTTTCTGCACTACCTGGAAGTGGACATTTGGAGCGCTTTGAGGCCTATGTTGAAAAAGGAAATATCTTCCCATAAAAACTAGACAGAAGCATTCTCAGAAACTTGTTTGTGATGTGTGTATTCAACTAACAGAGATGAACCTTTCTTTTTACAGAGCAGTTTTGAAACACTCTTTTTGTGGAATCTGAAAGTGGATATTTGGATAGCTTTGAGGATTTCGTTGGAAACGGGATTACATATAAAACCTAGAGAGAAGCATTCTCAGGAACTTCTTTGTGATGTTTGCCTTCAAGTCACAGGACTGAACATTCCCTTTCATAGAGCAGGTTTGAAACACTCTTTCTGTAGTATCTGCAAGCTGACGTTTCAAGCGCTTTCAGGCCTATGGTGAGAAAGGAAATATCTTCAAGTAAAAACTAGACAGAAGCATTCTCAGAAACTTATTTGCCATGTGTGTTCTCAACTAACAGAGTTGAACCTTTGTTTTGATACGGCATTTTGGAAACACTCTTTTTGTAGAATCTGCAGGTGGATATTCGGATAGCTTTGAAGGTTTCGTTGGAAACGGGAATATCTTCATATAAAATCTAGACGGAAGCATTCTCAGAAACTGCTTTGTGATGTTTTCATTCAAGTCACAGAGTAGAATGTTCCCTGTTATATACCAGGTTTGAGACACTCTTTCTGCACTACCCGGAAGTGGACGTTTGGAGCGCTTTGAGGCGTATGTTGAAAAACGAAATATCTTCCCATAAAAACTAGACAGAAGCATTCTCAGAAACTTGTTTGTGATGTGTGTATTCAACTAACAGAGATGAACCTTTCTTTTTACAGAGCAGTTTTGAAACACTCTTTTTGTGGAATCTGAAAGTGGATATTTGGAGAGCTTTGAGGATTTCGTTGGAAACGGGATTACATGTAAAATCTAGAGAGAAGCATTCTCAGGAACTTCTTTGTGATGTTTGCATTCACGTCACAGAACTGAACATTCCCTTTCATAGAGCATGTTTGAAACACTCTTTCTGTAGTATCTGCAAACGGACATTTCAAGCGCTTTCAGGCCTATGGTGAGAAAGGAAATATCTTCAAATAAAAACTAGACAGAAGCATTCTCAGAAACTTATTTGCCATGTGTGTTCTCAACTAACAGAGTTGAACCTTTGTTTTGATACGGCATTTTGGAAACACTCTTTTTGTAGAATCTGCAGGTGGATATTCGGATAGCTTTGAAGGTTTCGTTGGAAACGGGAATATCTTCATATAAAATCTAGACGGAAGCATTCTCAGAAACTGCTTTGTGATGTTTTCATTCAAGTCACAGAGTAGAATGTTCCCTGTTATATACCAGGTTTGAGACACTCTTTCTGCACTACCTGGAAGTGGACGTTTGGAGCGCTTTGAGGCCTATGTTGAAAAAGGAAATATCTTCCCATAAAAACTAGACAGAAGCATTCTCAGAAACTTGTTTGTGATGTGTGTATTCAACTAACAGGGATGAACCTTTCTTATTACAGAGCAGTTTTGAAACACTCTTTTTGTGGAATCTGAAAGTGGATATTTGGATAGCTTTGAGGATTTCGTTGGAAACGGGATTACATATAAAATCTAGGGAGAAGCATTCTCAGGAACTTCTTTGTGATGTTTGCATTCAAGTCACAGAACTGAACATTCCCTTTCATAGAGCAGGTTTGAAACACTCTTTCTGTAGTATCTGCAAGCGGACGTTTTAAGCGCTTTCAGGCCTGTGGTGAGAAAGGAAATATCTTCAAATAAAAACTAGACAGAAGCATTCTCAGAAACTTATTTGCGATGTGTGTCCTCAACTAACAGAGTTGAACCTTTCTTTTGATACAACATTTTGGAAACACTCTTTTTGTAGAATCTGCAAGTGGATATTTGGATAGCTTTGAAGGTTTCGTTGGAAACGGGAATATCTTCATATGAAATCAAGACAGAAGCATTCTCAGAAACTTCTCTGTGATGTTTGCATTCAACTCATAGAGTTGAACACTTCCCTTCATACAGCAGGTTTGAAACACTCTTTTTGTAATATTTGGAAGTGGACATTTGCAGCGCTTTGAGGCCTATGTTGAAAAAGGAAATATCTTCTCCTAAAAACCAGACAGAAGCATTCTCAGAAACTTCCTTGTGATGTGTGTACTCAAGTAACACAGTTGAACCTTCCTTTTGACAGAGCAGTTTTGAAGCACTCTTTTTGTAGAATCTGCAAGTGGATATTTTGATACCTTTGAGGATTTCGTTGGACACGGGATATCTTCATATAAAATCTAGACAGAAGCATTCTCAGAAACTTCTTTGTGATGTTTGCATTCAAGTCACAGAGGTGAACATTCCCATTCATAGAGAAAGTTTGAAACACTCTTTTTATAGTATCTGAAAGTGGTCATTTGTTGCGCTTTGTGGCTTACGTTGAAAAAGGAAATATCTTCCCATAAAAACCAGACAGAAGCATTCTCAGAAACTTGTTTGTGATGTGTGTATTCAACTAACAGAGATGAACCTTTCTTTTTACAGAGCAGTTTTAAAGCACTCTTTTTGTGGAATCTGAAAGTGGATATTTGGATAGCTTTGAGGATTTCGTTGGAAACGGGATTACATATAAAATCTAGAGAGAAGCATTCTCAGAAACTTCTCTGTGATGTTTGCATTCAACTCATAGAGTTGAACACTTCCCTTCATACAGCAGGTTTGAAACACTCTTTTTGTAATATTTGGAAGTGGACATTTGCAGCGCTTTGAGGCCTATGATGAAAAAGGAAATATCTTCCCATAAAAACTAGACAGAAGCATTCTCAGAAACTTGTTTGTGATGTGTGTATTCAACTAACAGAGATGAACCTTTCTTTTTACAGAGCAGTTTTGAAACACTCTTTTTGTGGAATCTGAAAGTGGATATTTGGATAGCTTTGCGGATTTCGTTGGAAACGGGATTACATATGAAATCTAGGGAGAAGCATTCTCAGGAACTTCTTTGTGATGTTTGCATTCAAGTCACAGAACTGAACATTCCCTTTCATAGAGCAGGTTTGAAACACTCTTTCTGTAGTATCTGCAAGCGGACGTTTTAAGCGCTTTCAGGCCTGTGGTGAGAAAGGAAATATCTTCAAATAAAAACTAGACAGAAGCATTCTCAGAAACTTATTTGCGATGTGTGTCCTCAACTAACAGAGTTGAACCTTTCTTTTGATACAACATTTTGGAAACACTCTTTTTGTAGAATCTGCAAGTGGATATTTGGATAACTTTGAAGGTTTCGTTGGAAACGGGAATATCTTCATATGAAATCAAGACAGAAGCATTCTCAGAAACTTCTCTGTGATGTTTGCATTCAACTCATAGAGTTGAACACTTCCCTTCATACAGCAGGTTTGAAACACTCTTTTTGTAATATTTGGAAGTGGACATTTGCAGCGCTTTGAGGCCTATGTTGAAAAAGGAAATATCTTCTCCTAAAAACCAGACAGAAGCATTCTCAGAAACTTGTTTGTGATGTGTGTATTCAACTAACAGAGATGAACCTTTCTTTTTACAGAGCAGTTTTGAAACACTCTTTTTGTGGAATATGAAAGTGGATATTTGGATAGCTTTGAGGATTTCGTTGGAAACGGGATTACATATAAAACCTAGAGAGAAGCATTCTCAGGAACTTCTTTGTGATGTTTGCCTTCAAGTCACAGGACTGAACATTCCCTTTCATAGAGCAGGTTTGAAACACTCTTTCTGTAGTATCTGCAAGCTGACGTTTCAAGCGCTTTCAGGCCTATGGTGACAAAGGAAATATCTTCAAGTAAAAACTAGACAGAAGCATTCTCAGAAACTTATTTGCCATGTGTGTTCTCAACTAACAGAGTTGAACCTTTGTTTTGATACGGCATTTTGGAAACACTCTTTTTGTAGAATCTGCAGGTGGATATTCGGATAGCTTTGAAGGTTTCGTTGGAAACGGGAATATCTTCATATAAAATCTAGACGGAAGCATTCTCAGAAACTGCTTTGTGATGTTTTCATTCAAGTCACAGAGTAGAATCTTCCCTGTTATATACCAGGTTTCAGACACTCTTTCTGCACTACCTGGAAGTGGACATTTGCAGCGCTTTGAGGCCTATGATGAAAAAGGAAATATCTTCCCATAAAAACTAGACAGAAGCATTCTCAGAAACTTGTTTGTGATGTGTGTATTCAACTAACAGAGATGAACCTTTCTTTTTACAGAGCAGTTTTGAAACACTCTTTTTGTGGAATCTGAAAGTGGATATTTGGATAGCTTTGCGGATTTCGTTGGAAACGGGATTACATATAAAATCTAGGGAGAAGCATTCTCAGGAACTTCTTTGTGATGTTTGCATTCAAGTCACAGAACTGAACATTCCCTTTCATAGAGCAGGTTTGAAACACTCTTTCTGTAGTATCTGCAAGCGGACGTTTTAAGCGCTTTCAGGCCTGTGGTGAGAAAGGAAATATCTTCAAATAAAAACTAGACAGAAGCATTCTCAGAAACTTATTTGCGATGTGTGTCCTCAACTAACAGAGTTGAACCTTTCTTTTGATACAACATTTTGGAAACACTCTTTTTGTAGAATCTGCAAGTGGATATTTGGATAGCTTTGAAGGTTTCGTTGGAAACGGGAATATCTTCATATGAAATCAAGACAGAAGCATTCTCAGAAACTTCTCTGTGATGTTTGCATTCAACTCATAGAGTTGAACACTTCCCTTCATACAGCAGGTTTGAAACACTCTTTTTGTAATATTTGGAAGTGGACATTTGCAGCGCTTTGAGGCCTATGTTGAAAAAGGAAATATCTTCTCCTAAAAACCAGACAGAAGCATTCTCAGAAACTTCCTTGTGATGTGTGTACTCAAGTAACAGAGTTGAACCTTCCTTTTGACAGAGCAGTTTTGAAGCACTCTTTTTGTAGAATCTGCAAGTGGATATTTTGATACCATTGAGGATTTCGTTGGACACGGGATATCTTCATATAAAATCTAGACAGAAGCATTCTCAGAAACTTCTTTGTGCTGTATGTCCTCAATTAACAGAGTTGAACCTTTGTGTGGATACAGCATTTTGGAAACATTCCTTTAGTAGAATCTGCAAGTTGATATTTAGATAGCTAGGAAGAGTTCCTTGGAAACGGGAATATCTTCATATAAAATCTAGACGGAAGCATTCTCAGAAAGTGCTTTTTGATGTTTGCATTCAAGTCACAGAGTTGAATATTCCCTTTTATAGAGTAGGTTTGAAACACTCTTTCTGCACTACCTGGAAGTGGACATTTGGAGCGCTTTGAGGCCTATGTTGAAAAAGGAAATATCTTCCCATAAAAACTAGACAGAAGCATTCTCAAAACTTGTTTGTGATGTGTGTATTCAACTAACAGAGATGAACCTTTCTTTTTACAGAGCAGTTTTGAAACACTCTTTTTGTGGAATCTGAAAGTGGATATTTGGATAGCTTTGAGGATTTCGTTGGAAACGGGATTACATATAAAACCTAGAGAGAAGCATTCTCAGGAACTTCTTTGTGATGTTTGCCTTCAAGTCACAGGACTGAACATTCCCTTTCATAGAGCAGGTTTGAAACACTCTTTCTGTAGTATCTGCAAGCTGACGTTTCAAGCGCTTTCAGGCCTATGGTGAGAAAGGAAATATCTTCAAGTAAAAACTAGACAGAAGCATTCTCAGAAACTTATTTGCCATGTGTGTTCTCAACTAACAGAGTTGAACCTTTGTTTTGATACGGCATTTTGGAAACACTCTTTTTGTAGAATCTGCAGGTGGATATTCGGATAGCATTGAAGGTTTCGTTGGAAACGGGAATATCTTCATATAAAATCTAGACGGAAGCATTCTCAGAAACTTCTCTGTGATGTTTGCATTCAACTCATAGAGTTGAACACTTCCCTTCATACAGCAGGTTTGAAACACTCTTTTTCTAATATTTGGAAGTGGACATTTGCAGCGCTTTGAGGCCTATGATGAAAAAGGTAATATCTTCCCATAAAAACTAGACAGAAGCATTCTCAGAAACTTGTTTGTGATGTGTGTATTCAACTAACAGAGATGAACCTTTCTTTTTACAGAGCAGTTTTGAAACACTCTTTTTGTGGAATCTGAAAGTGGATATTTGGATAGCTTTGCGGATTTCGTTGGAAACGGGATTACATATAAAATCTAGGGAGAAGCATTCTCAGGAACTTCTTTGTGATGTTTGCATTCAAGTCACAGAACTGAACATTCCCTTTCATAGAGCATGTTTGAAACACTCTTTCTGTAGTATCTGCAAGCGGACGTTTTAAGCGCTTTCAGGCCTGTGGTGAGAAAGGAAATATCTTCAAATAAAAACTAGACAGAAGCATTCTCAGAAACTTATTTGCGATGTGTGTCCTCAACTAACAGAGTTGAACCTTTCTTTTGATACAACATTTTGGAAACACTCTTTTTGTAGAATCTGCAAGTGGATATTTGGATAGCTTTGAAGGTTTCGTTGGAAACGGGAATATCTTCATATGAAATCAAGACAGAAGCATTCTCAGAAACTTCTCTGTGATGTTTGCATTCAACTCATAGAGTTGAACACTTCCCTTCATACAGCAGGTTTGAAACACTCTTTTTGTAATATTTGGAAGTGGACATTTGCAGCGCTTTGAGGCCTATGTTGAAAAAGGAAATATCTTCTCCTAAAAACCAGACAGAAGCATTCTCAGAAACTTCCTTGTGATGTGTGTACTCAAGTAACAGAGTTGAACCTTCCTTTTGACAGAGCAGTTTTGAAGCACTCTTTTTGTAGAATCTGCAAGTGGATATTTTGATACCTTTGAGGATTTCGTTGGACACGGGATATCTTCATATAAAATCTAGACAGAAGCATTCTCAGAAACTTCTTTGTGCTGTATGTCCTCAATTAACAGAGTTGAACCTTTGTGTGGATACAGCATTTTGGAAACATTCCTTTAGTAGAATCTGCAAGTTGATATTTAGATAGCTAGGAAGATTTCCTTGGAAACGGGAATATCTTCATATAAAATCTAGACGGAAGCATTCTCAGAAAGTGCTTTGTGATGTTTGCATTCAAGTCACAGAGTTGAATATTCCCTTTTATAGAGCAGGTTTGAAACACTCTTTCTGCACTACCTGGAAGTGGACATTTGGAGCGCTTTGAGGCCTATGTTGAAAAAGGAAATATCTTCCCATAAAAACTAGACAGAAGCATTCTCAGAAACTTGTTTGTGATGTGTGTATTCAACTAACAGAGATGAACCTCTCTTTTTACAGAGCAGTTTTGAAACACTCTTTTTGTGGAATCTGAAAGTGGATATTTGGAGAGCTTTGCGGATTTCGTTGGAAACGGGATTACATATAAAATCTAAGGAGAAGCATTCTCAGGAACTTCTTTGTGATGTTTGCCTTCAAGTCACAGGACTGAACATTCCCTTTCATAGAGCAGGTTTGAAACACTCTTTCTGTAGTATCTGCAAGCTGACGTTTCAAGCGCTTTCAGGCCTATGGTGAGAAAGGAAATATCTTCAAGTAAAAACTAGACAGAAGCATTCTCAGAAACTTATTTGCCATGTGTGTTCTCAACTAACAGAGTTGAACCTTTGTTTTGATACGGCATTTTGGAAACACTCTTTTTGTAGAATCTGCAGGTGGATATTCGGATAGCTTTGAAGGTTTCGTTGGAAAACGGGAATATCTTCATATAAAATCTAGACGGAAGCATTCTCAGAAACTGCTTTGTGATGTTTTCATTCAAGTCACAGAGTAGAATGTTCCCTGTTATATACCAGGTTTGAGACACTCTTTCTGCACTACCCGGAAGTGGACGTTTGGAGCGCTTTGAGGCCTATGTTGAAAAAGGAAATATCTTCCCATAAAAACTAGACAGAAGCATTCTCAGAAACTTGTTTGTGATGTGTGTATTCAACTAACAGAGATGAACCTTTCTTTTTACAGAGCAGTTTTGAAACACTCTTTTTGTGGAATCTGAAAGTGGATATTTGGATAGCTTTGAGGATTTCGTTGGAAACGGGATTACATATAAAATCTAGAGAGAAGCATTCTCAGGAACTTCTTTGTGATGTTTGCATTCACGTCACAGAACTGAACATTCCCTTTCATAGAGCATGTTTGAAACACTCTTTCTGTAGTATCTGCAAACGGACATTTCAAACGCTTTCAGGCCTATGGTGAGAAAGGAAATATCTTCAAGTAAAAACTAGACAGAAGCATTCTCAGAAACTTATTTGCGATGTGTGTCCTCAACTAACAGAGTTGAACCTTTCTTTTGATACAACATTTTGGAAACACTCTTTTTGTAGAATCAGCAAGTGGATATTTGAATAGCTTTGAAGGTTTCGTTGGAAACGGGAATATCTTTATATAAAATCAAGACAGAAGCATTCTCAGAAACTTCTCTGTGATGTTTGCATTCAACTCATAGAGTTGAACACTTCCCTTCATACAGCAGGTTTGAAACACTCTTTTTGTAATATTTGGAAGTGGACATTTGCAGCGCTTTGAGGCCTATGATGAAAAAGGTAATATCTTCCCATAAAAACTAGACAGAAGCATTCTCAGAAACTTGTTTGTGATGTGTGTATTCAACTAACAGAGATGAACCTTTCTTTTTACAGAGCAGTTTTGAAACACTCTTTTTGTGGAATCTGAAAGTGGATATTTGGATAGCTTTGCGGATTTCGTTGGAAACGGGATTACATATAAAATCTAGGGAGAAGCATTCTCAGGAACTTCTTTGTGATGTTTGCATTCAAGTCACAGAACTGAACATTCCCTTTCATAGAGCAGGTTTGAAACACTCTTTCTGTAGTATCTGCAAGCGGACGTTTTAAGCGCTTTCAGGCCTGTGGTGAGAAAGGAAATATCTTCAAATAAAAACTAGACAGAAGCATTCTCAGAAACTTATTTGCGATGTGTGTCCTCAACTAACAGCGTTGAACCTTTCTTTTGATACAACATTTTGGAAACACTCTTTTTGTAGAATCTGCAAGTGGATATTTGGATAGCTTTGAAGGTTTCGTTGGAAACGGGAATATCTTCATATGAAATCAACACAGAAGCATTCTCAGAAACTGCTTTGTGATGTTTTCATTCAAGTCACAGAGTAGAATGTTCCCTTTTATATACCAGGTTTGAGACACTCTTTCTGCACTATCTGGAAGTGGACATTTGGAGCGCTTTGTGGCCTATGATGAAAAAGGAAATATCTTCCCATAAAAACTAGACAGAAGCATTCTCAGAAACTTGTTTGTGATGTGTGTATTCAACTAACAGAGATGAACCTTTCTTTTTACAGAGCAGTTTTGAAACACTCTTTTTGTGGAATCTGAAAGTGGATATTTGGATAGCTTTGCGGATTTCGTTGGAAACGGGATTACATATAAAATCTAGGGAGAAGCATTCTCAGGAACTTCTTTGTGATGTTTGCATTCAAGTCACAGAACTGAACATTCCCTTTCATAGAGCAGGTTTGAAACACTCTTTCTGTAGTATCTGCAAGCGGACGTTTTAAGCGCTTTCAGGCCTGTGGTGAGAAAGGAAATATCTTCAAATAAAAACTAGACAGAAGTATTCTCAGAAACTTATTTGCGATGTGTGTCCTCAACTAACAGAGTTGAACCTTTCTTTTGATACAACATTTTGGAAACACTCTTTTTGTAGAATCTGCAAGTGGATATTTGGATAGCTTTGAAGGTTTCGTTGGAAACGGGAATATCTTCATATGAAATCAAGACAGAAGCATTCTCAGAAACTTCTCTGTGATGTTTGCATTCAACTCATAGAGTTGAACACTTCCCTTCATACAGCAGGTTTGAAACACTCTTTTTCTAATATTTGGAAGTGGACATTTGCAGCGCTTTGAGGCCTATGTTGAAAAAGGAAATATCTTCTCCTAAAAACCAGACAGAAGCATTCTCAGAAACTTCCTTGTGATGTGTGTACTCAAGTAACAGAGTTGAACCTTCCTTTTGACAGAGCAGTTTTGAAGCACTCTTTTTGTAGAATCTGCAAGTGGATATTTTGATACCTTTGAGGATTTCGTTGGACACGGGATATCTTCATATAAAATCTAGACTAGAAGCATTCTCAGAAACTTCTTTGTGCTGTATGTCCTCAATTAACAGAGTTGAACCTTTGTGTGGATACAGCATTTTGGAAACATTCCTTTAGTAGAATCTGCAAGTTGATATTTAGATAGCTAGGAAGATTTCCTTGGAAACGGGAATATCTTCATATAAAATCTAGACGGAAGCATTCTCAGAAAGTGCTTTGTGATGTTTGCATTCAAGTCACAGAGTTGAATATTCCCTTTTATAGAGCAGGTTTGAAACACTCTTTCTGCACTACCTGGAAGTGGACATTAGCAGCGCTTTGAGGCCTATGATGAAAAAGGTAATATCTTCCCATAAAAACTAGACAGAAGCATTCTCAGAAACTTGTTTGTGATGTGTGTATTCAACTAACAGAGATGAACCTTTCTTTTTACAGAGCAGTTTTGAAACACTCTTTTTGTGGAATCTGAAAGTGGATATTTGGATAGCTTTGCGGATTTCGTTGGAAACGGGATTACATATAAAATCTAGGGAGAAGCACTCTCAGGAACTTCTTTGTGATGTTTGCATTCAAGTCACAGAACTGAACATTCCCTTTCATAGAGCAGGTTTGAAACACTCTTTCTGTAGTATCTGCAAGCGGACGTTTTAAGCGCTTTCAGGCCTGTGGTGAGAAAGGAAATATCTTCAAATAAAAACTAGACAGAAGCATTCTCAGAAACTTATTTGCGATGTGTGTCCTCAACTAACAGAGTTGAACCTTTCTTTTGATACAACATTTTGGAAACACTCTTTTTGTAGAATCTGCAAGTGGATATTTGGATAGCTTTGAAGGTTTCGTTGGAAACGGGAATATCTTCATATGAAATCAAGACAGAAGCATTCTCAGAAACTTCTCTGTGATGTTTGCATTCAACTCATAGAGTTGAACACTTCCCTTCATACAGCAGGTTTGAAACACTCTTTTTCTAATATTTGGAAGTGGACATTTGCAGCGCTTTGAGGCCTATGTTGAAAAAGGAAATATCTTCTCCTAAAAACCAGACAGAAGCATTCTCAGAAACTTCCTTGTGATGTGTGTACTCAAGTAACAGAGTTGAACCTTCCTTTTGACAGAGCAGTTTTGAAGCACTCTTTTTGTAGAATCTGCAAGTGGATATTTTGATACCTTTGAGGATTTCGTTGGACACGGGATATCTTCATATAAAATCTAGACTAGAAGCATTCTCAGAAACTTCTTTGTGCTGTATGTCCTCAATTAACAGAGTTGAACCTTTGTGTGGATACAGCATTTTGGAAACATTCCTTTAGTAGAATCTGCAAGTTGATATTTAGATAGCTAGGAAGATTTCCTTGGAAACGGGAATATCTTCATATAAAATCTAGACGGAAGCATTCTCAGAAAGTGCTTTGTGATGTTTGCATTCAAGTCACAGAGTTGAATGTTCCCTTTTATAGAGCAGGTTTGAAACACTCTTTCTGCACTACCTGGAAGTGGACATTTGGAGCGCTTTGAGGCCTATGTTGAAAAAGGAAATATCTTCCCATAAAAACTAGACAGAAGCATTCTCAGAAACTTGTTTGTGATGTGTGTATTCAACTAACAGAGATGAACCTTTCTTTTTACAGAGCATTTTTGAAACACTCTTTTTGTGGAATCTGAAAGTGGATATTTGGATAGCTTTGAGGATTTCGTTGGAAACGGGATTACATATAAAACCTAGAGAGAAGCATTCTCAGGAACTTCTTTGTGATGTTTGCATTCAAGTCACAGAACTGAACATTCCCTTTCATAGAGCAGGTTTGAAACACTCTTTCTGTAGTATCTGCAAGCTGACGTTTCAAGCGCTTTCAGGCCTATGGTGAGAAAGGAAATATCTTCAAGTAAAAACTAGACAGAAGCATTCTCAGAAACTTATTTGCCATGTGTGTTCTCAACTAACAGAGTTGAACCTTTGTTTTGATACGGCATTTTGGAAACACTCTTTTTGTAGAATCTGCAGGTGGATATTCGGATAGCTTTGAAGGTTTCGTTGGAAACGGGAATATCTTCATATAAAATCTAGACGGAAGCATTCTCAGAAACTGCTTTGTGATGTTTTCATTCAAGTCACAGAGTAGAATCTTCCCTGTTATATACCAGGTTTCAGACACTCTTTCTGCACTACCTGGAAGTGGACATTTGCAGCGCTTTGAGGCCTATGATGAAAAAGGAAATATCTTCCCATAAAAACTAGACAGAAGCATTCTCAGAAACTTGTTTGTGATGTGTGTATTCAACTAACAGAGATGAACCTTTCTTTTTACAGAGCAGTTTTGAAACACTCTTTTTGTGGAATCTGAAAGTGGATATTTGGATAGCTTTGAGGATTTCGTTGGAAACGGGATTACATATAAAACCTAGAGAGAAGCATTCTCAGGAACTTCTTTGTGATGTTTGCATTCACGTCACAGAACTGAACATTCCCTTTCATAGAGCATGTTTGAAACACTCTTTCTGTAGTATCTGCAAACGGACATTTCAAACGCTTTCAGGCCTATGGTGAGAAAGGAAATATCTTCAACTAAAAACTAGACAGAAGCATTCTCAGAAACTTATTTGCGATGTGTGTCCTCAACTAACAGAGTTGAACCTTTCTTTTGATACAACATTTTGGAAACACTCTTTTTGTGGAATCTGCAAGTGGATATTTGGATAGCTTTGAAGATTTCGTTGGAAACGGGAATATCTTCATATAAAATCAAGACAGAAGCATTCTCAGAAACTTCTCTGTGATGTTTGCATTCAACTCATAGAGTTGAACACTTCCCTTCATACAGCAGGTTTGAAACACTCTTTTTGTAATATTTGGAAGTGGACATTTGCAGCGCTTTGAGGGCTATGATGAAAAAGGTAATATCTTCCCATAAAAACTAGACAGAAGCATTCTCAGAAACTTGTTTGTGATGTGTGTATTCAACTAACAGAGATGAACCTTTCTTTTTACAGAGCAGTTTTGAAACACTCTTTTTGTGGAATTTGAAAGTGGATATTTGGATAGCTTTGCGGATTTCGTTGGAAACGCGATTACATATAAAATCTAGGGAGAAGCATTCTCAGGAACTTCTTTGTGATATTTGCATTCAAGTCACAGAACTGAACATTCCCTTTCATAGAGCAGGTTTGAAACACTCTTTCTGTAGTATCTGCAAGCTGACGTTTCAAGCGCTTTCAGGCCTATGGTGAGAAAGGAAATATCTTCAAGTAAAAACTAGACAGAAGCATTCTCAGAAACTTATTTGCGATGTGTGTTCTCAACTAACAGAGTTGAACCTTTGTTTTGATATGGCATTTTGGAAACACTCTTTTTGTAGAATCTGCAGGTGGATATTCGGATAGCTTTGAAGGTTTCGTTGGAAACGGGAATATCTTCATATAAAATCTAGACGGAAGCATTCTCAGAAACTGCTTTGTGATGTTTTCATTCAAGTCACAGAGTAGAATCTTCCCTGTTATATACCAGGTTTCAGACACTCTTTCTGCACTACCTGGAAGTGGACATTTGCAGCGCTTTGAGGCCTATGATGAAAAAGGAAATATCTTCCCATAAAAACTAGACAGAAGCATTCTCAGAAACTTGTTTGTGATGTGTGTATTCAACTAACAGAGATGAACCTTTCTTTTTACAGAGCAGTTTTGAAACACTCTTTTTGTGGAATCTGAAAGTGGATATTTGGATAGCTTTGAGGATTTCGTTGGAAACGGGATTACATATAAAACCTAGAGAGAAGCATTCTCAGGAACTTCTTTGTGATGTTTGCATTCAAGTCACAGAACTGAACATTCCCTTTCATAGAGCAGGTTTGAAACACTCTTTCTGTAGTATCTGCAAGCTGACGTTTCAAGCGCTTTCAGGCCTATGGTGAGAAAGGAAATATCTTCAAGTAAAAACTAGACAGAAGCATTCTCAGAAACTTATTTGCGATGTGTGTTCTCAACTAACAGAGTTGAACCTTTGTTTTGATATGGCATTTTGGAAACACTCTTTTTGTAGAATCTGCAGGTGGATATTCGGATAGCTTTGAAGGTTTCGTTGGAAACGGGAATATCTTCATATAAAATCTAGACGGAAGCATTCTCAGAAACTGCTTTGTGATGTTTTCATTCAAGTCACAGAGTAGAATGTTCCCTGTTATATACCAGGTTTGAGACACTCTTTCTGCACTACCTGGAAGTGGACATTTGCAGCGCTTTGAGGCCTATGATGAAAAAGGAAATATCTTCCCATAAAAACTAGACAGAAGCATTCTCAGAAACTTGTTTTTGATGTGTGTATTCAACTAACAGAGATGAACCTTTCTTTTTACAGAGCAGTTTTGAAACACTCTTTTTGTGGAATCTGAAAGTGGATATTTGGATAGCTTTGAGGAATTCGTTGGAAACGGGATTACATATAAAATCTAGAGAGAAGCATTCTCAGGAACTTCTTTGTGATGTTTGCATTCACGTCACAGAACTGAACATTCCCTTTCATAGAGCATGTTTGAAACACTCTTTCTGTAGTATCTGCAAACGGACATTTCAAACGCTTTCAGGCCTATGGTGAGAAAGGAAATATCTTCAAATAAAAACTAGACAGAAGCATTCTCAGAAACTTATTTGCGATGTGTGTCCTCAACTAACAGAGTTGAACCTTTCTTTTGATACAACATTTTGGAAACACTCTTTTTGTAGAATCTGCAAGTGGATATTAGGATAGCTTTGAAGGTTTCGTTGGAAACGGGAATATCTTCATATAAAATCAAGACAGAAGCATTCTCAGAAACTTCTCTGTGATGTTTACATTCAACTCATAGAGTTGAATACTTCCCTTCATACAGCAGGTTTGAAACACTCTTTTTGTAATATTTGGAAGTGGACATTTGCAGCGCTTTGAGGCCTATGATGAAAAAGGAAATATCTTCCCATAAAAACTAGACAGAAGCATTCTCAGAAACTTGTTTGTGATGTGTGTATTCAACTAACAGAGATGAAACTTTCTTTTTACAGAGCAGTTTTGAAACACTCTTTTTGTGGAATCTGAAAGTGGATATTTGGATAGCTTTGAGGATTTCGTTGGAAACGGGATTACATATAAAATCTAGAGAGAAGCATTCTCAGGAACTTTTTTGTGATGTTTGCATTCACGTCACAGAACTGAACATTCCCTTTCATAGAGCATGTTTGAAACACTCTTTCTGTAGTATCTGCAAACGGACATTTCAAACGCTTTCAGGCCTATGGTGAGAAAGGAAATATCTTCAAATAAAAACTAGACAGAAGCATTCTCAGAAACATATTTGCGATGTGTGTCCTCAACTAACAGAGTTGAACCTTTCTTTTGATACAACATTTTGGAAACACTCTTTTTGTAGAATCTGCAAGTGGATATTTGAATAGCTTTGAAGGTTTCGTTGGAAACGGGAATATCTTCATATAAAATCAAGACAGAAGCATTCTCAGAAACTTCTCTGTGATGTTTGCATTCAACTCATAGAGTTGAACACTTCCCTTCATACAGCAGGTTTGAAACACTCTTTTTGTAATATTTGGAAGTGGACATTTGCAGCGCTTTGAGGCCTATGATGAAAAAGGAAATATCTTCCCATAAAAACTAGACAGAAGCATTCTCAGAAACTTGTTTGTGATGTGTGTATTCAACTAACAGATGAACCTTTCTTTTTACAGAGCAGTTTTGAAACACTCTTTTTGTGGAATCTGAAAGTGGATATTTGGATAGCTTTGCGGATTTCGTTGGAAACGGGATTACATATAAAATCTAGGGAGAAGCATTCTCAGGAACTTCTTTGTGATGTTTGCATTCAAGTCACAGAACTGAACATTCCCTTTCATAGAGCAGGTTTGAAACACTCTTTCTGTAGTATCTGCAAGCGGACGTTTTAAGCGCTTTCAGGCCTGTGGTGAGAAAGGAAATATCTTCAAATAAAAACTAGACAGAAGCATTCTCAGAAACTTATTTGCGATGTGTGTCCTCAACTAACAGAGTTGAACCTTTCTTTTGATACAACATTTTGGAAACACTCTTTTTGTAGAATCTGCAAGTGGATATTTGGATAGCTTTGAAGGTTTCGTTGGAAACGGGAATATCTTCATATGAAATCAAGACAGAAGCATTCTCAGAAACTTCTCTGTGATGTTTGCATTCAACTCATAGAGTTGAACACTTCCCTTCATACAGCAGGTTTGAAACACTCTTTTTGTAATATTTGGAAGTGGACATTTGCAGCGCTTTGAGGCCTATGTTGAAAAAGGAAATATCTTCTCCTAAAAACCAGACAGAAGCATTCTCAGAAACTTCCTTGTGATGTGTGTACTCAAGTAACAGAGTTGAACCTTCCTTTTGACAGAGCAGTTTTGAAGCACTCTTTTTGTAGAATCTGCAAGTGGATATTTTGATACCTTTGAGGATTTCGTTGGACACGGGATATCTTCATATAAAATCTAGACAGAAGCATTCTCAGAAACTTATTTGCCATGTGTGTTCTCAACTGACAGAGTTGAACCTTTGTTTTGATACGGCATTTTGGAAACACTCTTTTTGTAGAATCTGCAGGTGTATATTCGGATAGCTTTGAAGGTTTCGTTGGAAACGGGAATATCTTCATATAAAATCTAGACGGAAGCATTCTCAGAAAGTGCTTTGTGATGTTTGCATTCAAGTCACAGAGTTGAATGTTCCCTTTTATAGAGCAGGTTTGAAACACTCTTTCTGCACTACCTGGAAGTGGACATTTGGAGCGCTTTGAGGCCTATGTTGAAAAAGGAAATATCTTCCCATAAAAACTAGACAGAAGCATTCTCAGAAACTTGTTTGTGATGTGTGTATTCAACTAACAGAGATGAACCTTTCTTTTTACAGAGCAGTTTTGAAACACTCTTTTTGTGGAATCTGAAAGTGGATATTTGGATAGCTTTGAGGATTTCGTTGGAAACTGGATTACATATAAAACCTAGAGAGAAGCATTCTCAGGAACTTCTTTGTGATGTTTGCATTCAAGTCACAGAACTGAACATTCCCTTTCATAGAGCAGGTTTGAAACACTCTTTCTGTAGTATCTGCAAGCTGACGTTTCAAGCGCTTTCAGGCCTATGGTGAGAAAGGAAATATCTTCAAGTAAAAACTAGACAGAAGCATTCTCAGAAACTTATTTGCCATGTGTGTTCTCAACTAACAGAGTTGAACCTTTGTTTTGATATGGCATTTTGGAAACACTCTTTTTGTAGAATCTGCAGGTGGATATTCGGATAGCTTTGAAGGTTTCGTTGGAAACGGGAATATCTTCATATAAAATCTAGACGGAAGCATTCTCAGAAACTGCTTTGTGATGTTTTCATTCAAGTCACAGAGTAGAATGTTCCCTGTTATATACCAGGTTTGAGACACTCTTTCTGCACTACCTGGAAGTGGACATTTGCAGCGCTTTGAGGCCTATGATGAAAAAGGAAATATCTTCCCATAAAAACTAGACAGAAGCATTCTCAGAAACTCGTTTGTGATGTGTGTATTCAACTAACAGAGTATGAACCTTTCTTTTTACAGAGCAGTTTTGAATCACTCTTTTTGTGGAATCTGAAAGTGGATATTTGGATAGCTTTGAGGATTTCATTGGAAACGGGATTACATATAAAATCTAGAGAGAAGCATTCTCAGGAACTTCTTTGTGATGTTTGCATTCACGTCACAGAACTGAACATTCCCTTTCATAGAGCATGTTTGAAACACTCTTTCTGTAGTATCTGCAAACGGACATTTCAAACGCTTTCAGGCCTATGGTGAGAAAGGAAATATCTTCAAATAAAAACTAGACAGAAGCATTCTCAGAAACTTATTTGCGATGTGTGTCCTCAACTAACAGAGTTGAACCTTTCTTTTGATACAACATTTTGGAAACACTCTTTTTGTAGAATCTGCAAGTGGATATTTGAATAGCTTTGAAGGTTTCGTTGGAAACGGGAATATCTTCATATAAAATCAAGACAGAACGCATTCTCAGAAACTTCTCTGTGATGTTTGCATTCAACTCATAGAGTTGAACACTTCCCTTCATGCAGCAGGTTTGAAACACTCTTTTTGTAATATTTGGAAGTGGACATTTGCAGCGCTTTGAGGCCTATGATGAAAAAGGTAATATCTTCCCATAAAAACTAGACAGAAGCATTCTCAGAAACTTGGTTGTGATGTGTGTATTCAACTAACAGAGATGAACCTTTCTTTTTACAGAGCAGTTTTGAAACACTCTTTTTGTGGAATCTGAAAGTGCATATTTGGATAGCTTTGAGGATTTCGTTGGAAACGGGATTACATATAAAATCTAGA
Organism: Homo sapiens; assembly: GCF_000001405.40. Taxonomy (NCBI): domain Eukaryota; kingdom Metazoa; phylum Chordata; class Mammalia; order Primates; family Hominidae; genus Homo; species Homo sapiens. The sequence goes on from NC_000009.12 coordinate 43,993,263, forward strand.
GAGAAGCATTCTCAGGAACTTCTTTGTGATGTTTGCATTCACGTCACAGAACTGAACATTCCCTTTCATAGAGCATGTTTGAAACACTCTTTCTGTAGTATCTGCAAACGGACATTTCAAGCGCTTTCAGGCCTATGGTAAGAAAGGAAATATCTTCAAATAAAAACTAGACAGAAGCATTCTCAGAAACTTATTTGCGATGTGTGTCCTCAACTAACAGAGTTGAACCTTTGTTTTGATACAACATTTTGGAAACACTCTTTTTGTAGAATCTGCAAGTGGATATTTGGATAGCTTTGAAGGTTTCGTTGGAAACGGGAATATCTTCATATAAAATCAAGACAGAAGCATTCTCAGAAACTTCTCTGTGATGTTTGCATTCAACTCATAGAGTTGAACACTTCCCTTCATAGAGCAGGTTTGAAACACTCTTTTTGTAATATTTGGAAGTGGACATTTGCAGCGCTTTGAGGCCTATGTTGAAAAAGGAAATATCTTCTCCTAAAAACCAGACAGAAGCATTCTCAGAAACTTCCTTGTGATGTGTGTACTCAAGTAACAGAGTGGAACCTTACTTTTGACAGAGCCTGTTTGAAACAGTCTTTTTGTAGAATCTGGAAGTAGATATTTGGACACCTTTGAGGATTTCTTTGGAAACGGTATATCTTCATATAAAATCTAGACAGAAGCATTCTCAGGAACTTCTTTGTGATGTTTGCCTTCAAGTCACAGGACTGAACATTCCCTTTCATAGAGCAGGTTTGAAACACTCTTTCTGTAGTATCTGCAAGCTGACGTTTCAAGCGCTTTCAGGCCTATGGTGAGAAAGGAAATATCTTCAAGTAAAAACTAGACAGAAGCATTCTCAGAAACTTATTTGCGATGTGTGTTCTCAACTAACAGAGTTGAACCTTTGTTTTGATATGGCATTTTGGAAACACTCTTTTTGTAGAATCTGCAGGTGGATATTCGGATAGCTTTGAAGGTTTCGTTGGAAACGGGAATATCTTCATATAAAATCTAGACGGAAGCATTCTCAGAAACTGCTTTGTGATGTTTTCATTCAAGTCACAGAGTAGAATGTTCCCTGTTATATACCAGGTTGGAGACACTCTTTCTGCACTACCTGGAAGTGGACGTTTGGAGCGCTTTGAGGCCTATGTTGAAAAAGGAAATATCTTCCCATAAAAACTAGACAGAAGCATTCTCAGAAACTTGTTTGTGATGTGTGTATTCAACTAACAGAGATGAACCTTTCTTTTTACAGAGCAGTTTTGAAACACTCTTTTTGTGGAATCTGAAAGTGGATATTTGGATAGCTTTGAGGATTTCGTTGGAAACGGGATTACATATAAAATCTAGAGAGAAGCATTCTCAGGAACTTCTTTGTGATGTTTGCATTCACGTCACAGAACTGAACATTCCCTTTCATAGAGCATGTTTGAAACACTCTTTCTGTAGTATCTGCAAACGGACATTTCAAACGCTTTCAGGCCTATGGTGAGAAAGGAAATATCATCAAATAAAAACTAGACAGAAGCATTCTCAGAAACTTATTTGCGATGTGTGTCCTCAACTAACAGAGTTGAACCTTTCTTTTGATACAACATTTTGGAAACACTCTTTTTGTGGAATCTGCAAGTGGATATTTGGATAGCTTTGAAGGTTTCGTTGGAAACGGGAATATCTTCATATAAAATCAAGACAGAAGCATTCTCAGAAACTTCTCTGTGATGTTTGCATTCAACTCATAGAGTTGAACACTTCCCTTCATACAGCAGGTTTGAAACACTCTTTTTCTAATATTTGGAAGTGGACTTTTGCAGCGCTTTGAAGCCTATGATGAAAAAGGTAATATCTTCCCATAAAAACTAGAAAGAAGCATTCTCAGAAACTTGTTTGTGATGTGTGTATTCAACTAACAGAGATGAACCTTTCTTTTTACAGAGCAGTTTTGAAACACTCTTTTTGTGGAATCTGAAAGTGGATATTTGGATAGCTTTGCGGATTTCGTTGGAAACGGGATTACATATAAAATCTAGGGAGAAGCATTCTCAGGAACTTCTTTGTGATGTTTGCATTCAAGTCACAGAACTGAACATTCCCTTTCATAGAGCAGGTTTGAAACACTCTTTCTGTAGTATCTGCAAGCGGACGTTTTAAGCGCTTTCAGGCCTGTGGTGAGAAAGGAAATATCTTCAAATAAAAACTAGACAGAAGCATTCTCAGAAACTTATTTGCGATGTGTGTCCTCAACTAACAGAGTTGAACCTTTCTTTTGATACAACATTTTGGAAACACTCTTTTTGTAGAATCTGCAAGTGGATATTTGGATAGCTTTGAAGGTTTCATTGGAAACGGGAATATCTTCATATGAAATCAAGACAGAAGCATTCTCAGAAACTGCTTTGTGATGTTTTCATTCAAGTCACAGAGTAGAATGTTCCCTGTTATATACCAGGTTTGAGACACTCTTTCTGCACTACCTGGAAGTGGACGTTTGGAGCGCTTTGAGGCCTATGTTGAAAAAGGAAATATCTTCCCATAAAAACTAGACAGAAGCATTCTCAGAAACTTGTTTGTGATGTGTGTATTCAACTAACAGAGATGAACCTTTCTTTTTACAGAGCAGTTTTGAAACACTCTTTTTGTGGAATCTGAAAGTGGATATTTGGATAGCTTTGAGGATTTCGTTGGAAACGGGATTACATATAAAATCTAGAGAGAAGCATTCTCAGAAACTTGTTTGTGATGTGTGTATTCAACTAACAGAGATGAACCTTTCTTTTTACAGAGCAGTTTTGAAACACTCTTTTTGTGGAATCTGAAAGTGGATATTTGGATAGCTTTGAGGATTTCGTTGGAAACGGGATATCTTCATATAAAATCTAGACAGAAGCATTCTCAGAAACTTCTTTGTGCTGTATGTCCTCAATTAACAGAGTTGAAACTTTGTGTGGATACAGTATTTTGGAAACACTCCTTTAGTAGAATCTGCAAGTTGATATTTAGATAGCTAGGAAGATTTCCTTGGAAACGGGAATATCTTCACATAAAATCTAGACGGAAGCATTCTCAGAAACTTCTCTGTGATGTTTGCATTCAACTCATAGAGTTGAACACTTCCCTTCATACAGCAGGTTTGAAACACTCTTTTTGTAATATTTGGAAGTGGACATTTGCAGCGCTTTGAGGCCTATGATGAAAAAGGAAATATCTTCCCATAAAAACTAGACAGGAAGCATTCTCAGAAACTTGTTTGTGATGTGTGTATTCAACTAACAGAGATGAACCTTTCTTTTTACAGAGCAGTTTTGAAACACTCTTTTTGTGGAATCTGAAAGTGGATATTTGGATAGCTTTGCGGATTTCGTTGGAAACGGGATTACATATAAAATCTAGGGAGAAGCATTCTCAGGAACTTCTTTGTGATGTTTGCATTCAAGTCACAGAACTGAACATTCCCTTTCATAGAGCATGTTTGAAACACTCTTTCTGTAGTATCTGCAAGCGGACGTTTTAAGCGCTTTCAGGCCTGTGGTGAGAAAGGAAATATCTTCAAATAAAAACTAGACAGAAGCATTCTCAGAAACTTATTTGCGATGTGTGTCCTCAACTAACAGAGTTGAACCTTTCTTTTGATACAACATTTTGGAAACACTCTTTTTGTAGAATCTGCAAGTGGATATTTGGATAGCTTTGAAGGTTTCGTTGGAAACGGGAATATCTTCATATGAAATCAAGACAGAAGCATTCTCAGAAACTTCTCTGTGATGTTTGCATTCAACTCATAGAGTTGAACACTTCCCTTCATACAGTAGGTTTGAAACACTCTTTTTCTAATATTTGGAAGTGGACATTTGCAGCGCTTTGAGGCCTATGTTGAAAAAGGAAATATCTTCTCCTAAAAACCAGACAGAAGCATTCTCAGAAACTTCCTTGTGATGTGTGTACTCAAGTAACAGAGTTGAACCTTCCTTTTGACAGAGCAGTTTTGAAGCACTCTTTTTGTAGAATCTGCAAGTGGATATTTTGATACCTTTGAGGATTTCGTTGGACACGGGATATCTTCATATAAAATCTAGACAGAAGCATTCTCAGAAACTTCTTTGTGCTGTATGTCCTCAATTAACAGAGTTGAACCTTTGTGTGGATACAGCATTTTGGAAACATTCCTTTAGTAGAATCTGCAAGTTGATATTTAGATAGCTAGGAAGATTTCCTTGGAAACGGGAATATCTTCATATAAAATCTAGACGGAAGCATTCTCAGAAAGTGCTTTGTGATGTTTGCATTCAAGTCACAGAGTTGAATATTCCCTTTTATAGAGCAGGTTTGAAACACTCTTTCTGCACTACCTGGAAGTGGACATTTGGAGCGCTTTGAGGCCTATGTTGAAAAAGGAAATATCTTCCCATAAAAACTAGACAGAAGCATTCTCAGAAACTTGTTTGTGATGTGTGTATTCAACTAACAGAGATGAACCTTTCTTTTTACAGAGCAGTTTTGAAACACTCTTTTTGTGGAATCTGAAAGTGGATATTTGGATAGCTTTGAGGATTTCGTTGGAAACGTGATTACATATAAAACCTAGAGAGAAGCATTCTCAGGAACTTCTTTGTGATGTTTGCATTCAAGTCACAGAACTGAACATTCCCTTTCATAGAGCAGGTTTGAAACACTCTTTCTGTAGTATCTGCAAGCTGACGTTTCAAGCGCTTTCAGGCCTATGGTGAGAAAGGAAATATCTTCAAGTAAAAACTAGACAGAAGCATTCTCAGAAACTTATTTGCGATGTGTGTCCTCAACTAACAGAGTTGAACCTTTGTTTTGATACAGCATTTTGGAAACACTCTTTTTGTAGGATCTGCAGGTGGATATTTGGATAGCTTTTAAGGTTTCGTTGGAAACGGGAATATCTTCATATAAAATCAAGACAGAAGCATTCTCAGAAACTGCTTTGTGATGTTTTCATTCAAGTCACAGAGTAGAATCTTCCCTGTTATATACCAGGTTTCAGACACTCTTTCTGCACTACCTGGAAGTGGACATTTGCAGCGCTTTGAGGCCTATGATGAAAAAGGAAATATCTTCCCATAAAAACTAGACAGAAGCATTCTCAGAAACTTGTTTGTGATGTGTGTATTCAACTAACAGAGATGAACCTTTCTTTTTACAGAGCAGTTTTGAAACACTCTTTTTGTGGAATCTGAAAGTGGATATTTGGATAGCTTTGAGGATTTCGTTGGAAACGGGATTACATATAAAACCTAGAGAGAAGCATTCTCAGGAACTTCTTTGTGATGTTTGCATTCACGTCACAGAACTGAACATTCCCTTTCATAGAGCATGTTTGAAACACTCTTTCTGTAGTATCTGCAAACGGACATTTCAAACGCTTTCAGGCCTATGGTGAGAAAGGAAATATCTTCAACTAAAAACTAGACAGAAGCATTCTCAGAAACTTATTTGCGATGTGTGTCCTCAACTAACAGAGTTGAACCTTTCTTTTGATACAACATTTTGGAAACACTCTTTTTGTGGAATCTGCAAGTGGATATTTGGATAGCTTTGAAGGTTTCGTTGGAAACGGGAATATCTTCATATAAAATCAAGACAGAAGCATTCTCAGAAACTTCTCTGTGATGTTTGCATTCAACTCATAGAGTTGAACACTTCCCTTCATACAGCAGGTTTGAAACACTCTTTTTCTAATATTTGGAAGTGGACTTTTGCAGCGCTTTGAAGCCTATGATGAAAAAGGTAATATCTTCCCATAAAAACTAGAAAGAATCATTCTCAGAAACTTGTTTGTGATGTGTGTATTCAACTAACAGAGATGAACCTTTCTTTTTACAGAGCAGTTTTGAAACACTCTTTTTGTGGAATCTGAAAGTGGATATTTGGATAGCTTTGAGGATTTCGTTGGAAACGGGATTACATATAAAATCTAGGGAGAAGCATTCTCAGGAACTTCTTTGTGATGTTTGCATTCAAGTCACAGAACTGAACATTCCCTTTCATAGTGCAGCTTTGAAACACTCTTTCTGTAGTATCTGCAAGCTGACGTTTCAAGCGCTTTCAGGCCTGTGGTGAAAAAGGAAATATCTTCAAATAAAAACTAGACAGATGTATTCTCAGAAACTTATTTGCGATGTGTGTTTCCAACTAACAGAGTTGAACCTTTGCTTTGATACAGCATTTTGGAAACACTATTTTTGTAGGATCTGCAGGTGGATATTTGGATAGCTTTAAAGGTTTCGTTGGAAACGGGAATATCTTCATATAAAATCAAGACAGAAGCATTCTCAGAAACTTCTCTGTGATGTTTGCATTCAACTCATAGAGTTGAACACTTCCTTTCATAGAGCTGGTTTGAAATACTCTTTTTGTAATATTTGGAATTGGACATTTGCAGCGGTTTGAGACCTATGGTGAAAAAGGAGATATCTTCTCCTAAAAACCAGACAGAAGCATTCTCAGAATCTTCCTTGTGATGTGTGTACTCAAGTAACAGAGTTGAACCTTCCTTTTGACAGAGCAGTTTTGAAGCACTCTTTTTGTAGAATTTGCAAGTGGATATTTTGATACCTTTGAGGATTTCGTTGGACACGGGATATCTTCATATAAAATCTAGACAGAAGCATTCTCAGGAACTTCTTTGTGATGTTTGCATTCACGTCACAGAACTGAACTTTCCTTTTCATAGAGCATGTTTGAAACACTCTTTCTATACTACCTGCAAGCGGACATTTCAAGCGCTTTCAGGCCTATGGTGAGAAAGGAAATATCTTCAAATAAAAACTAGACAGAAGCATTCTCAGAAACTTCTTTGTGCTGTATGTCCTCAATTAACAGAGTTGAACCTTTGTGTGGATACAGCATTTTGGAAACATTCCTTTAGTAGAATCTGCAAGTTGATATTTAGATAGCTAGGAAGAGTTCCTTGGAAACGGGAATATCTTCATATAAAATCTAGACGGAAGCATTCTCAGAAACTGCTTTGTGATGTTTTCATTCAAGTCACAGAGTAGAATGTTCCCTGTTATATACCAGGTTTGAGACACTCTTTCTGCACTACCTGGAAGTGGACGTTTGGAGCGCTTTGAGGCCTATGTTGAAAAAGGAAATATCTTCCCATAAAAACTAGACAGAAGCATTCTCAGAAACTTGTTTGTGATGTGTGTATTCAACTAACAGAGATGAACCTTTCTTTTTACAGAGCAGTTTTGAAACACTCTTTTTGTGGAATCTGAAAGTGGATATTTGGATAGCTTTGAGGATTTCGTTGGAAACGGGATTACATATAAAACCTAGAGAGAAGCATTCTCAGGAACTTCTTTGTGATGTTTGCATTCACGTCACAGAACTGAACATTCCCTTTCATAGAGCATGTTTGAAACACTCTTTCTGTAGTATCTGCAAACGGACATTTCAAACGCTTTCAGGCCTATGGTGAGAAAGGAAATATCTTCATGTAAAAACTAGACAGAAGCATTCTCAGAAACTTATTTGCGATGTGTGTCCTCAACTAACAGAGTTGAACCTTTCTTTTGATACAACATTTTGGAAACACTCTTTTTGTAGAATCTGCAAGTGGATATTTGGATAGCTTTGAAGGTTTCGTTGGAAACGGGAATATCTTCATATGAAATCAAGACAGAAGCATTCTCAGAAACTTCTCTGTGATGTTTGCATTCAACTCATAGAGTTGAACACTTCCCTTCATACAGCAGGTTTGAAACACTCTTTTTGTAATATTTGGAAGTGGACATTTGCAGCGCTTTGAGGCCTATGTTGAAAAAGGAAATATCTTCTCCTAAAAACCAGACAGAAGCATTCTCAGAAACTTGTTTGTGATGTGTGTATTCAACTAACAGAGATGAACCTTTCTTTTTACAGAGCAGTTTTGAAACACTCTTTTTGTGGAATCTGAAAGTGGATATTTGGATAGCTTTGCGGATTTCGTTGGAAACGGGATTACATATAAAATCTAGGGAGAAGCATTCTCAGGAACTTCTTTGTGATGTTTGCATTCAAGTCACAGAACTGAACATTCCCTTTCATAGAGCAGGTTTGAAACACTCTTTCTGTAGTATCTGCAAGCGGACGTTTTAAGCGCTTTCAGGCCTGTGGTGAGAAAGGAAATATCTTCAAATAAAAACTAGACAGAAGCATTCTCAGAAACTTATTTGCGATGTGTGTCCTCAACTAACAGAGTTGAACCTTTCTTTTGATACAACATTTTGGAAACACTCTTTTTGTAGAATCTGCAAGTGGATATTTGGATAGCTTTGAAGGTTTCGTTGGAAACGGGAATATCTTCATATGAAATCAAGACAGAAGCATTCTCAGAAACTTCTCTGTGATGTTTGCATTCAACTCATAGAGTTGAACACTTCCCTTCATACAGCAGGTTTGAAACACTCTTTTTGTAATATTTGGAAGTGGACATTTGCAGCGCTTTGAGGCCTATGTTGAAAAAGGAAATATCTTCTCCTAAAAACCAGACAGAAGCATTCTCAGAAACTTCCTTGTGATGTGTGTACTCAAGTAACAGAGTTGAACCTTACTTTTGACGGAGCAGTTTTGAAGCACTCTTTTTGTAGAATCTGCAAGTGGATATTTTGATACCTTTGAGGATTTCGTTGGACACGGGATATCTTCATATAAAATCTAGACAGAAGCATTCTCAGGAACTTTCTTTGTGATGTTTGCATTCAAGTCACAGAACTGAACATTCCCTTTCATAGAGCAGGTTTGAAACACTCTTTCTGTAGTATCTGCAAGCGGACGTTTTAAGCGCTTTCAGGCCTGTGGTGAGAAAGGAAATATCTTCAAATAAAAACTAGACAGAAGCATTCTCAGAAACTTATTTGCGATGTGTGTCCTCAACTAACAGAGTTGAACCTTTCTTTTGATACAACATTTTGGAAACACTCTTTTTGTAGAATCTGCAAGTGGATATTTGGATAGCTTTGAAGGTTTCGTTGGAAACGGGAATATCTTCATATGAAATCAAGACAGAAGCATTCTCAGAAACTTCTCTGTGATGTTTGCATTCAACTCATAGAGTTGAACACTTCCCTTCATACAGCAGGTTTGAAACACTCTTTTTCTAATATTTGGAAGTGGACATTTGCAGCGCTTTGAGACCTATGTTGAAAAAGGAAATATCTTCTCCTAAAAACCAGACAGAAGCATTCTCAGAAACTTCCTTGTGATGTGTGTACTCAAGTAACAGAGTTGAACCTTCCTTTTGACGGAGCAGTTTTGAAGCACTCTTTTTGTAGAATCTGCAAGTGGATATTTTGATACCTTTGAGGATTTCGTTGGACACGGGATATCTTCATATAAAATCTAGACAGAAGCATTCTCAAGAACTTCTTTGTGATGTTTGCATTCAAGTCACAGGACTGAACGTTCCCTTTCATAGAGCAGGTTTGAAACACTCTTTCTGTAGTATCTGCAAGCGGACGTTTTAAGCGCTTTCAGGCCTGTGGTGAGAAAGGAAATATCTTCAAATAAAAACTAGACAGAAGCATTCTCAGAAACTTATTTGCGATGTGTGTCCTCAACTAACAGAGTTGAACCTTTCTTTTGATACAACATTTTGGAAACACTCTTTTTGTAGAATCTGCAAGTGGATATTTGGATAGCTTTGAAGGTTTCGTTGGAAACGGGAATATCTTCATATGAAATCAAGACAGAAGCATTCTCAGAAACTTCTCTGTGATGTTTGCATTCAACTCATAGAGTTGAACACTTCCCTTCATACAGCAGGTTTGAAACACTCTTTTTGTAATATTTGGAAGTGGACATTTGCAGCGCTTTGAGGCCTATGTTGAAAAAGGAAATATCTTCTCCTAAAAACCAGACAGAAGCATTCTCAGAAACTTCCTTGTGATGTGTGTACTCAAGTAACAGAGTTGAACCTTCCTTTTGACAGAGCAGTTTTGAAGCACTCTTTTTGTAGAATCTGCAAGTGGATATTTTGATACCTTTGAGGATTTCGTTGGACACGGGATATCTTCATATAAAATCTAGACAGAAGCATTCTCAGAAACTTCTTTGTGCTGTATGTCCTCAATTAACAGAGTTGAACCTTTGTGTGGATACAGCATTTTGGAAACATTCCTTTAGTAGAATCTGCAAGTTGATATTTAGATAGCTAGGAAGATTTCCTTGGAAACGGGAATATCTTCATATAAAATCTACACGGAAGCATTCTCAGAAAGTGCTTTGTGATGTTTGCATTCAAGTCACAGAGTTGAATATTCCCTTTTATAGAGCAGGTTTGAAACACTCTTTCTGCACTACCTGGAAGTGGACATTTGGAGCGCTTTGAGGCCTATGTTGAAAAAGGAAATATCTTCCCATAAAAACTAGACAGAAGCATTCTCAGAAACTTGTTTGTGATGTGTGTATTCAACTAACAGAGATGAACCTTTCTTTTTACAGAGCAGTTTTGAAACACTCTTTTTGTGGAATCTGAAAGTGGATATTTGGATAGCTTTGAGGATTTCGTTGGAAACGGGATTACATATAAAACCTAGAGAGAAAGCATTCTCAGGAACTTCTTTGTGATGTTTGCCTTCAAGTCACAGGACTGAACATTCCCTTTCATAGAGCAGGTTTGAAACACTCTTTCTGTAGTATCTGCAAGCTGACGTTTCAAGCGCTTTCAGGCCTATGGTGAGAAAGGAAATATCTTCAAGTAAAAACTAGACAGAGCATTCTCAGAAACTTATTTGCCATGTGTGTTCTCAACTAACAGAGTTGAACCTTTGTTTTGATACGGCATTTTGGAAACACTCTTTTTGTAGAATCTGCAGGTGAATATTCGGATAGCTTTGAAGGTTTCGTTGGAAACGGGAATATCTTCATATAAAATCTTGACGGAAGCATTCTCAGAAACTGCTTAGTGATGTTTTCATTCAAGTCACAGAGTAGAATCTTCCCTGTTATATACCAGGTTTGAGACACTCTTTCTGCACTACCTGGAAGTGGACGTTTGGAGCGCTTTGAGGCCTATGTTGAAAAAGGAAATATCTTCCCATAAAAACTAGACAGAAGCATTCTCAGAAACTTGTTTGTGATGTGTGTATTCAACTAACAGAGATGAACCTTTCTTTTTACAGAGCAGTTTTGAAACACTCTTTTTGTGGAATCTGAAAGTGGATATTTGGATAGCTTTGAGGATTTCGTTGGAAACGGGATTACATATAAAACCTAGAGAGAAGCATTCTCAGGAACTTCTTTGTGATGTTTGCCTTCAAGTCACAGGACTGAACATTCCCTTTCATAGAGCAGGTTTGAAACACTCTTTCTGTAGTATCTGCAAGCTGACGTTTCAAGCGCTTTCAGGCCTATGGTGAGAAAGGAAATATCTTCAAGTAAAAACTAGACAGAAGCATTCTCAGAAACTTATTTGCGATGTGTGTTCTCAACTAACAGAGTTGAACCTTTGTTTTGATATGGCATTTTGGAAACACTCTTTTTGTAGAATCTGCAGGTGGATATTCGGATAGCTTTGAAGGTTTCGTTGGAAACGGGAATATCTTCATATAAAATCTAGACGGAAGCATTCTCAGAAACTGCTTTGTGATGTTTTCATTCAAGTCACAGAGTAGAATGTTCCCTGTTATATACCAGGTTTGAGACACTCTTTCTGCACTACCTGGAAGTGGACGTTTGGAGCGCTTTGAGGCCTATGTTGAAAAAGGAAATATCTTCCCATAAAAACTAGACAGAAGCATTCTCAGAAACTTGTTTGTGATGTGTGTATTCAACTAACAGAGATGAACCTTTCTTTTTACAGAGCAGTTTTGAAACACTCTTTTTGTGGAATCTGAAAGTGGATATTTGGATAGCTTTGCGGATTTCGTTGGAAACGGGATTACATATAAAATCTAGGGAGAAGCATTCTCAGGAACTTCTTTGTGATGTTTGCATTTAAGTCACAGAACTGAACATTCCCTTTCATAGAGCAGGTTTGAAACACTCTTTCTGTAGTATCTGCAAGTGGACGTTTCAAGCGCTTTCAGGCCTGTGGTGAAAAAGGAAATATCTTCAAATAAAAACTAGACAGAAGCATTCTCAGAAACTTATTTGCGATGTGTGTTCTCAGCTAACAGAGTTGAACCTTTGTTTTGATACAGCATTTTGGAAACACTCTTTTTGGAGGATCTGCAGGTGGATATTTGGATAGCTTTGAAGGTTTCTTTGGAAACGGGAATATCTTCATATAAAATCAAGACAGAAGCATTCTCAGAAACTGCTTTGTGATGTTTTCATTCAAGTCACAGAGTAGAATGTTCCCTGTTATATACCAGGTTTGAGACACTCTTTCTGCACTACCCGGAAGTGGACGTTTGGAGCGCTTTGAGGCCTATGTTGAAAAAGGAAATATCTTCCCATAAAAACTAGACAGAAGCATTCTCAGAAACTTGTTTGTGATGTGTGTATTCAACTAACAGAGATGAACCTTTCTTTTTACAGAGCAGTTTTGAAACACTCTTTTTGTGGAATCTGAAAGTGGATATTTGGATAGCTTTGGGGATTTCGTTGGAAACGGGATTACATATAAAATCTAGAGAGAAGCATTCTCAGGAACTTCTTTGTGATGTTTGCATTCACGTCACAGAACTGAACATTCCCTTTCATAGAGCATGTTTGAAACACTCTTTCTGTAGTATCTGCAAACGGACATTTCAAACGCTTTCAGGCCTATGGTGAGAAAGGAAATATCTTCAAGTAAAAACTAGACAGAAGCATTCTCAGAAACTTATTTGCGATGTGTGTCCTCAACTAACAGAGTTGAACCTTTCTTTTGATACAACATTTTGGAAACACTCTTTTTGTAGAATCTGCAAGTGGATATTTGAATAGCTTTGAAGGTTTCGTTGGAAACGGGAATATCTTCATATAAAATCAAGACAGAAGCATTCTCAGAAACTTCTCTGTGATGTTTGCATTCAACTCATAGAGTTGAACACTTCCCTTCATACAGCAGGTTTGAAACACTCTTTTTGTAATATTTGGAAGTGGACATTTGCAGCGCTTTGAGGCCTATGATGAAAAAGGTAATATCTTCCCATAAAAACTAGACAGAAGCATTCTCAGAAACTTGTTTGTGATGTGTGTATTCAACTAACAGAGATGAACCTTTCTTTTTACAGAGCAGTTTTGAAACACTCTTTTTGTGGAATCTGAAAGTGGATATTTGGATAGCTTTGCGGATTTCGTTGGAAACGGGATTACATATAAAATCTAGGGAGAAGCATTCTCAGGAACTTCTTTGTGATGTTTGCATTCAAGTCACAGAACTGAACATTCCCTTTCATAGAGCAGGTTTGAAACACTCTTTCTGTAGTATCTGCAAGCGGACGTTTTAAGCGCTTTCAGGCCTGTGGTGAGAAAGGAAATATCTTCAAATAAAAACTAGACAGAAGCATTCTCAGAAACTTGTTTGTGATGTGTGTATTCAACTAACAGAGATGAACCTTTCTTTTTACAGAGCAGTTTTGAAACACTCTTTTTGTGGAATCTGAAAGTGGATATTTGGATAGCTTTGAGGATTTCGTTGGAAACGGGATTACATATAAAACCTAGAGAGAAGCATTCTCAGGAACTTCTTTGTGATGTTTGCCTTCAAGTCACAGGACTGAACATTCCCTTTCATAGAGCAGGTTTGAAACACTCTTTCTGTAGTATCTGCAAGCTGACGTTTCAAGCGCTTTCAGGCCTATGGTGAGGAAGGAAATATCTTCAAGTAAAAACTAGACAGAAGCATTCTCAGAAACTTATTTGCCATGTGTGTTCTCAACTAACAGAGTTGAACCTTTGTTTTGATACGGCATTTTGGAAACACTCTTTTTGTAGAATCTGCAGGTGGATATTCGGATAGCTTTGAAGGTTTCGTTGGAAACGGGAATATCTTCATATAAAATCTAGACGGAAGCATTCTCAGAAACTGCTTTGTGATGTTTTCATTCAAGTCACAGAGTAGAATGTTCCCTGTTATACACCAGGTTTGAGACACTCTTTCTGCACTACCTGGAAGTGGACGTTTGGAGCGCTTTGAGGCCTATGTTGAAAAAGGAAATATCTTCCCATAAAAACTAGACAGAAGCATTCTCAGAAACTTGTTTGTGATGTGTATATTCAACTAACAGGGATGAACCTTTCTTATTACAGAGCAGTTTTGAAACACTCTTTTTGTGGAATCTGAAAGTGGATATTTGGATAGCTTTGAGGATTTCGTTGGAAACGGGATTACATATAAAACCTAGAGAGAAGCATTCTCAGGAACTTCTTTGTGATGTTTGCATTCAAGTCACAGAACTGAACATTCCCTTTCATAGAGCAGGTTTGAAACACTCTTTCTGTAGTATCTGCAAGCGGACGTTTTAAGCGCTTTCAGGCCTGTGGTGAGAAAGGAAATATCTTCAAATAAAAACTAGACAGAAGCATTCTCAGAGACTTATTTGCGATGTGTGTCCTCAACTAACAGAGTTGAACCTTTCTTTTGATACAACATTTTGGAAACACTCTTTTTGTAGAATCTGCAAGTGGATATTTGGATAGCTTTGAAGGTTTCGTTGGAAACGGGAATATCTTCATATGAAATCAAGACAGAAGCATTCTCAGAAACTTCTCTGTGATGTTTGCATTCAACTCATAGAGTTGAACACTTCCCTTCATACAGCAGGTTTGAAACACTCTTTTTCTAATATTTGGAAGTGGACATTTGCAGCGCTTTGAGGCCTATGTTGAAAAAGGAAATATCTTCTCCTAAAAACCAGACAGAAGCATTCTCAGAAACTTCCTTGTGATGTGTGTACTCAAGTAACAGAGTTGAACCTTCCTTTTGACAGAGCAGTTTTGAAGCACTCTTTTTGTAGAATCTGCAAGTGGATATTTTGATACCTTTGAGGATTTCGTTGGACACGGGATATCTTCATATAAAATCTAGACAGAAGCATTCTCAGAAACTTATTTGCCATGTGTGTTCTCAACTAACAGAGTTGAACCTTTGTTTTGATACGGCATTTTGGAAACACTCTTTTTGTAGAATCTGCAGGTGGATATTCGGATAGCTTTGAAGGTTTCGTTGGAAACGGGAATATTTTCATATAAAATCTAGACAGAAGCATTGTCAGAAACTGCTTTGTGATGTTTGCATTCAAGTCACAGAGTAGAATGTTCCCTGTTATATACCAGGTTTGAGACACTCTTTCTGCACTACCTGGAAGTGGACGTTTGGAGCGCTTTGAGGCCTATGTTGAAAAAGGAAATATCTTCCCATAAAAACTAGACAGAAGCATTCTCAGAAACTTGTTTGTGATGTGTGTATTCAACTAACAGAGATGAACCTTTCTTTTTACAGAGCAGTTTTGAAACACTCTTTTTGTGGAATCTGAAAGTGGATATTTGGATAGCTTTGAGGATTTCGTTGGAAACGGGATTACATATAAAACCTAGAGAGAAGCATTCTCAGGAACTTCTTTTTGATGTTTGCCTTCAAGTCACAGGACTGAACATTCCCTTTCATAGAGCAGGTTTGAAACACTCTTTCTGTAGTATCTGCAAGCTGACGTTTCAAGCGCTTTCAGGCCTATGGTGAGAAAGGAAATATCTTCAAGTAAAAACTAGACAGAAGCATTCTCAGAAACTTATTTGCCATGTGTGTTCTCAACTAACAGAGTTGAACCTTTGTTTTGATACGGCATTTTGGAAACACTCTTTTTGTAGAATCTGCAGGTGGATATTCGGATAGCTTTGAAGGTTTCGTTGGAAACGGGAATATCTTCATATAAAATCTAGACGGAAGCATTGTCAGAAACTGCTTTGTGATGTTTTCATTCAAGTCACAGAGTAGAATGTTCCCTGTTATATACCAGGTTTGAGACACTCTTTCTGCACTACCTGGAAGTGGACATTTGTAGCGCTTTGAGGCCTATGATGAAAAAGGAAATATCTTCCCATAAAAACTAGACAGAAGCATTCTCAGAAACTTGTTTGTGATGTGTGTATTCAACTAACAGAGATGAACCTTTCTTTTTACAGAGCAGTTTTGAAACACTCTTTTTGTGGAATCTGAAAGTGGATATTTGGATAGCTTTGAGGATTTCGTTGGAAACGGGATTACATATAAAATCTAGAGAGAAGCATTCTCAGGAACTTCTTTGTGATGTTTGCATTCACGTCACAGAACTGAACATTCCCTTTCATAGAGCATGTTTGAAACACTCTTTCTGTAGTATCTGCAAACGGACATTTCAAACGCTTTCAGGCCTATGGTGAGAAAGGAAATATCTTCAAATAAAAACTAGACAGAAGCATTCTCAGAAACTTATTTGCGATGTGTGTCCTCAACTAACAGAGTTGAACCTTTCTTTTGATACAACATTTTGGAAACACTCTTTTTGTAGAATCTGCAAGTGGATATTTGAATAGCTTTGAAGGTTTCGTTGGAAACGGGAATATCTTCATATAAAATCAAGACAGAAGCATTCTCAGAAACTTCTCTGTTATGTTTGCATTCAACTCATAGAGTTGAACACTTCCCTTCATACAGCAGGCTTGAAACACTCTTTTTGTAATATTTGGAAGTGGACATTTTCAGCGCTTTGATGCCTATGATGAAAAAGGTAATATCTTCCCATAAAAACTAGACAGAAGCATTCTCAGAAACTTGTTTGTGATGTGTGTATTCAACTAACAGAGATGAACCTTTCTTTTTACAGAGCAGTTTTGAAACACTCTTTTTGTGGAATCTGAAAGTGGATATTTGGATAGCTTTGCGGATTTCGTTGGAGACGGGATTACATATAAAATCTAGGGAGAAGCATTCTCAGGAACTTCTTTGTGATGTTTGCATTCAAGTCACAGAACTGAACATTCCCTTTCATAGAGCAGGTTTGAAACACTCTTTCTGTAGTATCTGCAAGCTGACGTTTCAAGTGCTTTCAGGCCTATGGTGAGAAAAGAAATATCTTCAAGTAAAAACTAGACAGAAGCATTCTCAGAAACTTATTTGCCATGTGTGTTCTCAACTAACAGAGTTGAACCTTTGTTTTGATACGGCATTTTGGAAACACTCTTTTTGTAGAATCTGCAGGTGGATATTCGGATAGCTTTGAAGGTTTCGTTGGAAACGGGAATATCTTCATATAAAATCTAGACGGAAGCATTCTCAGAAACTGCTTTGTGATGTTTTCATTCAAGTCACAGAGTAGAATGTTCCCTGTTATATACCAGGTTTGAGACACTCTTTCTGCACTACCCGGAAGTGGACGTTTTTAGCGCTTTGAGGCCTATGTTGAAAAAGGAAATATCTTCCCATAAAAACTAGACAGAAGCATTCTCAGAAACTTGTTTGTGATGTGTGTATTCAACTAACAGAGATGAACCTTTCTTTTTACAGAGCAGTTTTGAAACACTCTTTTTGTGGAATCTGAAAGTGGATATTTGGATAGCTTTGAGGATTTCGTTGGAAACGGGATTACATATAAAACCTAGAGAGAAGCATTCTCAGGAACTTCTTTGTGATGTTTGCATTCAAGTCACAGAACTGAACATTCCCTTTCATAGAGCATGTTTGAAACACTCTTTCTGTAGTATCTGCAAGCGGACGTTTCAAGCGCTTTCAGGCCTATGGTGAGAAAGGAAATATCTTCAAGTAAAAACTAGACAGAAGCATTCTCAGAAACTTATTTGCCATGTGTGTTCTCAACTAACAGAGTTGAACCTTTGTTTGGATACGGCATTTTGGAAACACTCTTTTTGTAGAATCTGCAGGTGGATATTCGGATAGCTTTGAAGGTTTCGTTGGAAACGGGAATATCTTCATATAAAATCTAGACGGAAGCATTCTCAGAAACTGCTTTGTGATGTTTTCATTCAAGTCACAGAGTAGAATGTTCCCTTTTATATACCAGGTTTGAGACACTCTTTCTGCACTATCTGGAAGTGGACATTTGGAGCGCTTTGAGGCCTATGATGAAAAAGGAAATATCTTCCCATAAAAACTAGACAGAAGCATTCTCAGAAACTTGGTTGTGATGTGTGTATTCAACTAACAGAGATGAACCTTTCTTTTTACAGAGCAGTTTTGAAACACTCTTTTTGTGGAATCTGAAAGTGCATATTTGGATAGCTTTGAGGATTTCGTTGGAAACGGGATTACATATAAAATCTAGAGAGAAGCATTCTCAGGAACTTCTTTGTGATGTTTGCATTCACGTCACAGAACTGAACATTCCCTTTCATAGAGCATGTTTGAAACACTCTTTCTGTAGTATCTGCAAACGGACATTTCAAGCGCTTTCAGGCCTATGGTAAGAAAGGAAATATCTTCAAATAAAAACTAGACAGAAGCATTCTCAGAAACTTATTTGCGATGTGTGTCCTCAACTAACAGAGTTGAACCTTTGTTTTGATACAACATTTTGGAAACACTCTTTTTGTAGAATCTGCAAGTGGATATTTGGATAGCTTTGAAGGTTTCTTTGGAAACGGGAATATCTTCATATAAAATCAAGACAGAAGCATTCTCAGAAACTTCTCTGTGATGTTTGCATTCAACTCATAGAGTTGAACACTTCCCTTCATAGAGCAGGTTTGAAACACTCTTTTTGTAATATTTGGAAGTGGACATTTGCAGCGCTTTGAGGCCTATGTTGAAAAAGGAAATATCTTCTCCTAAAAACCAGACAGAAGCATTCTCAGAAACTTCCTTGTGATGTGTGTACTCAAGTAACACAGTTGAACCTTCCTTTTGACAGAGCCGTTTTGAAACAGTCTTTTTGTAGAATCTGGAAGTAGATATTTGGACACCTTTGAGGATTTCTTTGGAAACGGGATATCTTCATATAAAATCTAGACAGAAGCATTCTCAGAAACTTCTTTGTGCTGTATGTCCTCAATTAAGAGAGTTGAACCTTTGTGTGGATACAGCATTTTGGAAACATTCCTTTAGTAGAATCTGCAAGTTGATATTTAGATAGCTAGGAAGATTTCCTTGGAAACGGGAATATCTTCATATAAAATCTAGACGGAAGCATTCTCAGAAAGTGCTTTGTGATGTTTGCATTCAAGTCACAGAGTTGAATATTCCCTTTTATAGAGCAGGTTTGAAACACTCTTTCTGCACTACGTGGAAGTGGACATTTGGAGCGCTTTGAGGCCTATGTTGAAAAAGGAAATATCTTCCCATAAAAACTAGACAGAAGCATTCTCAGAAACTTGTTTGTGATGTGTGTATTCAACTAACAGAGATGAACCTTTCTTTTTACAGAGCAGTTTTGAAACACTCTTTTTGTGGAATCTGAAAGTGGATATTTGGATAGCTTTGAGGATTTCGTTGGAAACGGGATTACATATAAAATCTAGGGAGAAGCATTCTCAGGAACTTCTTTGTGATGTTTGCATTGAAGTCACAGAACTGAACATTCCCTTTCATAGAGCAGGTTTGAAACACTCTTTCTGTAGTATCTGAAAGCGGACGTTTCAAGCGCTTTCAGGCCTGTGGTGAAAAGGGAAATATCTTCAAATAAAAACTAGACAGAAGCATTCTCAGAAACTTATTTGCGATGTGTGTTCTCAACTAACAGAGTTGAACCTTTGTTTTGATACAGCATTTTGGAAACACTCTTTTTGTAGGATCTGCAGGTGGATATTTGGATAGATTTGAAGGTTTCGTTGGAAACGGGAATATCTTCATATAAAATCAACACAGAAGCATTCTCAGAAACTTCTCTGTGATGTTTGCATTCAACTCATAGAGTTGAACACTTCCTTTCATAGAGCTGGTTTGAAATACTCTTTTTGTAATATTTGGAAGTGGACATTGGCAGCGCTTTGAAGCCTATGGTGAAAAAGGAGATATCTTCTCCTAAAAACCAGACAGAAGCATTCTCAGAAACTTATTTGCGATGTGTGTTCTCAACTAACAGAGTTGAACCTTTGTTTTGATATGGCATTTTGGAAACACTCTTTTTGTAGAATCTGCAGGTGGATATTCGGATAGCTTTGAAGGTTTCGTTGGAAACGGGAATATCTTCATATAAAATCTAGACGGAAGCATTCTCAGAAACTGCTTTGTGATGTTTTCATTCAAGTCACAGAGTAGAATGTTCCCTGTTATATACCAGGTTTGAGACACTCTTTCTGCACTACCTGGAAGTGGACATTTGGAGCGCTTTGAGGCCTATGATGAAAAAGGAAATATCTTCCCATAAAAACTAGACAGAAGCATTCTCAGAAACTTGTTTGTGATGTGTGTATTCAACTAACAGAGATGAACCTTTCTTTTTACAGAGCAGTTTTGAAACACTCTTTTTGTGGAATCTGAAAGTGGATATTTGGATAGCTTTGAGGATTTCGTTGGAAACGGGATTACATATAAAATCTAGAGAGAAGCATTCTCAGGAACTTCTTTGTGATGTTTGCATTCACGTCACAGAACTGAACATTCCCTTTCATAGAGCATGTTTGAAACACTCTTTCTGTAGTATCTGCAAACGGACATTTCAAACGCTTTCAGGCCTATGGTGAGAAAGGAAATATCTTCAAATAAAAACTAGACAGAAGCATTCTCAGAAACTTATTTGCGATGTGTGTCCTCAACTAACAGAGTTGAACCTTTCTTTTGATACAACATTTTGGAAACACTCTTTTTGTAGAATCAGCAAGTTGATATTTGAATAGCTTTGAAGGTTTCGTTGGAAACGGGAATATCTTCATATAAAATCAAGACAGAAGCATTCTCAGAAACTGCTTTGTGATGTTTTCATTCAAGTCACAGAGTAGAATGTTCCCTTTTATATACCAGGTTTGAGACACTCTTTCTGCACTATCTGGAAGTGGACATTTGGAGCGCTTTGAGGCCTATGATGAAAAAGGAAATATCTTCCCATAAAAACAAGACAGAAGCATTCTCAGAAACTTGTTTGTGATGTGTGTATTCAACTAACAGAGATGAACCTTTCTTTTTACAGAGCAGTTTTGAAACACTCTTTTTGTGGAATCTGAAAGTGGATATTTGGATAGCTTTGAGGATTTCGTTGGAAACGGGATTACATTTAAGATCTAGAGAGAAGCATTCTCAGGAACTTCTTTGTGATGTTTGCATTCAAGTCACAGAACTGAACATTCCCTTTCATAGAGCATGTTTGAAACACTCTTTCTGTAGTATCTGCAAACGGACATTTCAAGCGCTTTCAGGCCTATGGTAAGAAAGGAAATATCTTCAAATAAAAACTAGACAGAAGCATTCTCAGAAACTTATTTGTGATGTGTGTCCTCAACTAACAGAGTTGAACCTTTGTTTTGATACAACATTTTGGAAACACTCTTTGTGTAGAATCTGCAAGTGGATATTTGGATAGCTTTGAAGGTTTCGTTGGAAACGGGAATATCTTCATATAAAATCAAGACAGAAGCATTCTCAGAAACTTCTCTGTGATGTTTGCATTCAACTCATAGAGTTGAACACTTCCCTTCATAGAGCAGGTTTGAAACACTCTTTTTGTAATATTTGGAAGTGGACATTTGCAGCGCTTTGAGGCCTATGTTGAAAAAGGAAATATCTTCTCCTAAAAACCAGACAGAAGCATTCTCAGAAACTTCCTTGTGATGTGTGTACTCAAGTAACAGAGTTGAACCTTACCTTTGACAGAGCCGTTTTGAAACAGTCTTTTTGTAGAATCTGGAAGTAGATATTTGGACACCTTTGAGGATTTCTTTGGAAACGGGATATCTTCATATAAAATCTAGACAGAAGCATTCTCAGGAACTTCTTTGTGATGTTTGCATTCAAGTCACAGAACTGAACATTCCCTTTCATAGAGCAGGTTTGAAACACTCTTTCTGTAGTATCTGCAAGCGGACGTTTTAAGCGCTTTCAGGCCTGTGGTGAGAAAGGAAATATCTTCAAATAAAAACTAGACAGAAGCATTCTCAGAAACTTATTTGCGATGTGTGTCCTCAACTAACAGAGTTGAACCTTTCTTTTGATACAACATTTTGGAAACACTCTTTTTGTAGAATCTGCAAGTGGATATTTGGATAGCTTTGAAGGTTTCGTTGGAAACGGGAATATCTTCATATGAAATCAAGACAGAAGCATTCTCAGAAACTTCTCTGTGATGTTTGCATTCAACTCATAGAGTTGAACACTTCCCTTCATACAGCAGGTTTGAAACACTCTTTTTCTAATATTTGGAAGTGGACATTTGCAGCGCTTTGAGGCCTATGTTGAGAAAGGAAATATCTTCTCCTAAAAACCAGACAGAAGCATTCTCAGAAACTTATTTGCGATGTGTGTTCTCAACTAACAGAGTTGAACCTTTGTTTTGATATGGCATTTTGGAAACACTCTTTTTGTAGAATCTGCAGGTGGATATTCGGATAGCTTTGAAGGTTTCGTTGGAAACGGGAATATCTTCATATAAAATCTAGACGGAAGCATTCTCAGAAACTGCTTTGTGATGTTTTCATTCAAGTCACAGAGTAGAATGTTCCCTGTTATATACCAGGTTTGAGACACTCTTTCTGCACTACCTGGAAGTGGACGTTTGGAGCGCTTTGAGGCCTATGTTGAAAAAGGAAATATCTTCCCATAAAAACTAGACAGAAGCATTCTCAGAAACTTGTTTGTGATGTGTGTATTCAACTAACAGAGATGAACCTTTCTTTTTACAGAGCAGTTTTGAAACACTCTTTTTGTGGAATCTGAAAGTGGATATTTGGATAGCTTTGAGGATTTCGTTGGAAACGGGATTACATATAAAATCTAGAGAGAAGCATTCTCAGGAACTTCTTTGTGATGTTTGCATTCACGTCACAGAACTGAACATTCCCTTTCATAGAGCATGTTTGAAACACTCTTTCTGTAGTATCTGCAAGCGGACATTTCAAACGCTTTCAGGCCTATGGTGAGAAAGGAAATATCTTCAAATAAAAACTAGACAGAAGCATTCTCAGAAACTTATTTGCGATGTGTGTCCTCAAATAACAGAGTTGAACCTTTCTTTTGATACAACATTTTGGAAACACTCTTTTTGTAGAATCAGCAAGTGGATATTTGAATAGCTTTGAAGGTTTCGTTGGAAACGGGAATATCTTCATATAAAATCAAGACAGAAGCATTCTCAGAAACTTCTCTGTGATGTTTGCATTCAACTCATAGAGTTGAACACTTCCCTTCATACAGCAGGTTTGAAACACTCTTTTTGTAATATTTGGAAGTGGACATTTGCAGCGCTTTGAGGCCTATGATGAAAAAGGTAATATCTTCCCATAAAAACTAGACAGAAGCATTCTCAGAAACTTGTTTGTGATGTGTGTATTCAACTAACAGAGATGAACCTTTCTTTTTACAGAGCAGTTTTGAAACACTCTTTTTGTGGAATCTGAAAGTGGATATTTGGATAGCTTTGCGGATTTCGTTGGAAACGGGATTACATATAAAATCTAGGGAGAAGCATTCTCAGGAACTTCTTTGTGATGTTTGCATTCAAGTCACAGAACTGAACATTCCCTTTCATAGAGCAGGTTTGAAACACTCTTTCTGTAGTATCTGCAAGCGGACGTTTTAAGCGCTTTCAGGCCTGTGGTGAGAAAGGAAATATCTTCAAATAAAAACTAGACAGAAGCATTCTCAGAAACTTATTTGCGATGTGTGTCCTCAACTAACAGAGTTGAACCTTTCTTTTGATACAACATTTTGGAAACACTCTTTTTGTAGAATCTGCAAGTGGATATTTGGATAGCTTTGAAGGTTTCGTTGGAAACGGGAATATCTTCATATGAAATCAAGACAGAAGCATTCTCAGAAACTTCTCTGTGATGTTTGCATTCAACTCATAGAGTTGAACACTTCCCTTCATACAGCAGGTTTGAAACACTGTTTTTCTAATATTTGGAAGTGGACATTTGCAGCGCTTTGAGGCCTATGTTGAAAAAGGAAATATCTTCTCCTAAAAACCAGACAGAAGCATTCTCAGAAACTTCCTTGTGATGTGTGTACTCAAATAACAGAGTTGAACCTTCCTTTTGACGGAGCAGTTTTGAAGCACTCTTTTTGTAGAATCTGCAAGTGGATATTTTGATACCTTTGAGGATTTCGTTGGACACGGGATATCTTCATATAAAATCTAGGCAGAAGCATTCTCAGGAACTTCTTTGTGATGTTTGCATTCAAGTCACAGAACTGAACATTCCCTTTCATAGAGCATGTTTGAAACACTCTTTCTGTAGTATCTGCAAACGGACATTTCAAACGCTTTCAGGCCTATGGTGAGAAAGGAAATATCTTCAAATAAAAACTAGACAGAAGCATTCTCAGAAACTTATTTGCGATGTGTGTCCTCAACTAACAGAGTTGAACCTTTCTTTTGATACAACATTTTGGAAACACTCTTTTTGTAGAATCTGCAAGTGGATATTTGGATAGCTTTGAAGGTTTCGTTGGAAACGGGAATATCTTCATATAAAATCAAGACAGAAGCATTCTCAGAAACTTCTCTGTGATGTTTGCATTCAACTCATAGAGTTGAACACTTCCCTTCATACAGCAGGTTTGAAACACTCTTTTTGTAATATTTGGAAGTGGACATTTGCAGCGCTTTGAGGCCTATGATGAAAAAGGTAATATCTTCCCATAAAAACTAGACAGAAGCATTCTCAGAAACTTGTTTGTGATGTGTGTATTCAACTAACAGAGATGAACCTTTCTTTTTACAGAGCAGTTTTGAAACACTCTTTTTGTGGAATCTGAAAGTGGATGTTTGGATAGCTTTGCGGATTTCGTTGGAAACGGGATTACATATAAAATCTAGGGAGAAGCATTCTCAGGAACTTCTTTGTGATGTTTGCATTCAAGTCACAGAACTGAACATTCCCTTTCATAGAGCAGGTTTGAAACACTCTTTCTGTAGTATCTGCAAGCGGACGTTTTAAGCGCTTTCAGGCCTGTGGTGAGAAAGGAAATATCTTCAAATAAAAACTAGACAGAAGCATTCTCAGAAACTTATTTGCGATGTGTGTCCTCAACTAACAGAGTTGAACCTTTCTTTTGATACAACATTTTGGAAACACTCTTTTTGTAGAATCTGCAAGTGGATATTTGGATAGCTTTGAAGGTTTCGTTGGAAACGGGAATATCTTCATATGAAATCAAGACAGAAGCATTCTCAGAAACTTCTCTGTGATGTTTGCATTCAACTCATAGAGTTGAACACTTCCCTTCATACAGCAGGTTTGAAACACTCTTTTTCTAATATTTGGAAGTGGACATTTGCAGCGCTTTGAGGCCTATGTTGAAAAAGGAAATATCTTCTCCTAAAAACCAGACAGAAGCATTCTCAGAAACTTCCTTGTGATGTGTGTACTCAAGTAACAGAGTTGAACCTTCCTTTTGACAGAGCAGTTTTGAAGCACTCTTTTTGTAGAATCTGCAAGTGGATATTTTGATACCTTTGAGGATTTCGTTGGACACGGGATATCTTCATATAAAATCTAGACAGAAGCATTCTCAGAAACTTCTTTGTGCTGTATGTCCTCAATTAACAGAGTTGAACCTTTGTGTGGATACAGCATTTTGGAAACATTCCTTTAGTAGAATCTGCAAGTAGATATTTAGATAGCTAGGAAGATTTCCTTGGAAACGGGAATATCTTCATATAAAATCTAGACGGAAGCATTCTCAGAAAGTGCTTTGTGATGTCTTCATTCAAGTCACAGAGTAGAATGTTCCCTTTTATAGAGCAGGTTTGAAACACTCTTTCTGCACTACCCGGAAGTGGACATTTGGAGCGCTTTGAGGCCTATGTTGAAAAAGGAAATATCTTCCCATAAAAACTAGACAGAAGCATTCTCAGAAACTTGTTTGTGATGTGTGTATTCAACTAACAGAGATGAACCTTTCTTTTTACAGAGCAGTTTTGAAACACTCTTTTTGTGGAATCTGAAAGTGGATATTTGGATAGCTTTGAGGATTTCGTTGGAAACGGGATTACATGTAAAATCTAGAGAGAAGCATTCTCAGGAACTTCTTTGTGATGGTTGCATTCACGTCACAGAACTGAACATTCCCTTTCATAGAGCATGTTTGAAACACTCTTTCTGTAGTATCTGCAAACGGACATTTCAAACGCTTTCAGGCCTATGGTGAGAAAGGAAATATCTTCAAATAAAAACTAGACAGAAGCATTCTCAAGAAACTTATTTGCGATGTGTGTTCTCAACTAACAGAGTTGAACCTTTGTTTTGATATGGCATTTTGGAAACACTCTTTTTGTAGAATCTGCAGGTGGATATTCGGATAGCTTTGAAGGTTTCGTTGGAAACGGGAATATCTTCATATAAAATCTAGACGGAAGCATTCTCAGAAAGTGCTTTGTGATGTTTGCATTCAAGTCACAGAGTTGAATATTCCCTTTTATAGAGCAGGTTTGAAACACTCTTTCTGCACTACCTGGAAGTGGACATTTGGAGCGCTTTGAGGCCTATGTTGAAAAAGGAAATATCTTCCCATAAAAACTAGACAGAAGCATTCTCAGAAACTTGTTTGTGATGTGTGTATTCAACTAACAGAGATGAACCTTTCTTTTTACAGAGCAGTTTTGAAACACTCTTTTTGTGGAATCTGAAAGTGGATATTTGGATAGCTTTGAGGATTTCGTTGGAAACGGGATTACATATAAAACCTAGAGAGAAGCATTCTCAGGAACTTCTTTGTGATGTTTGCCTTCAAGTCACAGGACTGAACATTCCCTTTCATAGAGCAGGTTTGAAACACTCTTTCTGTAGTATCTGCAAGCTGACGTTTCAAGCGCTTTCAGGCCTATGGTGAGAAAGGAAATATCTTCAAGTAAAAACTAGACAGAAGCGTTCTCAGAAACTTATTTGCCATGTGTGTTCTCAACTAACAGAGTTGAACCTTTGTTTTGATACGGCATTTTGGAAACACTCTTTTTGTAGAATCTGCAGGTGGATATTCGGATAGCTTTGAAGGTTTCGTTGGAAACGGGAATATCTTCATATAAAATCTAGACGGAAGCATTCTCAGAAAGTGCTTTGTGATGTTTGCATTCAAGTCACAGAGTTGAATATTCCCTTTTATACAGCACGTTTGAAACACTCTTTCTGCACTACCTGGAAGTGGACATTTGGAGCGCTTTGAGGCCTATGTTGAAAAAGGAAATATCTTCCCATACAAACTAGACAGAAGCATTCTCAGAAACTTGTTTGTGATGTGTGTATTCAACTAACAGAGATGAACCTTTCTTTTTACAGAGCAGTTTTGAAACACTCTTTTTGTGGAATCTGAAAGTGGATATTTGGATAGCTTTGAGGATTTCGTTGGAAACGGGATTACATATAAAATCTAGAGAGAAGCATTCTCAGGAACTTCTTTGTGATGTTTGCATTCACGTCACAGAACTGAACATTCCCTTTCATAGAGCATGTTTGAAACACTCTTTCTGTAGTATCTGCAAACGGACATTTCAAACGCTTTCAGGCCTGTGGTGAGAAAGGAAATATCTTCAAATAAAAACTAGACAGAAGCATTCTCAGAAACTTATTTGCGATGTGTGTCCTCAACTAACAGAGTTGAACCTTTCTTTTGATACAACATTTTGGAAACACTCTTTTTGTAGAATCTGCAAGTGGATATTTGGATAGCTTTGAAGGTTTCGTTGGAAACGGGAATATCTTCATATGAAATCAAGACAGAAGCATTCTCAGAAACTTCTCTGTGATGTTTGCATTCAACTCATAGAGTTGAACACTTCCCTTCATACAGCAGGTTTGAAACACTCTTTTTCTAATATTTGGAAGTGGACATTTGCAGCGCTTTGAGGCCTATGTTGAAAAAGGAAATATCTTCTCCTAAAAACCAGACAGAAGCATTCTCAGAAACTTCCTTGTGATGTGTGTACTCAAGTAACAGAGTTGAACCTTCCTTTTGACGGAGCAGTTTTGAAGCACTCTTTTTGTAGAATCTGCAAGTGGATATTTTGATACCTTTGAGGATTTCGTTGGACACGGGATATCTTCATGTAAAATCTAAACAGAAGCATTCTCAGGAACTTCTTTGTGATGTTTGCATTCAAGTCACAGAACTGAATATTCCCTTTCATAGAGCAGGTTTGAAACACTCTTTCTGTAGTATCTGCAAGCTGACGTTTCAAGCGCTTTCAGGCCTATGGTGAGAACGGAAATATCTTCAAGTAAAAACTAGACAGAAGCATTCTCAGAAACTTATTTGCGATGTGTGTTCTCAACTAACAGAGTTGAACCTTTGTTTTGATATGGCATTTTGGAAACACTCTTTTTGTAGAATCTGCAGGTGGATATTCGGATAGCTTTGAAGGTTTCGTTGGAAACGGGAATATCTTCATATAAAATCTAGACGGAAGCATTCTCAGAAACTGCTTTGTGATGTTTTCATTCAAGTCACAGAGTAGAATGTTCCCTGTTATATACCAGGTTTGAGACACTCTTTCTGCACTACCCGGAAGTGGACGTTTGGAGCGCTTTGAGGCCAATGTTGAAAAAGGAAATATCTTCCCATAAAAACTAGACAGAAGCATTCTCAGAAACTTGTTTGTGATGTGTGTATTCAACTAACAGAGATGAACCTTTCTTTTTACAGAGCAGTTTTGAAACACTCTTTTTGTGGAATCTGAAAGTGGATATTTGGATAGCTTTGAGGATTTCGTTGGAAACGGGATTACATATAAAACCTAGAGAGAAGCATTCTCAGGAACTTCTTTGTGATGTTTGCATTCAAGTCACAGAACTGAACATTCCCTTTCATAGAGCATGTTTGAAACACTCTTTCTGTAGTATCTGCAAGCGGACGTTTTAAGCGCTTT
Organism: Homo sapiens; assembly: GCF_000001405.40. Taxonomy (NCBI): domain Eukaryota; kingdom Metazoa; phylum Chordata; class Mammalia; order Primates; family Hominidae; genus Homo; species Homo sapiens. The sequence continues at coordinate 44,022,155 of NC_000009.12, forward strand.
CAGGCCTGTGGTGAGAAAGGAAATATCTTCAAATAAAAACTAGACAGAAGCATTCTCAGAAACTTATTTGCCATGTGTGTTCTCAACTAACAGAGTTGAACCTTTGTTTTGATACGGCATTTTGGAAACACTCTTTTTGTAGAATCTGCAGGTGGATATTCGGATAGCTTTGAAGGTTTCGTTGGAAACGGGAATATCTTCATATAAAATCTAGACGGAAGCATTCTCAGAAACTGCTTTGTGATGTTTTCATTCAAGTCACAGAGTAGAATGTTCCCTGTTATATACCAGGTTTGAGACACTCTTTCTGCACTACCTGGAAGTGGACGTTTGGAGCGCTTTGAGGCCTATGTTGAAAAAGGAAATATCTTCCCATAAAAACTAGACAGAAGCATTCTCAGAAACTTGTTTGTGATGTGTGTATTCAACTAACAGGGATGAACCTTTCTTATTACAGAGCAGTTTTGAAACACTCTTTTTGTGGAATCTGAAAGTGGATATTTGGATAGCTTTGAGGATTTCGTTGGAAACGGGATTACATATAAAACCTAGAGAGAAGCATTCTCAGGAACTTCTTTGTGATGTTTGCATTCACGTCACAGAACTGAACATTCCCTTTCATAGAGCATGTTTGAAACACTCTTTCTGTAGTATCTGCAAACGGACATTTCAAACGCTTTCAGGCCTATGGTGAGAAAGGAAATATCTTCAAATAAAAACTAGACAGAAGCATTCTCAGAAACTTGTTTGCGATGTGTTTCCTCAACTAACAGAGTTGAACCTTTCTTTTGATACAACATTTTGGAAACACTCTTTTTGTAGAATCTGCAAGTGGATATTTGGATAGCTTTGAAGGTTTCTTTGGAAACGGGAATATCTTCATATAAAATCAAGACAGAAGCATTCTCAGAAACTTCTCTGTGATGTTTGCATTCAACTCATAGAGTTGAACACTTACCTTCATACAGCAGGTTTGAAACACTCTTTTTGTAATATTTGGAAGTGGACATTTGCAGCGCTTTGAGGCCTATGATGAAAAAGGAAATATCTTCCCATAACAACTAGACAGAAGCATTCTCAGAAACTTGTTTGTGATGTGTGTATTCAACTAACAGAGATGAACCTTTCTTTTTACAGAGCAGTTTTGAAACACTCTTTTTGTGGAATCTGAAAGTGGATATTTGGATAGCTTTGCGGATTTCGTTGGAAACGGGATTACATATAAAATCTAGGGAGAAGCATTCTCAGGAACTTCTTTGTGATGTTTGCATTCAAGTCACAGAACTGAACATTCCCTTTCATAGAGCAGGTTTGAAACACTCTTTCTGTAGTATCTGCAAGCGGACGTTTTAAGCGCTTTCAGGCCTGTGGTGAGAAAGGAAATATCTTCAAATAAAAACTAGACAGAAGCATTCTCAGAAACTTATTTGCGATGTGTGTCCTCAACTAACAGAGTTGAACCTTTCTTTTGATACAACATTTTGATAACACTCTTTTTGTAGAATCTGCAAGTGGATATTTGGATAGCTTTGAAGGTTTCGTTGGAAACGGGAATATCTTCATATGAAATCAAGACAGAAGCATTCTCAGAAACTTCTCTGTGATGTTTGCATTCAACTCATAGAGTTGAACACTTCCCTTCATACAGCAGGTTTGAAACACTCTTTTTCTAATATTTGGAAGTGGACATTTGCAGCGCTTTGAGGCCTATGTTGAAAAAGGAAATATCTTCTCCTAAAAACCAGACAGAAGCATTCTCAGAAACTTCCTTGTGATGTGTGTACTCAAGTAACAGAGTTGAACCTTCCTTTTGACAGAGCAGTTTTGAAGCACTCTTTTTGTAGAATCTGCAAGTGGATATTTTGATACCTTTGAGGATTTCGTTGGACACGGGATATCTTCATATAAAATCTAGACAGAAGCATTCTCAGAAACTTCTTTGTGCTGTATGTCCTCAATTAACAGAGTTGAACCTTTGTGTGGATACAGCATTTTGGAAACATTCCTTTAGTAGAATCTGCAAGTTGATATTTAGATAGCTAGGAAGATTTCCTTGGAAACGGGAATATCTTCATATAAAATCTAGACGGAAGCATTCTCAGAAAGTGCTTTGTGATGTTTGCATTCAAGTCACAGAGTTGAATATTCCCTTTTATAGAGCAGGTTTGAAACACTCTTTCTGCACTACCTGGAAGTGGACATTTGGAGCGCTTTGAGGCCTATGTTGAAAAAGGAAATATCTTCCCCTAAAAACTAGACAGAAGCATTCTCAGAAACTTGTTTGTGATGTGTGTATTCAACTAACAGAGATGAACCTTTCTTTTTACAGAGCAGTTTTGAAACACTCTTTTTGTGGAATCTGAAAGTGGATATTTGGATAGCTTTGAGGATTTCGTTGGAAACGGGATTACATATAAAACCTAGAGAGAAGCATTCTCAGGAACTTCTTTGTGATGTTTGCCTTCAAGTCACAGGACTGAACATTCCCTTTCATAGAGCAGGTTTGAAACACTCTTTCTGTAGTATCTGCAAGCTGACGTTTCAAGCGCTTTCAGGCCTATGGTGAGAAAGGAAATATCTTCAAGTAAAAACTAGACAGAAGCATTCTCAGAAACTTATTTGCCATGTGTGTTCTCAACTAACAGAGTTGAACCTTTGTTTTGATACGGCATTTTGGAAACACTCTTTTTGTAGAATCTGCAGGTGGATATTCGGATAGCTTTGAAGGTTTCGTTGGAAACGGGAATATCTTCATATAAAATCTTGACGGAAGCATTCTCAGAAACTGCTTTGTGATGTTTTCATTCAAGTCACAGAGTAGAATCTTCCCTGTTATATACCAGGTTTCAGACACTCTTTCTGCACTACCTGGAAGTGGACATTTGCAGCGCTTTGAGGCCTATGATGAAAAAGGAAATATCTTCCCATAAAAACTAGACAGAAGCATTCTCAGAAACTTGTTTGTGATGTGTGTATTCAACTAACAGAGATGAACCTTTCTTTTTACAGAGCAGTTTTGAAACACTCTTTTTGTGGAATCTGAAAGTGGATATTTGGATAGCTTTGAGGATTTCGTTGGAAACGGGATTACATATAAAACCTAGAGAGAAGCATTCTCAGGAACTTCTTTGTGATGTTTGCATTCACGTCACAGAACTGAACATTCCCTTTCATAGAGCATGTTTGAAACACTCTTTCTGTAGTATCTGCAAACGGACATTTCAAACGCTTTCAGGCCTATGGTGAGAAAGGAAATATCTTCAAATAAAAACTAGACAGAAGCATTCTCAGAAACTTATTTGCGATGTGTGTCCTCAACTATCAGAGTTGAACCTTTCTTTTGATACAACATTTTGGAACCACTCTTTTTGTAGAATCTGCAAGTGGATATTTGAATAGCTTTGAAGGTTTCGTTGGAAACGGGAATATCTTCATATAAAATCAAGACAGAAGCATTCTCAGAAACTTCTCTGTGATGTTTGCATTCAACTCATAGAGTTGAACACTTCCCTTCATACAGCAGGTTTGAAACACTCTTTTTGTAATATTTGGAAGTGGACATTTGCAGCGCTTTGAGGCCTATGATGAAAAAGGAAATATCTTCCCATAAAAACTAGACAGAAGCATTCTCAGAAACTTGTTTGTGATGTGTGTATTCAACTAACAGAGATGAACCTTTCTTTTTACAGAGCAGTTTTGAAACACTCTTTTTGTGGAATCTGAAAGTGGATATTTGGATAGCTTTGCGGATTTCGTTGGAAACGGGATTACATATAAAATCTAGGGAGAAGCATTCTCAGGAACTTCTTTGTGATGTTTGCATTCAAGTCACAGAACTGAACATTCCCTTTCATAGAGCAGGTTTGAAACACTCTTTCTGTAGTATCTGCAAGCGGACGTTTTAAGCGCTTTCAGGCCTGTGGTGAGAAAGGAAATATCTTCAAATAAAAACTAGACAGAAGCATTCTCAGAAACTTATTTGCGATGTGTGTCCTCAACTAACAGAGTTGAACCTTTCTTTTGATACAACATTTTGGAAACACTCTTTTTGTAGAATCTGCAAGTGGATATTTGGATAGCTTTGAAGGTTTCGTTGGAAACGGGAATATCTTCATATGAAATCAAGACAGAAGCATTCTCAGAAACTTCTCTGTGATGTTTGCATTCAACTCATAGAGTTGAACACTTCCCTTCATACAGCAGGTTTGAAACACTCTTTTTCTAATATTTGGAAGTGGACATTTGCAGCGCTTTGAGACCTATGTTGAAAAAGGAAATATCTTCTCCTAAAAACCAGACAGAAGCATTCTCAGAAACTTGTTTGTGATGTGTGTATTCAACTAACAGAGATGAACCTTTCTTTTTACAGAGCAGTTTTGAAACACTCTTTTTGTGGAATCTGAAAGTGGATATTTGGATAGCTTTGAGGATTTCGTTGGAAACGGGATTACATATAAAACCTAGAGAGAAGCATTCTCAGGAACTTCTTTGTGATGTTTGCATTCAAGTCACAGAACTGAACATTCCCTTTCATAGAGCAGGTTTGAAACACTCTTTCTGTATTATCTGCAAGCTGACGTTTCAAGCGCTTTCAGGCCTATGGTGAGAAAGGAAATATCTTCAAGTAAAAACTAGACAGAAGCATTCTCAGAAACTTATTTGCCATGTGTGTTCTCAACTAACAGAGTTGAACCTTTGTTTTGATACGGCATTTTGGAAACACTCTTTTTGTAGAATCTGCAGGTGGATATTCGGATAGCTTTGAAGGTTTCGTTGGAAACGGGAATATCTTCATATAAAATCTAGACGGAAGCATTCTCAGAAACTGCTTTGTGATGTTTTCATTCAAGTCACAGAGTAGAATGTTCCCTGTTATATACCAGGTTTGAGACACTCTTTCTGCACTACCTGGAAGTGGACGTTTGGAGCGCTTTGAGGCCTATGTTGAAAAAGGAAATATCTTCCCATAAAAACTAGACAGAAGCATTCTCAGAAACTTGTTTGTGATGTGTGTATTCAACTAACAGGGATGAACCTTTCTTATTACAGTGCAGTTTTGAAACACTCTTTTTGTGGAATCTGAAAGTGGATATTTGGATAGCTTTGAGGATTTCGTTGGAAACGAGATTACATATAAAACCTAGAGAGAAGCATTCTCAGGAACTTCTTTGTGATGTTTGCATTCAAGTCACAGAACTGAACATTCCCTTTCATAGAGCAGGTTTGAAACACTCTTTCTGTAGTATCTGCAAGCGGACGTTTCAAGCGCTTTCAGGCCTGTGGTGAAAAAGGAAATATCTTCAAATAAAAACTAGACAGAAGCATTCTCAGAAACTTATTTGCGATGTGTGTCCTCAACTAACAGAGTTGAACCTTTCTTTTGATACAACATTTTGGAAACACTCTTTTTGTGGAATCTGCAAGTGGATATTTGGATAGCTTTGAAGATTTCGTTGGAAACGGGAATATCTTCATATAAAATGAAGACAGAAGCATTCTCAGAAACTTCTCTGTGATGTTTGCATTCAACTCATAGAGTTGAACACTTCCCTTCATACAGCAGGTTTGAAACACTCTTTTTGAAATATTTGGAAGTGGACATTTGCAGCGCTTTGAGGCCTATGATGAAAAAGGTAATATCTTCCCATAAAAACTAGACAGAAGCATTCTCAGAAACTTGTTTGTGATGTGTGTATTCAACTAACAGAGATGAACCTTTCTTTTTACAGAGCAGTTTTGAAACACTCTTTTTGTGGAATCTGAAAGTGGATATTTGGATAGCTTTGCGGATTTCGTTGGAAACGGGATTACATATAAAATCTAGGGAGAAGCATTCTCAGGAACTTCTTTGTGATGTTTGCATTCAAGTCACAGAACTGAACATTCCCTTTCATAGAGCAGGTTTGAAACACTCTTTCTGTAGTATCTGCAAGCGGACGTTTTAAGCGCTTTCAGGCCTGTGGTGAGAAAGGAAATATCTTCAAATAAAAACTAGACAGAAGCATTCTCAGAAACTTATTTGCGATGTGTGTTCTCAACTAAAAGAGTTGAACCTTTGTTTGGATACAACATTTTGGAAACACTCTTTTTGTAGAATCTGCAAGTGGATATTTGGATAGCTGTGAAGGTTTCTTTGGAAACGGGAATATCTTCATATAAAATCAAGACAGAAGCATTCTCAGAAACTTCTCTGTGATGTTTGCATTCAACTCATAGAGTTGAACACTTCCCTTCATACAGCAGGTTTGAAACACTCTTTTTGTAATATTTGGAAGTGGACATTTGCAGCGCTTTGAGGCCTATGTTGAAAAAGGAAATATCTTCTCCTAAAAACCAGACAGAAGCATTCTCAGAAACTTCCTTGTGATGTGTGTACTCAAGTAACAGAGTTGAACCTTCCTTTTGACAGAGCAGTTTTGAAGCACTCTTTTTGTAGAATCTGCAAGTGGATATTTTGATACCTTTGAGGATTTCGTTGGACACGGGATATCTTCATATAAAATCTAGACAGAAGCATTCTCAGAAACTTCTTTGTGCTGTATGTCCTCAATTAACAGAGTTGAACCTTTGTGTGGATACAGCATTTTGGAAACATTCCTTTAGTAGAATCTGCAAGTTGATATTTAGATAGCTAGGAAGATTTCCTTGGAAACGGGAATATCTTCATATAAAATCTAGACGGAAGCATTCTCAGAAAGTGCTTTGTGATGTTTGCATTCAAGTCACAGAGTTGAATATTCCCTTTTATAGAGCAGGTTTGAAACACTTTTTCTGCACTACCTGGAAGTGGACATTTGGAGCGCTTTGAGGCCTATGTTGAAAAAGGAAATATCTTCCCATAAAAACTAGACAGAGAAGCATTCTCAGAAACTTGTTTGTGATGTGTGTATTCAACTAACAGAGATGAACCTTTCTTTTTACAGAGCAGTTTTGAAACACTCTTTTTGTGGAATCTGAAAGTGGATATTTGGATAGCTTTGCGGATTTCGTTGGAAACGGGATTACATATAAAATCTAGGGAGAAGCACTCTCAGGAACTTCTTTGTGATGTTTGCATTCAAGTCACAGAACTGAACATTCCCTTTCATAGAGCAGGTTTGAAACACTCTTTCTGTAGTATCTGCAAGCGGACGTTTTAAGCGCTTTCAGGCCTGTGGTGAGAAAGGAAATATCTTCAAATAAAAACTAGACAGAAGCATTCTCAGAAACTTATTTGCGATGTGTGTCCTCAACTAACAGAGTTGAACCTTTCTTTTGATACAACATTTTGGAAACACTCTTTTTGTAGAATCTGCAAGTGGATATTTGGATAGCTTTGAAGGTTTCGTTGGAAACGGGAATATCTTCATATGAAATCAAGACAGAAGCATTCTCAGAAACTTCTCTGTGATGTTTGCATTCAACTCATAGAGTTGAACACTTCCCTTCATACAGCAGGTTTGAAACACTCTTTTTGTAATATTTGGAAGTGGACATTTGCAGCGCTTTGAGGCCTATGTTGAAAAAGGAAATATCTTCTCCTAAAAACCAGACAGAAGCATTCTCAGAAACTTCCTTGTGATGTGTGTACTCAAGTAACAGAGTTGAACCTTCCTTTTGACAGAGCAGTTTTGAAGCACTCTTTTTGTAGAATCTGCAAGTGGATATTTTGATACCTTTGAGGATTTCGTTGGACACGGGATATCTTCATATAAAATCTAGACAGAAGCATTCTCAGAAACTTCTTTGTGCTGTATGTCCTCAATTAACAGAGTTGAACCTTTGTGTGGATACAGCATTTTGGAAACATTCCTTTAGTAGAATCTGCAAGTTGATATTTAGATAGCTAGGAAGATTTCCTTGGAAACGGGAATATCTTCATATAAAATCTAGACGGAAGCATTCTCAGAAACTGCTTTGTGATGTCTTCATTCAAGTCACAGAGTAGAATGTTCCCTTTTATAGAGCAGGTTTGAAACACTCAGTGCACTACCTGGAAGTGGACATTTGGAGCGCTTTGAGGCCTATGTTGAAAAAGGAAATATCTTCCCATAGAAAATAGACAGAAGCATTCTCAGAAACTTGTTTGTGATGTGTGTATTCAACTAACAGAGATGAACCTTTCTTTTTACAGAGCAGTTTTGAAACACTCTTTTTGTGGAATCTGAAAGTGGATATTTGGATAGCTTTGAGGATTTCGTTGGAAACGGGATTACATATAAAACCTAGAGAGAAGCATTCTCAGGAACTTCTTTGTGATGTTTGCATTCAAGTCACAGAACTGAACATTCCCTTTCATAGAGCAGGTTTGAAACACTCTTTCTGTAGTATCTGCAAGCTGACGTTTCAAGCGCTTTCAGGCCTATGGTGAGAAAGGAAATATCTTCAAGTAAAAACTAGACAGAAGCATTCTCAGAAACTTATTTGCGATGTGTGTTCTCAACTAACAGAGTTGAACCTTTGTTTTGATATGGCATTTTGGAAACACTCTTTTTGTAGAATCTGCAGGTGGATATTCGGATAGCTTTGAAGGTTTCGTTGGAAACGGGAATATCTTCATATAAAATCTAGACGGAAGCATTCTCAGAAACTGCTTTGTGATGTTTGCATTCAAGTCACAGAGTTGAATATTCCCTTTTATAGAGCAGGTTTGAAACACTCTTTCTGCACTACCTGGAAGTGGACATTTGGAGCGCTTTGAGGCCTATGTTGAAAAAGGAAATATCTTCCCATAAAAACTAGACAGAAGCATTCTCAGAAACTTGTTTGTGATGTGTGTATTCAACTAACAGAGATGAACCTTTCTTTTTACAGAGCAGTTTTGAAACACTCTTTTTGTGGAATCTGAAAGTGGATATTTGGATAGCTTTGAGGATTTCGTTGGAAACGGGATTACATATAAAACCTAGAGAGAAGCATTCTCAGGAACTTCTTTGTGATGTTTGCCTTCAAGTCACAGGACTGAACATTCCCTTTCATAGAGCAGGTTTGAAACACTCTTTCTGTAGTATCTGCAAGCTGACGTTTCAAGCGCTTTCAGGCCTATGGTGAGAAAGGAAATATCTTCAAGTAAAAACTAGACAGAAGCATTCTCAGAAACTTATTTGCCATGTGTGTTCTCAACTAACAGAGTTGAACCTTTGTTTTGATACGGCATTTTGGAAACACTCTTTTTGTAGAATCTGCAGGTGGATATTCGGATAGCTTTGAAGGTTTCGTTGGAAACGGGAATATCTTCATATAAAATCTAGACGGAAGCATTCTCAGAAACTGCTTTGTGATGTTTTCATTCAAGTCACAGAGTTGAATGTTCCCTGTTATATACCAGGTTTGAGACACTCTTTCTGCACTACCCGGAAGTGGACGTTTGGAGCGCTTTGAGGCCAATGTTGAAAAAGGAAATATCTTCCCATAAAAACTAGACAGAAGCATTCTCAGAAACTTGTTTGTGATGTGTGTATTCAACTAACAGAGATGAACCTTTCTTTTTACAGAGCAGTTTTGAAACACTCTTTTTGTGGAATCTGAAAGTGGATATTTGGATAGCTTTGAGGATTTCGTTGGAAACGGGATTACATATAAAATCTAGAGAGAAGCATTCTCAGGAACTTCTTTGTGATGTTTGCATTCACGTCACAGAACTGAACATTCCCTTTCATAGAGCATGTTTGAAACACTCTTTCTGTAGTATCTGCAAACGGACATTTCAAACGCTTTCAGGCCTATGGTGAGAAAGGAAATATCTTCAAGTAAAAACTAGACAGAAGCATTCTCAGAAACTTATTTGCGATGTGTGTCCTCAACTAACAGAGTTGAACCTTTCTTTTGATACAACATTTTGGAAACACTCTTTTTGTAGAATCTGCAAGTGGATATTTGAATAGCTTTGAAGGTTTCGTTGGAAACGGGAATATCTTCATATAAAATCAAGACAGAAGCATTCTCAGAAACTTCTCTGTGATGTTTGCATTCAACTCATAGAGTTGAACACTTCCCTTCATACAGCAGGTTTGAAACACTCTTTTTGTAATATTTGGAAGTGGACATTTGCAGCGCTTTGAGGCCTATGATGAAAAAGGAAATATCTTCCCATAAAAACTAGACAGAAGCATTCTCAGAAACTTGTTTGTGATGTGTGTATTCAACTAACAGAGATGAACCTTTCTTTTTACAGAGCAGTTTTGAAACACTCTTTTTGTGGAATCTGAAAGTGGATATTTGGATAGCTTTGCGGATTTCGTTGGAAACGGGATTACATATAAAATCTAGGGAGAAGCATTCTCAGGAACTTCTTTGTGATGTTTGCATTCAAGTCACAGAACTGAACATTCCCTTTCATAGAGCAGGTTTGAAACACTCTTTCTGTAGTATCTGCAAGCGGACGTTTTAAGCGCTTTCAGGCCTGTGGTGAGAAAGGAAATATCTTCAAATAAAAACTAGACAGAAGCATTCTCAGAAACTTATTTGCGATGTGTGTCCTCAACTAACAGAGTTGAACCTTTCTTTTGATACAACATTTTGGAAACACTCTTTTTGTAGAATCTGCAAGTGGATATTTGGATAGCTTTGAAGGTTTCGTTGGAAACGGGAATATCTTCATATGAAATCAAGACAGAAGCATTCTCAGAAACTTCTCTGTGATGTTTGCATTCAACTCATAGAGTTGAACACTTCCCTTCATACAGCAGGTTTGAAACACTCTTTTTCTAATATTTGGAAGTGGACATTTGCAGCGCTTTGAGGCCTATGTTGAAAAAGGAAATATCTTCTCCTAAAAACCAGACAGAAGCATTCTCAGAAACTTCCTTGTGATGTGTGTACTCAAGTAACAGAGTTGAACCTTCCTTTTGACAGAGCAGTTTTGAAGCACTCTTTTTGTAGAATCTGCAAGTGGATATTTTGATACCTTTGAGGATTTCGTTGGACACGGGATATCTTCATATAAAATCTAGACAGAAGCATTCTCAGAAACTTCTTTGTGCTTTATGTCCTCAATTAACAGAGTTGAACCTTTGTGTGGATACAGCATTTTGGAAACATTCCTTTAGTAGAATCTGCAAGTTGATATTTAGATAGCTAGGAAGATTTCCTTGGAAACGGGAATATCTTCATATAAAATCTAGACGGAAGCATTCTCAGAAAGTGCTTTGTGATGTTTGCATTCAAGTCACAGAGTTGAATATTCCCTTTTATAGAGCAGGTTTGAAACACTCTTTCTGCACTACCTGGAAGTGGACATTTGGAGCGCTTTGAGGCCTATGTTGAAAAAGGAAATATCTTCCCATAAAAACTAGACAGAAGCATTCTCAGAAACTTGTTTGTGATGTGTGTATTCAACTAACAGAGATGAACCTTTCTTTTTACAGAGCAGTTTTGAAACACTCTTTTTGTGGAATCTGAAAGTGGATATTTGGATAGCTTTGAGGATTTCGTTGGAAACGGGATTACATATAAAACCTAGAGAGAAGCATTCTCAGGAACTTCTTTGTGATGTTTGCCTTCAAGTCACAGGACTGAACATTCCCTTTCATAGAGCAGGTTTGAAACACTCTTTCTGTAGTATCTGCAAGCTGACGTTTCAAGCGCTTTCAGGCCTATGGTGAGAAAGGAAATATCTTCAAGTAAAAACTAGACAGAAGCATTCTCAGAAACTTATTTGCCATGTGTGTTCTCAACTAACAGAGTTGAACCTTTGTTTTGATACGGCATTTTGGAAACACTCTTTTTGTAGAATCTGCAGGTGGATATTCGGATAGCTTTGAAGGTTTCGTTGGAAACGGGAATATCTTCATATAAAATCTAGACGGAAGCATTCTCAGAAACTGCTTTGTGATGTTTTCATTCAAGTCACAGAGTAGAATGTTCCCTGTTATATACCAGGTTTGAGACACTCTTTCTGCACTACCCGGAAGTGGACGTTTGGAGCGCTTTGAGGCCTATGTTGAAAAAGGAAATATCTTCCCATAAAAACTAGACAGAAGCATTCTCAGAAACTTGTTTGTGATGTGTGTATTCAACTAACAGAGATGAACCTTTCTTTTTACAGAGCAGTTTTGAAACACTCTTTTTGTGGAATCTGAAAGTGGATATTTGGATAGCTTTGAGGATTTCGTTGGAAACGGGATTACATATAAAATCTAGAGAGAAGCATTCTCAGGAAATTCTTTGTGATGTTTGCATTCACGTCACAGAACTGAACATTCCCTTTCATAGAGCATGTTTGAAACACTCTTTCTGTAGTATCTGCAAACGGACATTTCAAACGCTTTCAGGCCTATGGTGAGAAAGGAAATATCTTCAAGTAAAAACTAGACAGAAGCATTCTCAGAAACTTATTTGCGATGTGTGTCCTCAACTAACAGAGTTGAACCTTTCTTTTGATACAACATTTTGGAAACACTCTTTTTGTAGAATCTGCAAGTGGATATTTGAATAGCTTTGAAGGTTTCGTTGGAAACGGGAATATCTTCATATAAAATCAAGACAGAAGCATTCTCAGAAACTTCTCTGTGATGTTTGCATTCAACTCATAGAGTTGAACACTTCCCTTCATACAGCAGGTTTCAAACACTCTTTTTGTAATATTTGGAAGTGGACATTTGCAGCGCTTTGAGGCCTATGATGAAAAAGGTAATATCTTCCCATAAAAACTAGACAGAAGCATTCTCAGAAACTTGTTTGTGATGTGTGTATTCAACTAACAGAGATGAACCTTTCTTTTTACAGAGCAGTTTTGAAACACTCTTTTTGTGGAATCTGAAAGTGGATATTTGGATAGCTTTGCGGATTTCGTTGGAAACGGGATTACATATAAAATCTAGGGAGAAGCATTCTCAGGAACTTCTTTGTGATGTTTGCATTCAAGTCACAGGAACTGAACATTCCCTTTCATAGAGCAGGTTTGAAACACTCTTTCTGTAGTATCTGCAAGCGGACGTTTTAAGCGCTTTCAGGCCTGTGGTGAGAAAGGAAATATCTTCAAATAAAAACTAGACAGAAGCATTCTCAGAAACTTATTTGCGATGTGTGTCCTCAACTAACAGAGTTGAACCTTTCTTTTGATACAACATTTTGGAAACACTCTTTTTGTAGAATCTGCAAGTGGATATTTGGATAGCTTTGAAGGTTTCGTTGGAAACGGGAATATCTTCATATGAAATCAAGACAGAAGCATTCTCAGAAACTTCTCTGTGATGTTTGCATTCAACTCATAGAGTTGAACACTTCCCTTCATACAGCAGGTTTGAAACACTCTTTTTCTAATATTTGGAAGTGGACATTTGCAGCGCTTTGAGGCCTTTGTTGAAAAAGGAAATATCTTCTCCTAAAAACCAGACAGAAGCATTCTCAGAAACTTGTTTGTGATGTGTGTATTCAACTAACAGAGATGAACCTTTCTTTTCACAGAGCAGTTTTGAAACACTCTTTTTGTGGAATCTGAAAGTGGATATTTGGATAGCTTTGAGGATTTCGTTGCAAACGGGATTACATATAAAATCTAGAGAGAAGCATTCTCAAGAACTTCTTTGTGATGTTTGCATTCAAGTCACAGAACTGAACATTCCCTTTCATAGAGCATGTTTGAAACACTCTTTCTGTAGTATTTGCAAACGGACATTTCATACGCTTTCAGGCCTATGGTGAGAAAGGAAATATCTTCAAATAAAAACTAGACAGAAGCATTCTCAGAAACTTATTTGCGATGTGTGTCCTCAACTAACAGAGTTGAACCTTTCTTTTGATACAACATTTTGGAAACACTCTTTTTGTAGAATCTGCAAGTGGATATTTGAATAGCTTTGAAGGTTTCGTTGGAAACGGGAATATCTTCATATAAAATCAAGACAGAAGCATTCTCAGAAACTTCTCTGTGATGTTTGCATTCAACTCATAGAGTTGAACACTTCCCTTCATACAGCAGGTTTGAAACACTCTTTTTGTAATATTTGGAAGTGGACATTTGCAGCGCTTTGAGGCCTATGTTGAAAAAGGAAATATCTTCTCCTAAAAACCAGACAGAAGCATTCTCAGAAACTTCCTTGTGATGTGTGTACTCAAGTAACAGAGTTGAACCTTCCTTTTTACAGAGCAGTTTTGAAACACTCTTTTTGTGGAATGTGAAAGTGGATATTTGGATAGCTTTGCGGATTTCGTTATAAACGGGATTACATATAAAATCTAGGGAGAAGCATTCTCAGGAACTTCTTTGTGATGTTTGCATTCAAGTCACAGAACTGAACATTCCCTTTCATAGAGCAGGTTTGAAACACTCTTTCTGTAGTATCTGCAAGCGGACGTTTTAAGCGCTTTCAGGCCTGTGGTGAGAAAGGAAATATCTTCAAATAAAAACTAGACAGAAGCATTCTCAGAAACTTATTTGCGATGTGTGTTCTCAGCTAACAGAGTTGAACCTTCGTTTTGATACAGCATTTTGGAAACACTCTTTTTGTAGGATCTGCAGGTGGATATTTGGATAGCTTTGAAGGTTTCTTTGGAAACGGGAATATCTTCATATAAAATCAAGACAGAAGCATTCTCAGAAACTTCTCTGTGATGTTTGCATTCAACTCATAGAGTTGAACACTTCCTTTCATAGAGCTGGTTTGAAATACTCTTTTTGTAATATTTGGAAGTGGACATTGGCAGCGCTTTTAAGCCTATGGTGAAAAAGGAGATATCTTCTCCTAAAAACCAGACAGAAGCATTCTCAGAAACTTCCTTGTGATGTGTGTACTCAAGTAACAGAGTTGAACCTTCCTTTTGACAGAGCAGTTTTGAAGCACTCTTTTTGTAGAATCTGCAAGTGGATATTTTGATACCTTTGAGGATTTCGTTGGACACGGGATATCTTCATATAAAATCTAGACTAGAAGCATTCTCAGGAACTTCTTTGTGATGTTTGCATTCAAGTCACAGAACTGAACATTCCCTTTCATAGAGCAGGTTTGAAACACTCTTTCTGTAGTATCTGCAAGCGGACGTTTTAAGCGCTTTCAGGCCTGTGGTGAGAAAAGAAATATCTTCAAATAAAAACTAGACAGAAGCATTCTCAGAAACTTATTTGCGATGTGTGTCCTCAACTAACAGAGTTGAACCTTTCTTTTGATACAACATTTTGGAAACACTCTTTTTGTAGAATCTGCAAGTGGATATTTGGATAGCTTTGAAGGTTTCGTTGGAAACGGGAATATCTTCATATGAAATCAAGACAGAAGCATTCTCAGAAACTTCTCTGTGATGTTTGCATTCAACTCATAGAGTTGAACACTTCCCTTCATACAGCAGGTTTGAAACACTCTTTTTGTAATATTTGGAAGTGGACATTTGCAGCGCTTTGAGGCCTATGTTGAAAAAGGAAATATCTTCTCCTAAAAACCAGACAGAAGCATTCTCAGAAACTTCCTTGTGATGTGTGTACTCAAGTAACAGAGTTGAACCTTCCTTTTGACAGAGCAGTTTTGAAGCACTCTTTTTGTAGAATCTGCAAGTGGATATTTTGATACCTTTGAGGATTTCGTTGGACACGGGATATCTTCATATAAAATCTAGACAGAAGCATTCTCAGAAACTTCTTTGTGCTGTATGTCCTCAATTAACAGAGTTGAACCTTTGTGTGGATACAGCATTTTGGAAACATTCCTTTAGTAGAATCTGCAAGTTGATATTTAGATAGCTAGGAAGATTTCCTTGGAAACGGGAATATCTTCATATAAAATCTAGACGGAAGCATTCTCAGAAAGTGCTTTGTGATGTTTGCATTCAAGTCACAGAGTTGAATATTCCCTTTTATAGAGCAGGTTTGAAACACTCTTTCTGCACTACCTGGAAGTGGACATTTGGAGCGCTTTGAGGCCTATGTTGAAAAAGGAAATATCTTCCCATAAAAACTAGACAGAAGCATTCTCAGAAACTTGTTTGTGATGTGTGTATTCAACTAACAGAGATGAACCTTTCTTTTTACAGAGCAGTTTTGAAACACTCTTTTTGTGGAATCTGAAAGTGGATATTTGGATAGCTTTGAGGATTTCGTTGGAAACGGGATTACATATAAAACCTAGAGAGAAGCATTCTCAGGAACTTCTTTGTGATGTTTCCCTTCAAGTCACAGGACTGAACATTCCCTTTCATAGAGCAGGTTTGAAACACTCTTTCTGTAGTATCTGCAAGCTGACGTTTCAAGCGCTTTCAGGCCTATGGTGAGAAAGGAAATATCTTCAAGTAAAAACTAGACAGAAGCATTCTCAGAAACTTATTTGCCATGTGTGTTCTCAACTAACAGAGTTGAACCTTTGTTTTGATACGGCATTTTGGAAACACTCTTTTTGTAGAATCTGCAGGTGGATATTCGGATAGCTTTGAAGGTTTCGTTGGAAACGGGAATATCTTCATATAAAATCTAGACGGAAGCATTCTCAGAAACTGCTTTGTGATGTTTTCATTCAAGTCACAGAGTAGAATGTTCCCTGTTATATACCAGGTTTGAGACACTCTTTCTGCACTACCCGGAAGTGGACGTTTGGAGCGCTTTGAGGCCTATGTTGAAAAACGAAATATCTTCCCATAAAAACTAGACAGAAGCATTCTCAGAAACTTGTTTGTGATGTGTGTATTCAACTAACAGAGATGAACCTTTCTTTTTACAGAGCAGTTTTGAAACACTCTTTTTGTGGAATCTGAAAGTGGATATTTGGATAGCTTTGAGGATTTCGTTGGAAACGGGATTACATATAAAATCTAGAGAGCATTCTCAGGAACTTCTTTGTGATGTTTGCAATCACGTCACAGAACTGAACATTCCCTTTCATAGAGCATGTTTGAAACACTCTTTCTGTAGTATCTGCAAACGGACATTTCAAACGCTTTCAGGCCTATGGTGAGAAAGGAAATATCTTCAAGTAAAAACTAGACAGAAGCATTCTCAGAAACTTATTTGCGATGTGTGTCCTCAACTAACAGAGTTGAACCTTTCTTTTGATACAACATTTTGGAAACACTCTTTTTGTAGAATCTGCAAGTGGATATTTGAATAGCTTTGAAGGTTTCGTTGGAAACGGGAATATCTTCATATAAAATCAAGACAGAAGCATTCTCAGAAACTTCTCTGTGATGTTTGCATTCAACTCATAGAGTTGAACACTTCCCTTCATACAGCAGGTTTGAAACACTCTTTTTGTAATATTTGGAAGTGGACTTTTGCAGCGCTTTGAGGCCTATGATGAAAAAGGTAATATCTTCCCATAAAAACTAGACAGAAGCATTCTCAGAAACTTGTTTGTGATGTGTGTATTCAACTAACAGAGATGAACCTTTGTTTTTACAGAGCAGTTTTGAAACACTGTTTTTGTGGAATCTGAAAGTGGATATTTGGATAGCTTTGCGGATTTCGTTGGAAACGGGATTACATATAAAATCTAGGGAGAAGCATTCTCAGGAACTTCTTTGTGATGTTTGCATTCAAGTCACAGAACTGAACATTCCCTTTCATAGAGCAGGTTTGAAACACTCTTTCTGTAGTATCTGCAAGCTGACGTTTCAAGCGCTTTCAGGCCTATGGTGAGAAAGGAAATATCTTCAAGTAAAAACTAGACAGAAGCATTCTCAGAAACTTATTTGCCATGTGTGTTCTCAACTAACAGAGTTGAACCTTTGTTTTGATACGGCATTTTGGAAACACTCTTTTTGTAGAATCTGCAGGTGGATATTCGGATAGCTTTGAAGGTTTCGTTGGAAACGGGAATATCTTCATATAAAATCTAGACGGAAGCATTCTCAGAAACTGCTTTGTGATGTTTTCATTCAAGTCACAGAGTAGAATGTTCCCTGTTATATACCAGGTTTGAGACACTCTTTCTGCACTACCTGGAAGTGGACGTTTGGAGCGCTTTGAGGCCTATGTTGAAAAAGGAAATATCTTCCCATAAAAACTAGACAGAAGCATTCTCAGAAACTTGTTTGTGATGTGTGTATTCAACTAACAGAGATGAACATTTCTTTTTACAGAGCAGTTTTGAAACACTCTTTTTGTGGAATCTGAAAGTGGATATTTGGATAGCTTTGAGGATTTCGTTGGAAACGGGATTACATATAAAATCTAGAGAGAAGCATTCTCAGGAACTGCTTTGTGATGTTTGCATTCAAGTCACAGAACTGAACATTCCCTTTCATAGAGCAGGTTTGAAACACTCTTTCTGTAGTATCTGCAAGCTGACGTTTCAAGCGCTTTCAGGCCTATGGTGAGAAAGGAAATATCTTCAAGTAAAAACAAGACAGAAGCATTCTCAGAAACTTATTTGCCATGTGTGTTCTCAACTAACAGAGTTGAACCTTTGTTTTGATACGGCATTTTGGAAACACTCTTTTTGTATAATCTGCAGGTGGATATTCGGATAGCTTTGAAGGTTTCGTTGGAAACGGGAATATCTTCATATAAAATCTAGACGGAAGCATTCTCAGAAAGTGCTTTGTGATGTTTGCATTCAAGTCACAGAGTTGAATATTCCCTTTTATAGAGCAGGTTTGAAACACTCTTTCTGCACTACCTGGAAGTGGACATTTGGAGCGCTTTGAGGCCTATGTTGAAAAACGAAATATCTTCCCATAAAAACTAGACAGAAGCATTCTCAGAAACTTGTTTGTGATGTGTGTATTCAACTAACAGAGATGAACCTTTCTTTTTACAGAGCAGTTTTGAAACACTCTTTTTGTGGAATCTGAAAGTGGATATTTGGATAGCTTTGAGGATTTCGTTGGAAACGGGATTACATATAAAACCTAGAGAGAAGCATTCTCAGGAACTTCTTTGTGATGTTTGCCTTCAAGTCACAGGACTGAACATTCCCTTTCATAGAGCAGGTTTGAAACACTCTTTCTGTAGTATCTGCAAGCTGACGTTTCAAGCGCTTTCAGGCCTATGGTGAGAAAGGAAATATCTTCAAGTAAAAACTAGACAGAAGCATTCTCAGAAACTTATTTGCGATGTGTGTTCTCAACTAACAGAGTTGAACCTTTGTTTTGATACAACATTTTGGAAACACTCTTTTTGTAGAATCTGCAAGTGGATATTTTGATAGCTTTGAAGGTTTCGTTGGAAACGGGAATATCTTCATATAAAATCAAGACAGAAGCATTCTCAGAAACTTCTCTGTGATGTTTGCATTCAACTCATAGAGTTGAACACTTCCCTTCATAGAGCAGGTTTGAAACACTCTTTTTGTAATATTTGGAAGTGGACATTTGCAGCGCTTTGAGGCCTATGTTGAAAAAGGAAATATCTTCTCCTAAAAACCAGACAGAAGCATTCTCAGAAACTTCCTTGTGATGTGTGTACTCAAGTAACAGAGTTGAACCTTCCTTTGGACAGAGCCGTTTTGAAACAGTCTTTTTGTAGAATCTGGAAGTAGATATTTGGATACCTTTGAGGATTTCTTTGGAAACGGGATATCTTCATATAAAATCTAGACAGAAGCATTCTCAGAAACTTCTTTGTGCTGTATGTCCTCAATTAACAGAGTTGAACCTTTGTGTGGATACAGCATTTTGGAAACATTCCTTTAGTAGAATCTGCAAGTTGATATTTAGATAGCTAGGAAGATTTCCTTGGAAACGGGAATATCTTCATATAAAATCTAGACGGAAGCATTCTCAGAAAGTGCTTTGTGATGTCTTCATTCAAGTCACAGAGTAGAATGTTCCCTTTTATAGAGCAGGTTTGAAACACTCTTTCTGCACTACCTGGAAGTGGACATTTGGAGCGCTTTGAGACCTATGTTGAAAAAGGAAATATCTTCCCATAAAAACTAGACAGAAGCATTCTCAGAAACTTGTTTGTGATGTGTGTATTCAACTAACAGAGATGAACCTTTCTTTTTACAGAGCAGTTTTGAAACACTCTTTTTGTGGAATCTGAAAGTGGATATTTGGATAGCTTTGAGGATTTCGTTGGAAACGGGATTACATATAAAACCTAGAGAGAAGCATTCTCAGGAACTTCTTTGTGATGTTTGCATTCACGTCACAGAACTGAACATTCCCTTTCATAGAGCAGGTTTGAAACACTCTTTCTGTAGTATCTGCAAGCTGACGTTTCAAGCGCTTTCAGGCCTATGGTGAGAAAGGAAATATCTTCAAGTAAAAACTAGACAGAAGCATTCTCAGAAACTTATTTGCGATGTGTGTCCTCAACTAACAGAGTTGAATCTTTCTTTTGATACAACATTTTGGAAACACTCTTTTTGTAGAATCTGCAAGTGGATATTTGAATAGCTTTGAAGGTTTCGTTGGAAACGGGAATATCTTCATATAAAATCAAGACAGAAGCATTCTCAGAAAGTGCTTTGTGATGTTTTCATTCAAGTCACAGTGTAGAATGTTCCCTTTTATATACCAGGTTTGAGACACTCTTTCTGCACTATCTGGAAGTGGACATTTGGAGCGCTTTGAGGCCTATGTTGAAAAAGGAAATATCTTCCCATAAAAACTAGACAGAAGCATTCTCAGAAACTTGTTTCTGATGTGTGTATTCAACTAACAGAGATGAACCTTTCTTTTTACAGAGTAGTTTTGAAACACTCTTTTTGTGGAATCTGAAAGTGGATATTTGGATAGCTTTGCGGATTTCGTTGGAAACGGGATTACATATAAAATCTAGGGAGAAGCATTCTCAGGAACTTCTTTGTGATGTTTGCATTCAAGTCACAGAACTGAACATTCCCTTTCATAGAGCCGGTTTGAAACACTCTTTCTGTAGTATCTGCAACCGGACGTTTCAAGCGCTTTCAGGCCTGCGGTGAAAAAGGAAATATCTTCAAATAAAAACTAGACAGAAGCATTCTCAGAAACTTATTTGCGATGTGTGTTCTCAACTAACAGAGTTGAACCTTTGTTTTGATACAGCATTTTGGAAACACTCTTTTTGTAGGATCTGCAGGTGGATATTTGGATAGCTTTGAAGGTTTCGTTGGAAACGGGAATATCTTCATATAAAATCAAGACAGAAGCATTTTCAGAAACTTCTCTGTGATGTTTGCATTCAACTCATAGAGGTGAACACTTCCCTTCATAGAGCAGGTTTGAAACACTCTTTTTGTAATATTTGGAAGTGGACATTTGCAGCGCTTTGAGGCCTATGTTGAAAAAGGGAATATCTTCTCCTGAAAACCAGACAGAAGCATTCTCAGAAACTTATTTGCGATGTGTGTTCTCAACTAACAGAGTTGAACCTTTGTTTTGATATGGCATTTTGGAAACACTCTTTTTGTAGAATCTGCAGGTGGATATTCGGATAGCTTTGAAGGTTTCGTTGGAAACGGGAATATCTTCATATAAAATCTAGACGGAAGCATTCTCAGAAACTGCTTTGTGATGTTTTCATTCAAGTCACAGAGTAGAATGTTCCCTGTTATATACCAGGTTAGAGACACTCTTTCTGCACTACCTGGAAGTGGACATTTGCAGCGCTTTGAGGCCTATGATGAAAAAGGAAATATCTTCCCATAAAAACTAGACAGAAGCATTCTCAGAAACTTGTTTGTGATTTGTGTATTCAACTAACAGAGATGAACCTTTCTTTTTACAGAGCAGTTTTGAAACACTCTTTTTGTGGAATCTGAAAGTGGATATTTGGATAGCTTTGAGGATTTCGTTGGAAACGGGATTACATATAAAATCTAGAGAGAAGCATTCTCAGGAACTTCTTTGTGATGTTTGCATTCACGTCACAGAACTGAACATTCCCTTTCATAGAGCATGTTTGAAACACTCTTTCTGTAGTATCTGCAAGCGGACGTTTTAAGCGCTTTCAGGCCTGTGGTGAGAAAGGAAATATCTTCAAATAAAAACTAGACAGAAGCATTCTCAGAAACTTATTTGCGATGTGTGTCCTCAACTAACAGAGTTGAACCTTTCTTTTGATACAACATTTTGGAAACACTCTTTTTGTAGAATCTGCAAGTGGATATTTGGATAGCTTTGAAGGTTTCGTTGGAAACGGGAATATCTTCATATGAAATCAAGACAGAAGCATTCTCAGAAACTGCTTTGTGATGTTTTCATTCAAGTCACAGAGTAGAATGTTCCCTGTTATACACCAGGTTTGAGACACTCTTTCTGCACTACCTGGAAGTGGACGTTTGGAGCGCTTTGAGGCCTATGTTGAAAAAGGAAATATCTTCCCATAAAAACTAGACAGAAGCATTCTCAGAAACTTGTTTGTGATGTGTGTATTCAACTAACAGAGATGAACCTTTCTTTTTACAGAGCAGTTTTGAAACACTCTTTTTGTGGAATCTGAAAGTGGATATTTGGATAGCTTTGAGGATTTCGTTGGAAACGGGATTACATATAAAATCTAGAGAGAAGCATTCTCAGGAACTTCTTTGTGATGTTTGCATTCACGTCACAGAACTGAACATTCCCTTTCATAGAGCATGTTTGAAACACTCTTTCTGTAGTATCTGCAAACGGACATTTCAAACGCTTTCAGGCCTATGGTGAGAAAGGAAATATCTTCAAATAAAAACTAGACAGAAGCATTCTCAGAAACTTATTTGCGATGTGTGTCCTCAACTAACAGAGTTGAACCTTTCTTTTGATACAACATTTTGGAAACACTCTTTTTGTAGAATCTGCAAGTGGATATTTGCATAGCTTTGAAGGTTTCGTTGGAAACGGGAATATCTTCATATAAAATCAAGACAGAAGCATTCTCAGAAACTTCTCTGTGATGTTTGCATTCAACTCATAGAGTTGAACACTTCCCTTCATACAGCAGGTTTGAAACACTCTTTTTGTAATATTTGGAAGTGGACATTTGCAGCGCTTTGAGGCCTATGTTGAAAAAGGAAATATCTTCTCCTAAAAACCAGACAGAAGCATTCTCAGAAACTTCCTTGTGATGTGTGTACTCAAGTAACAGAGTTGAACCTTCCTTTTGACAGAGCAGTTTTGAGGCACTCTTTTTGTAGAATCTGCAAGTGGATATTTTGATACCTTTGAGGATTTCGTTGGACACGGGATATCTTCATATAAAATCTAGACAGAAGCATTCTCAGAAACTTCTTTGTGCTGTATGTCCTCAATTAACAGAGTTGAACCTTTGTGTGGATACAGCATTTTGGAAACATTCCTTTAGTAGAATCTGCAAGTTGATATTTAGATAGCTAGGAAGATTTCCTTGGAAACGGGAATATCTTCATATAAAATCTAGCCGGAAGCATTCTCAGAAAGTGCTTTGTGATGTTTGCATTCAAGTCACAGAGTTGAATATTCCCTTTTATAGAGCAGGTTTGAAACACTCTTTCTGCACTACCTGGAAGTGGACATTTGGAGCGCTTTGAGGCCTATGTTGAAAAAGGAAATATCTTCCCATAAAAACTAGACAGAAGCATTCTCAGAAACTTGTTTGTGATGTGTGTATTCAACTAACAGAGATGAACCTTTCTTTTTACAGAGCAGTTTTGAAACACTCTTTTTGTGGAATCTGAAAGTGGATATTTGGATAGCTTTGAGGATTTCGTTGGAAACGGGATTACATATAAAACCTAGAGAGAAGCATTCTCAGGAACTTCTTTGTGATGTTTGCCTTCAAGTCACAGGACTGAACATTCCCTTTCATAGAGCAGGTTTGAAACACTCTTTCTGTAGTATCTGCAAGCTGACGTTTCAAGCGCTTTCAGGCCTATGGTGAGAAAGGAAATATCTTCAAGTAAAAACTAGACAGAAGCATTCTCAGAAACTTATTTGCGATGTGTGTTCTCAACTAACAGAGTTGAACCTTTGTTTTGATATGGCATTTTGGAAACACTCTTTTTGTAGAATCTGCAGGTGGATATTCGGATAGCTTTGAAGGTTTCGTTGGAAACGGGAATATCTTCATATAAAATCTAGACGGAAGCATTCTCAGAAACTGCTTTGTGATGTTTTCATTCAAGTCACAGAGTAGAATGTTCCCTGTTATATACCAGGTTTGAGACACTCTTTCTGCACTACCTGGAAGTGGACGTTTGGAGCGCTTTGAGGCCTATGTTGAAAAAGGAAATATCTTCCCATAAAAACTAGACAGAAGCATTCTCAGAAACTTGTTTGTGATGTGTGTATTCAACTAACAGAGATGAACCTTTCTTTTTACAGAGCAGTTTTGAAACACTCTTTTTGTGGAATCTGAAAGTGGATATTTGGATAGCTTTGAGGATTTCGTTGGAAACGGGATTACATATATAACCTAGAGAGAAGCATTCTCAGGAACTGCTTTGTGATGTTTGCATTCAAGTCACAGAACTGAACATTCCCTTTCATAGAGCAGGTTTGAAACACTCTTTCTGTAGTATCTGCAAGCTGACGTTTCAAGCGCTTTCAGGCCTATGGTGAGAAAGGAAATATCTTCAAGTAAAAACTAGACAGAAGCATTCTCAGAAACTTATTTGCGATGTGTGTTCTCAACTAACAGAGTTGAACCTTTGTTTTGATATGGCATTTTGGAAACACTCTTTTTGTAGAATCTGCAGGTGGATATTCGGATAGCTTTGAAGGTTTCGTTGGAAACGGGAATATCTTCATATAAAATCTAGACGGAAGCATTCTCAGAAACTGCTTTGTGATGTTTGCATTCAAGTCACAGAGTAGAATGTTCCCTGTTATATACCAGGTTTGAGACACTCTTTCTGCACTACATGGAAGTGGACGTTTGGAGCGCTTTGAGGCCTATGTTGAAAAAGGAAATATCTTCCCATAAAAACTAGACAGAAGCATTCTCAGAAACTTGTTTGTGATGTGTGTATTCAACTAACAGAGATGAACCTTTCTTTTTACAGAGCAGTTTTGAAACACTCTTTTTGTGGAATCTGAAAGTGGATATTTGGATAGCTTTGAGGATTTCGTTGGAAACGGGATTACATATAAAACCTAGAGAGAAGCATTCTCAGGAACTTCTTTGTGATGTTTGCATTCACGTCACAGAACTGAACATTCCCTTTCATAGAGCATGTTTGAAACACTCTTTCTGTAGTATCTGCAAACGGACATTTCAAACGCTTTCAGGCCTATGGTGAGAAAGGAAATATCTTCAAATAAAAACTAGACAGAAGCATTCTCAGAAACTTATTTGCGATGTGTGTCCTCAACTAACAGAGTTGAACCTTTCTTTTGATACAACATTTTGGAAACACTCTTTTTGTAGAATCTGCAAGTGGATATTTGAATAGCTTTGATGGTTTCGTTGGAAACGGGAATATCTTCATATAAAATCAAGACAGAAGCATTCGCAGAAAGTGCTTTGTGATGTTTGCATTCAAGTCACAGAGTTGAATATTCCCTTTTATAGAGCAGGTTTGAAACACTCTTTCTGCACTACTTGGAAGTGGACATTTGGAGCGCTTTGAGGCCTATGTTGAAAAAGGAAATATCTTCCCATAAAAACTAGACAGAAGCATTCTCAGAAACTTGTTTGTGATGTGTGTATTCAACTAACAGAGATGAACCTTTCTTTTTACAGAGCAGTTTTGAAACACTCTTTTTGTGGAATCTGAAAGTGGATATTTGGATAGCTTTGAGGATTTCGTTGGAAACGGGATTACATATAAAATCTAGAGAGAAGCATTCTCAGGAACTTCTTTGTGATGTTTGCATTCAAGTCACAGAACTGAACATTCCCTTTCATAGAGCAGGTTTGAAACACTCTTTCTGTAGTATCTGCAAGCGGACGTTTTAAGCGCTTTCAGGCCTGTGGTGAGAAAGGAAATATCTTCAAATAAAAACTAGACAGAAGCATTCTCAGAAACTTATTTGCGATGTGTGTCCTCAACTAACAGAGTTGAACCTTTCTTTTGATACAACATTTTGGAAACACTCTTTTTGTAGAATCTGCAAGTGGATATTTGGATAGCTTTGAAGGTTTCGTTGGAAACGGGAATATCTTCATATGAAATCAAGACAGAAGCATTCTCAGAAACTTCTCTGTGATGTTTGCATTCAACTCATAGAGTTGAACACTTCCCTTCATACAGCAGGTTTGAAACACTCTTTTTCTAATATTTGGAAGTGGACATTTGCAGCGCTTTGAGGCCTATGTTGAAAAAGGAAATATCTTCTCCTAAAAACCAGACAGAAGCATTCTCAGAAACTTCCTTGTGATGTGTGTACTCAAGTAACAGAGTTGAACCTTCCTTTTGACAGAGCAGTTTTGAAGCACTCTTTTTGTAGAATCTGCAAGTGGATATTTTGATACCTTTGAGGATTTCGTTGGACACGGGATATCTTCATATAAAATCTAGACTAGAAGCATTCTCAGGAACTTCTTTGTGATGTTTGCATTCAAGTCACAGAACTGAACATTCCCTTTCATAGAGCATGTTTGAAACACTCTTTCTGTAGTATCTGCAAGCGGACGTTTTAAGCGCTTTCAGGCCTGTGGTGAGAAAGGAAATATCTTCAAATAAAAACTAGACAGAAGCATTCTCAGAAACTTATTTGCGATGTGTGTCCTCAACTAACAGAGTTGAACCTTTCTTTTGATACAACATTTTGGAAACACTCTTTTTGTAGAATCTGCAAGTGGATATTTGGATAGCTTTGAAGGTTTCGTTGGAAACGGGAATATCTTCATATGAAATCAAGACAGAAGCATTCTCAGAAACTTCTCTGTGATGTTTGCATTCAACTCATAGAGTTGAACACTTCCCTTCATACAGCAGGTTTGAAACACTCTTTTTGTAATATTTGGAAGTGGACATTTGCAGCGCTTTGAGGCCTATGTTGAAAAAGGAAATATCTTCTCCTAAAAACCAGACAGAAGCATTCTCAGAAACTTCCTTGTGATGTGTGTACTCAAGTAACAGAGTTGAACCTTCCTTTTGACAGAGCAGTTTTGAAGCACTCTTTTTGTAGAATCTGCAAGTGGATATTTTGATACCATTGAGGATTTCGTTGGACACGGGATATCTTCATATAAAATCTAGACAGAAGCATTCTCAGAAACTTCTTTGTGCTGTATGTCCTCAATTAACAGAGTTGAACCTTTGTGTGGATACAGCATTTTGGAAACATTCCTTTAGTAGAATCTGCAAGTTGATATTTAGATAGCTAGGAAGAGTTCCTTGGAAACGGGAATATCTTCATATAAAATCTAGACGGAAGCATTCTCAGAAAGTGCTTTGTGATGTTTGCATTCAAGTCACAGAGTTGAATATTCCCTTTTATAGAGCAGGTTTGAAACACTCTTTCTGCACTACCTGGAAGTGGACATTTGGAGCGCTTTGAGGCCTATGTTGAAAAAGGAAATATCTTCCCATAAAAACTAGACAGAAGCATTCTCAGAAACTTGTTTGTGATGTGTGTATTCAACTAACAGAGATGAACCTTTCTTTTTACAGAACAGTTTTGAAACACTCTTTTTGTGGAATCTGAAAGTGGATATTTGGATAGCTTTGAGGATTTCGTTGGAAACGGGATTACATATAAAACCTAGAGAGAAGCATTCTCAGGAACTTCTTTGTGATGTTTGCATTCAAGTCACAGAACTGAACATTCCCTTTCATAGAGCAGGTTTGAAACACTCTTTCTGTAGTATCTGCAAGCTGATGTTTCAAGCGCTTTCAGGCCTATGGTGAGAAAGGAAATATCTTCAAGTAAAAACTAGACAGAAGCATTCTCAGAAACTTATTTGCGATGTGTGTTCTCAACTAACAGAGTTGAACCTTTGTTTTGATACGGCATTTTGGAAACACTCTTTTTGTAGAATCTGCAGGTGGATATTCGGATAGCTTTGAAGGTTTCGTTGGAAACGGGAATATCTTCATATAAAATCTAGACGGAAGCATTCTCAGAAACTGCTTTGTGATGTTTTCATTCAAGTCACAGAGTAGAATGTTCCCTGTTATATACCAGGTTTGAGACACTCTTTCTGCACTACCTGGAAGTGGACATTTGGAGCGCTTTGAGGCCTATGATGAAAAAGGAAATATCTTCCCATAAAAACTAGACAGAAGCATTCTCAGAAACTTGTTTGTGATGTGTGTATTCAACTAACAGAGATGAACCTTTCTTTTTACAGAGCAGTTTTGAAACACTCTTTTTGTGGAATCTGAAAGTGGATATTTGGATAGCTTTGAGGATTTCGTTGGAAACGGGATTACATATAAAATCTAGAGAGAAGCATTCTCAGGAACTTCTTTGTGATGTTTGCATTCACGTCACAGAACTGAACATTCCCTTTCATAGAGCATGTTTGAAACACTCTTTCTGTAGTATCTGCAAACGGACATTTCAAACGCTTTCAGGCCTATGGTGAGAAAGGAAATATCTTCAAGTAAAAACTAGACAGAAGCATTCTCAGAAACTTATTTGCGATGTGTGTCCTCAACTAACAGAGTTGAACCTTTCTTTTGATACAACATTTTGGAAACACTCTTTTTGTAGAATCTGCAAGTGGATATTTGAATAGCTTTGAAGGTTTCGTTGGAAACGGGAATATCTTCATATAAAATCAAGACGGAAGCATTCTCAGAAACTTCTCTGTGATGTTTGCATTCAACTCATAGAGTTGAACACTTCCCTTCATACAGCAGGTTTGAAACACTCTTTTTGTAATATTTGGAAGTGGACATTTGCAGCGCTTTGAGGCCTATGATGAAAAAGGAAATATCTTCCCATAAAAACTAGACAGAAGCATTCTCAGAAACTTGTTTGTGATGTGTGTATTCAACTAACAGAGATGAACCTTTCTTTTTACAGAGCAGTTTTGAAACACTCTTTTTGTGGAATCTGAAAGTGGATATTTGGATAGCTTTGCGGATTTCGTTGGAAACGGGATTACATGTAAAATCTAGGGAGAAGCATTCTCAGAAACTTCTCTGTGATGTTTGCATTCAACTCATAGAGTTGAACACTTCCCTTCATACAGCAGGATTGAAACACTCTCTTTGTAATATTTGGAAGTGGACATTTTCAGCGCTTTGAGGCCTATGATGAAAAAGGAAATATCTTCCCATAAAAACTAGACAGAAGCATTCTCAGAAACTTGTTTGTGATGTGTGTATTCAACTAACAGAGATGAACCTTTCTTTTTACAGAGCAGTTTTGAAACACTCTTTTTGTGGAATCTGAAAGTGGATATTTGGATAGCTTTGCGGATTTCGTTGGAAACGGGATTACATATAAAATCTAGGGAGAAGCATTCTCAGGAACTTCTTTGTGATGTTTGCATTCAAGTCACAGAACTGAACATTCCCTTTCATAGAGCATGTTTGAAACACTCTTTCTGTAGTATCTGCAAGCGGACGTTTTAAGCGCTTTCAGGCCTGTGGTGAGAAAGGAAATATCTTCAAATAAAAACTAGACAGAAGCATTCTCAGAAACTTATTTGCGATGTGTGTCCTCAACTAACAGAGTTGAACCTTTCTTTTGATACAACATTTTGGAAACACTCTTTTTGTAGAATCTGCAAGTGGATATTTGGATAGCTTTGAAGGTTTCGTTGGAAACGGGAATATCTTCATATGAAATCAAGACAGAAGCATTCTCAGAAACTTCTCTGTGATGTTTGCATTCAACTCATAGAGTTGAACACTTCCCTTCATACAGCAGGTTTGAAACACTCTTTTTCTAATATTTGGAAGTGGACATTTTCAGCGCTTTGAGGCCTATGTTGAAAAAGGAAATATCTTCTCCTAAAAACCAGACAGAAGCATTCTCAGAAACTTCCTTGTGATGTGTGTACTCAAGTAACAGAGTTGAACCTTCCTTTTGACAGAGCAGTTTTGAAGCACTCTTTTTGTAGAATCTGCAAGTGGATATTTTGATACCTTTGAGGATTTCGTTGGACACGGGATATCTTCATATAAAATCTAGACAGAAGCATTCTCAGAAACTTCTTTGTGCTGTATGTCCTCAATTAACAGAGTTGAACCTTTGTGTGGATACAGCATTTTGGAAACATTCCTTTAGTAGAATCTGCAAGTTGATATTTAGATAGCTAGGAAGATGTCCTTGGAAACGGGAATATCTTCATATAAAATCTAGACGGAAGCATTCTCAGAAAGTGCTTTGTGATGTTTGCATTCAAGTCACAGAGTTGAATATTCCCTTTTATAGAGCAGGTTTGAAACACTCTTTCTGCACTACCTGGAAGTGGACATTTGGAGCGCTTTGAGGCCTATGTTGAAAAAGGAAATATCTTCCCATAAAAACTAGACAGAAGCATTCTCAGAAACTTGTTTGTGATGTGTGTATTCAACTAACAGAGATGAACCTTTCTTTTTACAGAGCAGTTTTGAAACACTCTTTTTGTGGAATCTGAAAGTGGATATTTGGATAGCTTTGAGGATTTCGTTGGAAACGGGATTACATATAAAACCTAGAGAGAAGCATTCTCAGGAACTTCTTTGTGATGTTTGCATTCAAGTCACAGAACTGAACATTCCCTTTCATAGAGCAGGTTTGAAACACTCTTTCTGTAGTATCTGCAAGCTGACGTTTCAAGCGCTTTCAGGCCTATGGTGAGAAAGGAAATATCTTCAAGTAAAAACTAGACAGAAGCATTCTCAGAAACTTATTTGCGATGTGTGTTCTCAACTAACAGAGTTGAACCTTTGTTTTGATATGGCATTTTGGAAACACTCTTTTTGTAGAATCTGCAGGTGGATATTCGGATAGCTTTGAAGGTTTCGTTGGAAACGGGAATATCTTCATATAAAATCTAGACGGAAGCATTCTCAGAAACTGCTTTGTGATGTTTTCATTCAAGTCACAGAGTAGAATGTTCCCTGTTATATACGAGGTTTGAGACACTCTTTCTGCACTACCTGGAAGTGGACATTTGCAGCGCTTTGAGGCCTATGATGAAAAAGGAAATATCTTCCCATAAAAACTAGACAGAAGCATTCTCAGAAACTTGTTTTTGATGTGTGTATTCAACTAACAGAGATGAACCTTTCTTTTTACAGAGCAGTTTTGAAACACTCTTTTTGTGGAATCTGAAAGTGGATATTTGGATAGCTTTGCGGATTTCGTTGGAAACGGGATTACATATAAAATCTAGGGAGAAGCATTCTCAGGAACTTCTTTGTGATGTTTGCATTCAAGTCACAGAACTGAACATTCCCTTTCATAGAGCAGGTTTGAAACACTCTTTCTGTAGTATCTGCAAGCGGACGTTTTAAGCGCTTTCAGGCCTGTGGTGAGAAAGGAAATATCTTCAAATAAAAACTAGACAGAAGCATTCTCAGAAACTTATTTGCGATGTGTGTCCTCAACTAACAAAGTTGAACCTTTCTTTTGATACAACATTTTGGAAACACTCTTTTTGTAGAATCTGCAAGTGGATATTTGGATAGCTTTGAAGGTTTCGTTGGAAACGGGAATATCTTCATATGAAATCAAGACAGAAGCATTCTCAGAAACTGCTTTGTGATGTTTTCATTCAAGTCACAGAGTAGAATGTTCCCTGTTATATACCAGGTTTGAGACACTCTTTCTGCACTACCTGGAAGTGCACGTTTGGAGCGCTTTGAGGCCTATGTTGAAAAAGGAAATATCTTCCCATAAAAACTAGACAGAAGCATTCTCAGAAACTTGTTTGTGATGTGTGTATTCAACTAACAGAGATGAACCTTTCTTTTTACAGAGCAGTTTTGAAACACTCTTTTTGTGGAATCTGAAAGTGGATATTTGGATAGCTTTGAGGATTTCGTTGGAAACGGGATTACATATAAAACCTAGAGAGAAGCATTCTCAGGAACTTCTTTGTGATGTTTGCATTCAAGTCACAGAACTGAACATTCCCTTTCATAGAGCATGTTTGAAACACTCTTTCTGTAGTATCTGCAAACGGACATTTCAAACGCTTTCAGGCCTATGGTGAGAAAGGAAATATCTTCAAATAAAAACTAGACAGAAGCATTCTCAGAAACTTGTTTGCGATGTGTTTCCTCAACTAACAGAGTTGAACCTTTCTTTTGATACAACATTTTGGAAACACTCTTTTTGTAGAATCTGCAAGTGGATATTTGGATAGCTTTGAAGGTTTCTTTGGAAACGGGAATATCTTCATATAAAATCAAGACAGAAGCATTCTCAGAAACTTCTCTGTGATGTTTGCATTCAACTCATAGAGTTGAACACTTCCCTTCATACAGCAGGTTTGAAACACTCTTTTTGTAATATTTGGAAGTGGACATTTGCAGCGCTTTGAGGCCTATGATGAAAAAGGTAATATCTTCCCATAAAAACTAGACAGAAGCATTCTCAGAAACTGGTTTGAGATGTGTGTATTCAACTAATAGAGATGAACCTTTCTTTTTACAGAGCAGTTTTGAAACACTCTTTTTGTGGAATCTGAAAGTGGATATTTGGATAGCTTTGCGGATTTCGTTGGAAACGGGATTACATATAAAATCTAGGGAGAAGCATTCTCAGGAACTTCTTTGTGATGTTTGCATTCAAGTCACAGAACTGAACATTCCCTTTGATAGAGCAGGTTTGAAACACTCTTTCTGTAGTATCTGCAAGCGGACGTTTTAAGCGCTTTCAGGCCTGTGGTGAGAAAGGAAATATCTTCAAATAAAAACTAGACAGAAGCATTCTCAGAAACTTATTTGCGATGTGTGTCCTCAACTAACAGAGTTGAACCTTTCTTTTGATACAACATTTTGGAAACACTCTTTTTGTAGAATCTGCAAGTGGATATTTGGATAGCTTTGAAGGTTTCGTTGGAAACGGGAATATCTTCATATGAAATCAAGACAGAAGCATTCTCAGAAACTTCTCTGTGATGTTTGCATTCAACTCATAGAGTTGAACACTTCCCTTCATACAGCAGGTTTGAAACACTCTTTTTCTAATATTTGGAAGTGGACATTTGCAGCGCTTTGAGGCCTATGTTGAAAAAGGAAATATCTTCTCCTAAAAACCAGACAGAAGCATTCTCAGAAACTTCCTTGTGATGTGTGTACTCAAGTAACAGAGTTGAACCTTCCTTTTGACAGAGCAGTTTTGAAGCACTCTTTTTGTAGAATCTGCAAGTGGATATTTTGATACCTTTGAGGATTTCGTTGGACACGGGATATCTTCATATAAAATCTAGACAGAAGCATTCTCAGAAACTTCTTTGTGCTGTATGTCCTCAATTAACAGAGTTGAACCTTTGTGTGGATACAGCATTTTGGAAACATTCCTTTAGTAGAATCTGCAAGTTGATATTTAGATAGCTAGGAAGATTTCCTTGGAAACGGGAATATCTTCATATAAAATCTAGACGGAAGCATTCTCAGAAAGTGCTTTGTGATGTCTTCATTCAAGTCACAGAGTAGAATGTTCCCTTTTATAGAGCAGGTTTGAAACACTCTTTCTGCACTACCTGGAAGTGGACATTTGGAGCGCTTTGAGACCTATGTTGAAAAAGGAAATATACTTCCCATAAAAACTAGACAGAAGCATTCTCAGAAACTTGTTTGTGATGTGTGTATTCAACTAACAGAGATGAACCTTTCTTTTTACAGAGCAGTTTTGAAACACTCTTTTTGTGGAATCTGAAAGTGGATATTTGGATAGCTTTGAGGATTTCGTTGGAAACGGGATTACATATAAAACCTAGAGAGAGAGCATTCTCAGGAACTTCTTTGTGATGTTTGCCTTCAAGTCACAGGACTGAACATTCCCTTTCATAGAGCAGGTTTGAAACACTCTTTCTGTAGTATCTGCAAGCTGACGTTTCATGCGCTTTCAGGCCTATGGTGAGAAAGGAAATATCTTCAAGTAAAAACTAGACAGAGCATTCTCAGAAACTTATTTGCGATGTGTGTTCTCAACTAACAGAGTTGAACCTTTGTTTTGATATGGCATTTTGGAAACACTCTTTTTGTAGAATCTGCAGGTGGATATTCGGATAGCTTTGAAGGTTCGTTGGAAACGGGAATATCTTCATATAAAATCTAGACGGAAGCATTCTCAGAAAGTGCTTTGTGATGTTTGCATTCAAGTCACAGAGTTGAATATTCCCTTTTATAGAGCAGGTTTGAAACACTCTTTCTGCACTACCTGGAAGTGGACATTTGGAGCGCTTTGAGGCCTATGTTGAAAAAGGAAATATCTTCCCATAAAAACTACACAGAAGCATTCTCAGAAACTTGTTTGTGATGTGTGTATTCAACTAACAGAGATGAACCTTTCTTTTTACAGAGCAGTTTTGAAACACTCTTTTTGTGGAATCTGAAAGTGGATATTTGGATAGCTTTGAGGATTTCGTTGGAAACGGGATTACATATAAAATCTAGAGAGAAACATTCTCAGGAACTTTTTTGTGATGTTTGCATTCACGTCACAGAACTGAACATTCCCTTTCATAGAGCCGGTTTGAAACACTGTTTCTGTAGTATCTGCAAACGGACATTCCAAGCGCTTTCAGGCCTATGGTGAGAAAGGAAATATCTTCAAATAAAAACTAGACAGAAGCATTCTCAGAAACTTATTTGCGATGTGTGTCCTCAACTAACAGAGTTGAACCTTTCTTTTGATACAACATTTTGGAAACACTCTTTTTGTAGAATCTGCAAGTGGATATTTGAATAGCTTTGAAGGTTTCGTTGGAAACGGGAATATCTTCATATAAAATCAAGACAGAAGCATTCTCAGAAACTTCTCTGTGATGTTTGCATTCAACTCATAGAGTTGAACACTTCCCTTCATACAGCAGGTTTGAAACACTCTTTTTGTAATATTTGGAAGTGGACATTCGCAGCGCTTTGAGGCCTATGATGAAAAAGGTAATATCTTCCCATAAAAACTAGACAGAAGCATTCTCAGAAACTTGTTTGTGATGTGTGTATTCAACTAACAGAGATGAACCTTTCTTTTTACAGAGCAGTTTTGAAACACTCTTTTTGTGGAATCTGAAAGTGGATATTTGGATAGCTTTGAGGATTTCGTTGGAAACGGGATTACATATAAAATCTAGAGAGAAGCATTCTCAGGAACTTCTTTGTGATGTTTGCATTCACGTCACAGAACTGAACATTCCCTTTCATAGAGCATGTTTGAAACACTCTTTCTGTAGTATCTGCAAACGGACATTTCAAACGCTTTCAGGCCTATGGTGAGAAAGGAAATATCTTCAAATAAAAACTAGACAGAAGCATTCTCAGAAACTTATTTGCGATGTGTGTCCTCAACTAACAGAGTTGAACCTTTCTTTTGATACAACATTTTGGAAACACTCTTTTTGTGGAATCTGCAAGTGGATATTTGGATAGCTTTGAAGGTTTCGTTGGAAACGGGAATATCTTCATATAAAATCAAGACAGAAGCATTCTCAGAAACTTCTCTGTGATGTTTGCATTCAACTCATAGAGTTGAACACTTCCCTTCATACAGCAGGTTTGAAACACTCTTTTTCTAATATTTGGAAGTGGACATTTGCAGCGCTTTGAGGCCTATGATGAAAAAGGAAATATCTTCTCCTAAAAACCAGACAGAAGCATTCTCAGAAACTTCCTTGTGATGTGTGTACTCAAGTAACAGAGTTGAACCTTCCTTTTGACAGAGCAGTTTTGAAGCACTCTTTTTGTAGAATCTGCAAGTGGATATTTTGATACCTTTGAGGATTTCGTTGGACACGGGATATCTTCATATAAAATCTAGACAGAAGCATTCTCAGAAACTTCTTTGTGCTGTATGTCCTCAATTAACAGAGTTGAACCTTTGTGTGGATACAGCATTTTGGAAACATTCCTTTAGTAGAATCTGCAAGTTGATATTTAGATAGCTAGGAAGATTTCCTTGGAAACGGGAATATCTTCATATAAAATCTAGACGGAAGCATTCTCAGAAAGTGCTTTGTGATGTTTGCATTCAAGTCACAGAGTTGAATATTCCCTTTTATAGAGCAGGTTTGAAACACTCTTTCTGCACTACCTGGAAGTGGACATTTGGAGCGCTTTGAGGCCTATGTTGAAAAAGGAAATATCTTCCCATAAAAACTAGACAGAAGCATTCTCAGAAACTTGTTTGTGATGTGTGTATTCAACTAACAGAGATGAACCTTTCTTTTTACAGAGCAGTTTTGAAACACTCTTTTTGTGGAATCTGAAAGTGGATATTTGGATAGCTTTGAGGATTTCGTTGGAAACGGGATTACATATAAAACCTAGAGAGAAGCATTCTCAGGAACTTCTTTGTGATGTTTGCCTTCAAGTCACAGGACTGAACATTCCCTTTCATAGAGCAGGTTTGAAACACTCTTTCTGTAGTATCTGCAAGCTGACGTTTCAAGCGCTTTCAGGCCTATGGTGAGAAAGGAAATATCTTCAAGTAAAAACTAGACAGAAGCATTCTCAGAAACTTATTTGCGATGTGTGTTCTCAACTAACAGAGTTGAACCTTTGTTTTGATATGGCATTTTGGAAACACTCTTTTTGTAGAATCTGCAGGTGGATATTCGGATAGCTTTGAAGGTTTCGTTGGAAACGGGAATATCTTCATATAAAATCTAGACGGAAGCATTCTCAGAAACTGCTTTGTGATGTTTTCATTCAAGTCACAGAGTAGAATGTTCCCTGTTATATACCAGGTTTGAGACACTCTTTCTGCACTACCTGGAAGTGGACATTTGCAGCGCTTTGAGGCCTATGATGAAAAAGGAAATATCTTCCCATAAAAACTAGACAGAAGCATTCTCAGAAACTTGTTTGTGATGTGTGTATTCAACTAACAGAGATGAACCTTTCTTTTTACAGAGCAGTTTTGAAACACTCTTTTTGTGGAATCTGAAAGTGGATATTTGGATAGCTTTGAGGATTTCGTTGGAAACGGGATTACATATAAAATCTAGAGAGAAGCATTCTCAGGAACTTCTTTGTGATGTTTGCATTCACGTCACAGAACTGAACATTCCCTTTCATAGAGCATGTTTGAAACACTCTTTCTGTAGTATCTCCAAACGGACATTTCAAACGCTTTCAGGCCTATGGTGAGAAAGGAAATATCTTCAAATAAAAACTAGACAGAAGCATTCTCAGAAACTTATTTGCGATGTGTGTCCTCAACTAACAGAGTTGAACCTTTCTTTTGATACAACATTTTGGAAACACTCTTTTTGTAGAATCTGCAAGTGGATATTTGAATAGCTTTGAAGGTTTCGTTGGAAACGGGAATATCTTCATATAAAATCAAGACAGAAGCATTCTCAGAAACTTCTCTGTGATGTTTGCATTCAACTCATAGAGTTGAACACTTCCCTTCATACAGCAGGTTTGAAACACTCTTTTTGTAACATTTGGAAGTGGACATTTGCAGCGCTTTGAGGCCTATGTTGAAAAAGGAAATATCTTCTCCTAAAAACCAGACAGAAGCATTCTCAGAAACTTCCTTGTGATGTGTGTACTCAAGTAACAGAGTTGAACCTTCCTTTTGACAGAGCAGTTTTGAAGCACTCTTTTTGTAGAATCTGCAAGTGGATATTTTGATACCTTTGAGGATTTCGTTGGACACGGGATATCTTCATATAAAATCTAGACAGAAGCATTCTCAGAAACTTCTTTGTGCTGTATGTCCTCAATTAACAGAGTTGAACCTTTGTGTGGATACAGCATTTTGGAAACATTCCTTTAGTAGAATCTGCAAGTTGATATTTAGATAGCTAGGAAGAGTTCCTTGGAAACGGGAATATCTTCATATAAAATCTAGACGGAAGCATTCTCAGAAACTGCTTTGTGATGTTTTCATTGAAGTCACAGAGTAGAATGTTCCCTTTTATATACCAGGTTTGAGACACTCTTTCTGCACTATCTGGAAGTGGACATTTGGAGCGCTTTGAGGCCTATGATGAAAAAGGAAATATCTTCCCATAAAAACTAGACAGAAGCATTCTCAGAAACTTGTTTGTGATGTGTGTATTCAACTAACAGAGATGAACCTTTCTTTTTACAGAGCAGTTTTGAAACACTCTTTTTGTGGAATCTGAAAGTGGATATTTGGATAGCTTTGAGGATTTCGTTGAAACGGGATTACGTATAAAATCTAGAGAGAAGCATTCTCAGGAACTTCTTTGTGATGTTTGCATTCACGTCAAAGAACTGAACATTCCCTTTCATAGAGCATGTTTGAAAAACTCTTTCTGTAGTATCTGCAAACGGACATTTCAAGGGCTTTCAGGCCTATGGTAAGAAAGGAAATATCTTCAAATAAAAACTAGACAGAAGCATTCTCATAAACTTGTTTGTGATGTGTGAACTCAGCTAACAACGGTGGATCTTTCTTTTGATAGAGCAGTTCTGAAAAACACTTTTTGTTGAATCTGCAAGTGGACATTTGGATAGTTTTGAAGATTTCCTTGGAAAAGGGAATATCTTCATATCAAATCTAGACAGAAGCATTCTCAGAAACGTCTTTGTGATGTTTGCATTCAACTCATAGAGTTGAACATTCCGTTTCAGAGAGCAGCTTTGAAGCACTCTTTTTGTAGTATGTGCAAGTGGATATTTGGAGCGCTCTGAGGCCTATGTTGAAAAAGGAAATATCTTCTCCTAAAAACCAGACAGAAGCATTCTCAGAAACTTCCTTGTGATGTGTGTACTCAGGTAACAGAGTTGAACCTTACTTTTGACAGAGCCGTTTTGAAACAGTCTTTTTGTAGAATCTGGAAGTAGATATTTGGACACCTTTGAGGATTTCTTTGGAAACGGGATATCTTCATATAAAATCTAGACAGAAGCATTCTCAGAAACTTCTTTGTGCTGTATGTCCTCAATTAACAGAGTTGAACCTTTGTGTGGATACAGCATTTTGGAAACACTCCTTTAGTAGGATATGCAAGTTGATATTTAGATAGCTAGGAAGATTTCCTTGGAAACGGGAATATCTTCATATAAAATCTAGACGGAAGCATTCTCAGAAAGTGCTTTGTGATGTTTGCATTCAAGTCACAGAGTTGAATATTCCCTTTTATACAGCAGGTTTGAAACACTCTTTCTGCACTACCTGGAAGTGGACATTTGGAGCGCTTTGAGGCCTATGTTGAAAAAGGAAATATCTTCCCATAAAAACTAGACAGAAGCATTCTCAGAAACTTGTTTGTGATGTGTGTATTCAACTAACAGAGATGAACCTTTCTTTTTACAGAGCAGTTTTGAAACACTCTTTTTGTGGAATCTGAAAGTGGATATTTGGATAGCTTCGAGGATTTCGTTGGAAACGGGATTACATATAAAATCTAGAGAGAAGCATTCTCAGGAACTTCTTTGTGATGTTTGCATTCAAGTCACAGAACTGAACATTCCCTTTCATAGAGCATGTTTGAAACACTCTTTCTGTAGTATCTGCAAGCGGACGTTTCAAGCGCTTTCAGGCCTATGGTGAGAAAGGAAATATCTTCAAGTAAAAACTAGACAGAAGCATTCTCAGAAACTTATTTCCCATGTGTGTTCTCAACTAACAGAGTTGAACCTTTGTTTTGATACGGCATTTTGGAAACACTCTTTTTGTAGAATCTGCAGGTGGATATTCGGATAGCTTTGAAGGTTTCGTTGGAAACGGGAATATCTTCATAGAAAATCTAGACGGAAACATTCTCAGAAACTGCTTTGTGATGTTTTCATTCAAGTCACAGAGTAGAATGTTCCCTTTTATATACCAGGTTTGAGACACTCTTTCTGCACTATCTGGAAGTGGACATTTGGAGCGCTTTGAGGCCTATGATGAAAAAGGAAATAGCTTCCCATAAAAACTAGACAGAAGCATTCTCAGAAACTTGTTTGTGATGTGTGTATTCAACTAACAGAGATGAACCTTTCTTTTTACAGAGCAGTTTTGAAACACTCTTTTTGTGGAATCTGAAAGTGCATATTTGGATAGCTTTGAGGATTTCGTTGGAAACGGGATTACATATAAAATCTAGAGAGAAGCATTCTCAGGAACTTCTTTGTGATGTTTGCATTCACGTCACAGAACTGAACATTCCCTTTCATAGAGCATGTTTGAAACACTCTTTCTGTAGTATCTGCAAACGGACATTTCAAGCGCTTTCAGGCCTATGATAAGAAAGGAAATTTCTTCAAATAAAAACTAGACAGAAGCATTCTCAGAAACTTCTTTGTGCTGTATGTCCTCAATTAACAGAGTTGAACCTTTGTGTGGATATAGCATTTTGGAAACATTCCTTTAGTAGAATCTGCAAGTTGATATTTAGATAGCTAGGAAGATTTCCCTGGAAACGGGAATATCTTCATATAAAATCTAGACGGAAGCATTCTCAGAAAGTGCTTTGTGATGTTTGCATTCAAGTCACAGAGTTGAATATTCCCTTTTATAGAGCAGGTTTGAAACACTCTTTCTGCACTACCTGGAAGTGGACATTTGGAGCGCTTTGAGGCCTATGTTGAAAAAGGAAATATCTTCCCATAAAAACTAGACAGAAGCATTCTCAGAAACTTGTTTGTGATGTGTGTATTCAACTAACAGAGATGAACCTTTCTTTTTACAGAGCAGTTTTGAAACACTCTTTTTGTGGAATCTGAAAGTGGATATTTGGATAGCTTTGAGGATTTCGTTGGAAACGGGATTACATATAAAACCTAGAGAGAAGCATTCTCAGGAACTTCTTTGTGATGTTTGCATTCAAGTCACAGAACTGAACATTCCCTTTCATAGAGCAGGTTTGAAACACACTTTCTGTAGTATCTGCAAGCTGACGTTTCAAGCGCTTTCAGGCCTATGGTGAGAAAGGAAATATCTTCAAGTAAAAACTAGACAGAAGCATTCTCAGAAACTTATTTGCCATGTGTGTTCTCAACTAACAGAGTTGAACCTTTGTTTTGATACGGCATTTTGGAAACACTCTTTTTGTAGAATCTGCAGGTGGATATTCGGATAGCTTTGAAGGTTTCGTTGGAAACGGGAATATCTTCATATAAAATCTAGACGGAAGCATTCTCAGAAACTGCTTTGTGATGTTTTCATTCAAGTCACAGAGTTGAATGTTCCCTGTTATATACCAGGTTTGAGACACTCTTTCTGCACTACCCGGAAGTGGACGTTTGGAGCGCTTTGAGGCCAATGTTGAAAAAGGAAATATCTTCCCATAAAAACTAGACAGAAGCATTCTCAGAAACTTGTTTGTGATGTGTGTATTCAACTAACAGAGATGAACCTTTCTTTTTACAGAGCAGTTTTGAAACACTCTTTTTGTGGAATCTGAAAGTGGATATTTGGATAGCTTTGAGGATTTCGTTGGAAACGGGATTACATATAAAATCTAGAGAGAAGCATTCTCAGGAACTTCTTTGTGATGTTTGCATTCACGTCACAGAACTGAACATTCCCTTTCATAGAGCATGTTTGAAACACTCTTTCTGTAGTATCTGCAAACGGACATTTCAAACGCTTTCAGGCCTATGGTGAGAAAGGAAATATCTTCAAATAAAAACTAGACAGAAGCATTCTCAGAAACTTATTTGCGATGTGTGTCCTCAACTAACAGAGTTGAACCTTTCTTTTGATACAACATTTTGGAAACACTCTTTTTGTAGAATCTGCAAGTGGATATTTGGATAGCTTTGAAGGTTCGTTGGAAACGGGAATATCTTCATATGAAATCAAGACAGAAGCATTCTCAGTAAACTGCTTTGTGATGTTTTCATTCAAGTCACAGAGTAGAATGTTCCCTTTTATATACCAGGTTTGAGACACTCTTTCTGCACTACCTGGAAGTGGACATTTGGAGCGCTTTGAGGCCTATGATGAAAAAGGAAATATCTTCCCATAAAAACTAGACAGAAGCATTCTCAGAAACTTGTTTGTGATGTGTGTATTCAACTAACAGAGATGAACCTTTCTTTTTACAGAGCAGTTTTGAAACACTCTTTTTGTGGAATCTGAAAGTGGATATTTGGATAGCTTTGAGGATTTCGTTGGAAACGGGATTACATATAAAACCTAGAGAGAAGCATTCTCAGGAACTTCTTTGTGATGTTTGCCTTCAAGTCACAGGACTGAACATTCCCTTTCATAGAGCAGGTTTGAAACACTCTTTCTGTAGTATCTGCAAGCTGACGTTTCAAGCGCTTTCAGGCCTATGGTGAGAAAGGAAATATCTTCAAGTAAAAACTAGACAGAAGCATTCTCAGAAACTTATTTGCCATGTGTGTTCTCAACTAACAGAGTTGAACCTTTGTTTTGATACGGCATTTTGGAAACACTCTTTTTGTAGAATCTGCAGGTGGATATTCGGATAGCTTTGAAGGTTTCGTTGGAAACGGGAATATCTTCATATAAAATCTTGACGGAAGCATTCTCAGAAACTGCTTTGTGATGTTTTCATTCAAGTCACAGAGTAGAATCTTCCCTGTTATATACCAGGTTTCAGACACTCTTTCTGCACTACCTGGAAGTGGACATTTGCAGCGCTTTGAGGCCTATGATGAAAAAGGAAATATCTTCCCATAAAAACTAGACAGAAGCATTCTCAGAAACTTGTTTGTGATGTGTGTATTCAACTAACAGAGATGAACCTTTCTTTTTACAGAGCAGTTTTGAAACACTCTTTTTGTGGAATCTGAAAGTGGATATTTGGATAGCTTTGAGGATTTCGTTGGAAACGGGATTACATATAAAACCTAGAGAGAAGCATTCTCAGGAACTTCTTTGTGATGTTTGCATTCACCGTCACAGAACTGAACATTCCCTTTCATAGAGCATGTTTGAAACACTCTTTCTGTAGTATCTGCAAACGGACATTTCAAACGCTTTCAGGCCTATGGTGAGAAAGGAAATATCT
The DNA here is from genome assembly GCF_000001405.40 of Homo sapiens. Lineage (NCBI taxonomy): Eukaryota > Metazoa > Chordata > Mammalia > Primates > Hominidae > Homo > Homo sapiens. Next base: position 44,064,885 of record NC_000009.12, read on the forward strand.
TCAAATAAAAACTAGACAGAAGCATTCTCAGAAACTTATTTGCGATGTGTGTTCTCAACTAACAGAGTTGAACCTTTGTTTTGATATGGCATTTTGGAAACACTCTTTTTGTAGAATCTGCAGGTGGATATTCGGATAGCTTTGAAGGTTTCGTTGGAAACGGGAATATCTTCATATAAAATCTAGACGGAAGCATTCTCAGAAACTGCTTTGTGATGTTTTCATTCAAGTCACAGAGTAGAATGTTCCCCGTTATATACCAGGTTTGAGACACTCTTTCTGCACTACCTGGAAGTGGACATTTGGAGCGCTTTGAGGCCTATGTTGAAGAAGGAAATATCTTCCCATAAAAACTAGACAGAAGCATTCTCAGAAACTTGTTTGTGATGTGTGTATTCAACTAACAGAGATGAACCTTTCTTTTTACAGAGCAGTTTTGAAACACTCTTTTTGTGGAATCTGAAAGTGGATATTTGGATAGCTTTGAGGATTTCGTTGGAAACGGGATTACATATAAAACCTAGAGAGAAGCATTCTCAGGAACTTCTTTGTGATGTTTGCCTTCAAGTCACAGGACTGAACATTCCCTTTCATAGAGCAGGTTTGAAACACTCTTTCTGTAGTATCTGCAAGCTGACGTTTCAAGCGCTTTCAGGCCTATGGTGAGAAAGGAAATATCTTCAAGTAAAAACTAGACAGAAGCATTCTCAGAAACTTATTTGCGATGTGTGTTCTCAACTAACAGAGTTGAACCTTTGTTTTGATATGGCATTTTGGAAACACTCTTTTTGTAGAATCTGCAGGTGGATATTCGGATAGCTTTGAAGGTTTCGTTGGAAACGGGAATATCTTCATATAAAATCTAGACGGAAGCATTCTCAGAAACTGCTTTGTGATGTTTTCATTCAAGTCACAGAGTAGAATGTTCCCTGTTATACACCAGGTTTGAGACACTCTTTCTGCACTACCTGGAAGTGGACGTTTGGAGCGCTTTGAGGCCTATGTTGAAAAAGGAAATATCTTCCCATAAAAACTAGACAGAAGCATTCTCAGAAACTTGTTTGTGATGTGTGTATTCAACTAACAGAGATGAACCTTTCTTTTTACAGAGCAGTTTTGAAACACTCTTTTTGTGGAATCTGAAAGTGGATATTTGGATAGCTTTGAGGATTTCGTTGGAAACGGGATTACATATAAAATCTAGAGAGAAGCATTCTCAGGAACTTCTTTGTGATGTTTGCATTCACGTCACAGAACTGAACATTCCCTTTCATAGAGCATGTTTGAAACACTCTTTCTGTAGTATCTGCAAACGGACATTTCAAACGCTTTCAGGCCTATGGTGAGAAAGGAAATATCTTCAAGTAAAAACTAGACAGAAGCATTCTCAGAAACTTATTTGCGATGTGTGTCCTCAACTAACAGAGTTGAACCTTTCTTTTGATACAACATTTTGGAAACACTCTTTTTGTAGAATCAGCAAGTGGATATTTGAATAGCTTTGAAGGTTTCGTTGGAAACGGGAATATCTTCATATAAAATCAAGACAGAAGCATTCTCAGAAACTTCTCTGTGATGTTTGCATTCAACTCATAGAGTTGAACACTTCCCTTCATACAGCAGGTTTGAAACACTCTTTTTGTAATATTTGGAAGTGGACATTTGCAGCGCTTTGAGGCCTATGATGAAAAAGGAAATATCTTCCCATAAAAACTAGACAGAAGCATTCTCAGAAACTTGTTTGTGATGTGTGTATTCAACTAACAGAGATGAACCTTTCTTTTTACCGAGCAGTTTTGAAACACTCTTTTTGTGGAATCTGAAAGTGGATATTTGGATAGCTTTGCGGATTTCGTTGGAAACGGGATTACATATAAAATCTAGGGAGAAGCATTCTCAGGAACTTCTTTGTGATGTTTGCATTCACGTCACAGAGCTGAACATTCCCTTTCATAGAGCATGTTTGAAACACTCTTTCTGTAGTATCTGCAAACGGACATTTCAAACGCTTTCAGGCCTATGGTGAGAAAGGAAATATCTTCAAATAAAAACTAAACAGAAGCATTCTCAGAAACTTATTTGCCATGTGTGTTCTCAACTAACAGAGTTGAACCTTTGTTTTGATACGGCATTTTGGAAACACTCTTTTTGTAGAATCTGCAGGTGGATATTCGGATAGCTTTGAAGGTTTCGTTGGAAACGGGAATATCTTCATATAAAATCTAGACGGAAGCATTCTCAGAAACTGCTTTGTGATGTTTTCATTCAAGTCACAGAGTAGAATGTTCCCTGTTATATACCAGGTTTGAGACACTCTTTCTGCACTACCTGGAAGTGGACGTTTGGAGCGCTTTGAGGCGTATGTTGAAAAAGGAAATATCTTCCCATAAAAACTAGACAGAAGCATTCTCAGAAACTTGTTTGTGATGTGTGTATTCAACTAACAGAGATGAACCTTTCTTTTTACAGAGCAGTTTTGAAACACTCTTTTTGTGGAATCTGAAAGTGGATATTTGGATAGCTTTGAGGATTTCGTTGGAAACGGGATTACATATAAAACCTAGAGAGAAGCATTCTCAGGAACTTCTTTGTGATGTTTGCATTCAAGTCACAGAACTGAACATTCCCTTTCATAGAGCAGGTTTGAAACAGTCTTTCTGTAGTATCTGCAAGCTGACGTTTCAAGCGCTTTCAGGCCTATGGTGAGAAAGGAAATATCTTCAAGTAAAAACTAGACAGAAGCATTCTCAGAAACTTATTTGCCATGTGTGTTCTCAACTAACAGAGTTGAACCTTTGTTTTGATATGGCATTTTGGAAACACTCTTTTTGTAGAATCTGCAGGTGGATATTCGGATAGCTTTGAAGGTTTCGTTGGAAACGGGAATATCTTCATATAAAATCTAGACGGAAGCATTCTCAGAAACTGCTTTGTGATGTTTTCATTCAAGTCACAGAGTAGAATGTTCCCTGTTATATACCAGGTTTGAGACACTCTTTCTGCACTACCTGGAAGTGGACATTTGCAGCGCTTTGAGGCCTATGATGAAAAAGGAAATATCTTCTCCTAAAAACCAGACAGAAGCATTCTCAGAAACTTCCTTGTGATGTGTGTACTCAAGTAACAGAGTTGAACCTTCCTTTTGACAGAGCAGTTTTGAAGCAGTCTTTTTGTAGAATCTGCAAGTGGATATTTTGATACCTTTGAGGATTTCGTTGGACACGGGATATCTTCATATAAAATCTAGACAGAAGCATTCTCAGAAACTTATTTGCGATGTGTGTTCTCAACTAACAGAGTTGAACCTTTGTTTTGATACAGCATTTTGGAAACACTCTTTTTGTAGGATCTGCAGGTGGATATTTCGATAGCTTTGAAGGTTTCGTTGGAAACGGGAATATCTTCATATAAAATCAACACAGAAGCATTCTCAGAAAGTGCTTTGTGATGTCTTCATTCAAGTCACAGAGTAGAATGTTCCCTTTTATAGAGCAGGTTTGAAACACTCTTTCTGCACTACCTGGAAGTGGACATTTGGAGCGCTTTGAGACCTATGTTGAAAAAGGAAATATCTTCCCATAAAAACTAGACAGAAGCATACTCAGAAACTTGTTTGTGATGTGTGTATTCAACTAACAGAGATGAACCTTTCTTTTTACAGAGCAGTTTTGAAACACTCTTTTTGTGGAATCTGAAAGTGGATATTTGGATAGCTTTGAAGATTTCGTTGGAAACGGGATTACATATAAAATCTAGGGAGAAGCATTCTCAGGAACTTCTTTGTGATGTTTGCCTTCAAGTCACAGGACTGAACATTCCCTTTCATAGAGCAGGTTTGAAACACTCCTTCTGTAGTATCTGCAAGCTGACGTTTCAAGCGCTTTCAGGCCTATGGTGAGAAAGGAAATATCTTCAAGTAAAAACTAGACAGAAGCATTCTCAGAAACTTATTTGCCATGTGTGTTCTCAACTAACAGAGTTGAACCTTTGTTTTGATACGGCATTTTGGAAACACTCTTTTTGTAGAATCTGCAGGTGGATATTCGGATAGCTTTGAAGGTTTCGTTGGAAACGGGAATATCTTCATATAAAATCTAGACGGAAGCATTCTCAGAAACTGCTTTGTGATGTTTTCATTCAACTCACAGAGTAGAATGTTCCCTGTTATATACCAGGTTTGAGACACTCTTTCTGCACTACCTGGAAGTGGACATTTGGAGCGCTTTGAGGCCTATGATGAAAAAGGAAATATCTTCCCATAAAAAAAAGACAGAAGCATTCTCAGAAACTTGTTTGTGATGTGTGTATTCAACTAACAGAGATGAACCTTTCTTTTTACAGAGCAGTTTTGAAACACTCTTTTTGTGGAATCTGAAAGTGGATATTTGGATAGCTTTGAGGATTTCGTTGGAAACGGGATTACATATAAAATCTAGAGAGAAGCATTCTCAGGAACTTCTTTGTGATGTTTGCATTCACGTCACAGAACTGAACATTCCCTTTCATAGAGCATGTTTGAAACACTCTTTCTGTAGTATCTGCAAACGGACATTTCAAACGCTTTCAGGCCTATGGTGAGAAAGGAAATATCTTCAAGTAAAAACTAGACAGAAGCATTCTCAGAAACTTATTTGCGATGTGTGTCCTCAACTAACAGAGTTGAACCTTTCTTTTGATACAACATTTTGGAAACACTCTTTTTGTAGAATCAGCAAGTTGATATCTGAATAGCTTTGAAGGTTTCGTTGGAAACGGGAATATCTTCATATAAAATCAAGACAGAAGCATTCTCAGAAACTTCTCTGTGATGTTTGCATTCAACTCATAGAGTTGAACACTTCCCTTCATACAGCAGGTTTGAAACACTCTTTTTGTAATATTTGGAAGTGGACATTTGCAGCGCTTTGAGGCCTATGATGAAAAAGGTAATATCTTCCCATAAAAACTAGACAGAAGCATTCTCAGAAACTTGTTTGTGGTGTGTGTATTCAACTAACAGAGATGAACCTTTCTTTTTACAGAGCAGTTTTGAAATACTCTTTTTGTGGAATCTGAAAGTGGATATTTGGATAGCTTTGAGGATTTCGTTGGAAACGGGATTACATATAAAACCTAGAGAGAAGCATTCTCAGGAACTTCTTTGTGATGTTTGCATTCACGTCACAGAACTGAACATTCCCTTTCATAGAGCATGTTTGAAACACTCTTTCTGTAGTATCTGCAAACGGACATTTCAAACGCTTTCAGGCCTATGGTGAGAAAGGAAATATCTTCAAATAAAAACTAGACAGAAGCATTCTCAGAAACTTATTTGCGATGTGTGTCCTCAACTATCAGAGTTGAACCTTTCTTTTGATACAACATTTTGGAACCACTCTTTTTGTAGAATCTGCAAGTGGATATTTGAATAGCTTTGAAGGTTTCGTTGGAAACGGGAATATCTTCATATAAAATCAAGACAGAAGCATTCTCAGAAACTTCTCTGTGATGTTTGCATTCAACTCATAGAGTTGAACACTTCCCTTCATACAGCAGGTTTGAAACACTCTTTTTGTAATATTTGGAAGTGGACATTTGCAGCGCTTTGAGGCCTATGATGAAAAAGGAAATATCTTCCCATAAAAACTAGACAGGAAGCATTCTCAGAAACTTGTTTGTGATGTGTGTATTCAACTAACAGAGATGAACCTTTCTTTTTACAGAGCAGTTTTGAAACACTCTTTTTGTGGAATCTGAAAGTGGATATTTGGATAGCTTTGCGGATTTCGTTGGAAACGGGATTACATATAAAATCTAGGGAGAAGCATTCTCAGGAACTTCTTTGTGATGTTTGCATTCAAGTCACAGAACTGAACATTCCCTTTCATAGAGCAGGTTTGAAACACTCTTTCTGTAGTATCTGCAAGCGGACGTTTTAAGCGCTTTCAGGCCTATGGTGAGAAAGGAAATATCTTCAAATAAAAACTAGACAGAAGCATTCTCAGAAACTTATTTGCGATGTGTGTCCTCAACTAACAGAGTTGAACCTTTCTTTTGATACAACATTTTGGAAACACTCTTTTTGTAGAATCTGCAAGTGGATATTTGGATAGCTTTGAAGGTTTCGTTGGAAACGGGAATATCTTCATATGAAATCAAGACAGAAGCATTCTCAGAAACTTCTCTGTGATGTTTGCATTCAACTCATAGAGTTGAACACTTCCCTTCATACAGCAGGTTTGAAACACTCTTTTTCTAATATTTGGAAGTGGACATTTGCAGCGCTTTGAGGCCTATGTTGAAAAAGGAAATATCTTCTCCTAAAAACCAGACAGAAGCATTCTCAGAAACTTCCTTGTGATGTGTGTACTCAAGTAACAGAGTTGAACCTTCCTTTTGACAGAGCAGTTTTGAACCACTCTTTTTGTAGAATCTGCAAGTGGATATTTTGATACCTTTGAGGATTTCGTTGGACACGGGATATCTTCATATAAAATCTAGACAGAAGCATTCTCAGGAACTTCTTTGTGATGTTTGCATTCACGTCACAGAACTGAACATTCCCTTTCATAGAGCATGTTTGAAACACTCTTTCTGTAGTATCTGCAAACGGACATTTCAAACGCTTTCAGGCCTATGGTGAGAAAGGAAATATCTTCAAATAAAAACTAGACAGAAGCATTCTCAGAAACTTATTTGCGATGTGTGTCCTCAACTAACAGAGTTGAACCTTTCTTTTGATACAACATTTTGGAAACACTCTTTTTGTAGAATCTGCAAGTGGATATTTGAATAGCTTTGAAGGTTTCGTTGGAAACGGGAATATCTTCATATAAAATCAAGACAGAAGCATTCTCAGAAACTTCTCTGTGATGTTTGCATTCAACTCATAGAGTTGAACACTTCCCTTCATACAGCAGGTTTGAAACACTCTTTTTGTAATATTTGGAAGTGGACATTTGCAGCGCTTTGAGGCCTATGATGAAAAAGGAAATATCTTCCCATAAAAACTAGACAGAAGCATTCTCAGAAACTTGTTTGTGATGTGTGTATTCAACTAACAGAGATGAACCTTTCTTTTTACAGAGCAGTTTTGAAACACTCTTTTTGTGGAATCTGAAAGTGGATATTTGGATAGCTTTGAGGATTTCGTTGGAAACGGGATTACATATAAAACCTAGAGAGAAGCATTCTCAGGAACTTCTTTGTGATGTTTGCATTCAAGTCACAGAACTGAACATTCCCTTTCATAGATCAGGTTTGAAACACTCTTTATGTAGTATCTGCAAGCGGACGTTTTAAGCGGTTTCAGGCCTGTGGTGAGAAAGGAAATATCTTCAAGTAAAAACTAGACAGAAGCATTCTCAGAAACTTATTTGCCATGTGTGTTCTCAACTAACAGAGTTGAACCTTTGTTTTGATACGGCATTTTGGAAACACTCTTTTTGTAGAATCTGCAGGTGGATATTCGGATAGCTTTGAAGGTTTCGTTGGAAACGGGAATATCTTCATATAAAATCTAGACGGAAGCATTCTCAGAAACTGCTTTGTGATGTTTTCATTCAAGTCACAGAGTAGAATGTTCCCTGTTATATACCAGGTTTGAGACACTCTTTCTGCACTACCCGGAAGTGGACGTTTGGAGCGCTTTGAGGCCTATGTTGAAAAAGGAAATATCTTCCCATAAAAACTAGACAGAAGCATTCTCAGAAACTTGTTTGTGATGTGTGTATTCAACTAACAGAGATGAACCTTTCTTTTTACAGAGCAGTTTTGAAACACTCTTTTTGTGGAATCTGAAAGTGGATATTTGGATAGCTTTGAGGATTTCGTTGGAAACGGGATTACATATAAAATCTAGAGAGAAGCATTCTCAGGAACTTCTTTGTGATGTTTGCATTCACGTCACAGAACTGAACATTCCCTTTCATAGAGCATGTTTGAAACACTCTTTCTGTAGTATCTGCAAACGGACATTTCAAACGCTTTCAGGCCTATGGTGAGAAAGGAAATATCTTCAAGTAAAAACTAGACAGAAGCATTCTCAGAAACTTATTTGCGATGTGTGTCCTCAACTAACAGAGTTGAACCTTTCTTTTGATACAACATTTTGGAAACACTCTTTTTGTAGAATCTGCAAGTGGATATTTGAATAGCTTTGAAGGTTTCGTTGGAAACGGGAATATCTTCATATAAAATCAAGACAGAAGCATTCTCAGAAACTTCTCTGTGATGTTTGCATTCAACTCATAGAGTTGAACACTTCCCTTCATACAGCAGGTTTGAAACACTCTTTTTGTAATATTTGGAAGTGGACATTTGCAGCGCTTTGAGGCCTATGATGAAAAAGGTAATATCTTCCCATAAAAACTAGACAGAAGCATTCTCAGAAACTTGTTTGTGATGTGTGTATTCAACTAACAGAGATGAACCTTTCTTTTTACAGAGCAGTTTTGAAACACTCTTTTTGTGGAATCTGAAAGTGGATATTTGGATAGCTTTGCGGATTTCGTTGGAAACGGGATTACATATAAAATCTAGGGAGAAGCATTCTCAGGAACTTCTTTGTGATGTTTGCATTCAAGTCACAGAACTGAACATTCCCTTTCATAGAGCAGGTTTGAAACACTCTTTCTGTAGTATCTGCAAGCGGACGTTTTAAGCACTTTCAGGCCTGTGGTGAGAAAGGAAATATCTTCAAATAAAAACTAGACAGAAGCATTCTCAGAAACTTATTTGCGATGTGTGTCCTCAACTAACAGAGTTGAACCTTTCTTTTGATACAACATTTTGGAAACACTCTTTTTGTAGAATCTGCAAGTGGATATTTGGATAGCTTTGAAGGTTTCGTTGGAAACGGGAATATCTTCATATGAAATCAAGACAGAAGCATTCTCAGAAACTTCTCTGTGATGTTTGCATTCAACTCATAGAGTTGAACACTTCCCTTCATACAGCAGGTTTGAAACACTCTTTTTGTAATATTTGGAAGTGGACATTTGCAGCGCTTTGAGGCCTATGTTGAAAAAGGAAATATCTTCTCCTAAAAACCAGACAGAAGCATTCTCAGAAACTTCCTTGTGATGTGTGTACTCAAGTAACAGAGTTGAACCTTCATTTTGACAGAGCAGTTTTGAAGCACTCTTTTTGTAGAATCTGCAAGTGGATATTTTGATACCTTTGAGGATTTCGTTAGACACGGGATATCTTCATATAAAATCTAGACAGAAGCATTCTCAGGAACTTCTTTGTGATGTTTGCATTCAAGTCACAGAACTGAACATTCCCTTTCATAGAGCAGGTTTGAAACACTCTTTCTGTAGTATCTGCAAGCTGACGTTTCAAGCGCTTTCAGGCCTATGGTGAGAAAGGAAATATCTTCAAGTAAAAACTAGACAGAAGCATTCTCAGAAACTTATTTGCCATGTGTGTTCTCAACTAACAGAGTTGAACCTTTGTTTTGATACGGCATTTTGGAAACACTCTTTTTGTAGAATCTGCAGGTGGATATTCGGATAGCTTTGAAGGTTTCGTTGGAAACGGGAATATCTTCATATAAAATCTAGACGGAAGCATTCTCAGAAACTGCTTTGTGATGTTTTCATTCAAGTCACAGAGTAGAATGTTCCCTGTTATATACCAGGTTTGAGACACTCTTTCTGCACTACCTGGAAGTGGACGTTTGGAGCGCTTTGAGGCCTTTGTTGAAAAAGGAAATATCTTCCCATAAAAACTAGACAGAAGCATTCTCAGAAACTTGTTTGTGATGTGTGTATTCAACTAACAGAGATGAACCTTTCTTTTTACAGAGCAGTTTTGAAACACTCTTTTTGTGGAATCTGAAAGTGGATATTTGGATAGCTTTGAGGATTTCGTTGGAAACGGGATTACAGATAAAACCTAGAGAGAAGCATTCTCAGGAACTTCTTTGTGATGTTTGCATTCAAGTCACAGAACTGAACATTCCCTTTCATAGAGCAGGTTTGAAACACTCTTTCTGTAGTATCTGCAAGCTGACGTTTCAAGCGCTTTCAGGCCTATGGTGAGAAAGGAAATATCTTCAAGTAAAAACTAGACAGAAGCATTCTCAGAAACTTATTTGCCATGTGTGTTCTCAACTAACAGAGTTGAACCTTTGTTTTGATACGGCATTTTGGAAACACTCTTTTTGTAGAATCTGCAGGTGGATATTCGGATAGCTTTGAAGGTTTCGTTGGAAACGGGAATATCTTCATATAAAATCTAGACGGAAGCATTCTCAGAAACTGCTTTGTGATGTTTTCATTCAAGTCACAGAGTAGAATGTTCCCTGTTATATACCAGGTTTGAGACACTCTTTCTGCACTACCTGGAAGTGGACGTTTGGAGCGCTTTGAGGCCTATGTTGAAAAAGGAAATATCTTCCCATAAAAACTAGACAGAAGCATTCTCAGAAACTTGTTTGTGATGTGTGTATTCAACTAACAGAGATGAACCTTTCTTTTTACAGAGCAGTTTTGAAACACTCTTTTTGTGGAATCTGAAAGTGGATATTTGGATAGCTTGGAGGATTTCGTTGGAAACGGGATTACATATAAAACCTAGAGAGAAGCATTCTCAGGAACTTCTTTGTGATGTTTGCATTCAAGTCACAGAACTGAACATTCCCTTTCATAGAGCAGGTTTGAAACACTCTTTCTGTAGTATCTGCAAGCTGACGTTTCAAGCGCTTTCAGGCCTATGGTGAGAAAGGAAATATCTTCAAGTAAAAACTAGACAGAAGCATTCTCAGAAACTTATTTGCCATGTGTGTTCTCAACTAACAGAGTTGAACCTTTGTTTTGATACGGCATTTTGGAAACACTCTTTTTGTAGAATCTGCAGGTGGATATTCGGATAGCTTTGAAGGTTTCGTTGGAAACGGGAATATCTTCATATAAAATCTAGACGGAAGCATTCTCAGAAACTGCTTTGTGATGTTTTCATTCAAGTCACAGAGTAGAATGTTCCCTGTTATATACCAGGTTTGAGACACTCTTTCTGCACTACCTGGAAGTGGACGTTTGGAGCGCTTTGAGGCCTATGTTGAAAAAGGAAATATCTTCCCATAAAAACTAGACAGAAGCATTCTCAGAAACTTGTTTGTGATGTGTGTATTCAACTAACAGAGATGAACCTTTCTTTTTACAGAGCAGTTTTGAAACACTCTTTTTGTGGAATCTGAAAGTGGATATTTGGATAGCTTTGAGGATTTCGTTGGAAACGGGATTACATATAAAACCTAGAGAGAAGCATTCTCAGGAACTTCTTTGTGATGTTTGCATTCAAGTGACAGAACTGAACATTCCCTATCATAGAGCATGTTTGAAACACTCTTTCTGTAGTATCTGCAAACGGACATTTCAAACGCTTTCAGGCCTATGGTGAGAAAGGAAATATCTTCAAATAAAAACTAGACAGAAGCATTCTCAGAAACTTGTTTGCGATGTGTTTCCTCAACTAACAGAGTTGAACCTTTCTTTTGATACAACATTTTGGAAACACTCTTTTTGTAGAATCTGCAAGTGGATATTTGGATAGCTTTGAAGGTTTCTTTGGAAACGGGAATATCTTCATATAAAATCAAGACAGAAGCATTCTCAGAAACTTCTCTGTGATGTTTGCATTCAACTCATAGAGTTGAACACTTCCCTTCATACAGCAGGTTTGAAACACTCTTTTTGTAATATTTGGAAGTGGACATTTGCAGCGCTTTGAGGCCTATGATGAAAAAGGTAATATCTTCCCATAAAAACTAGACAGAAGCATTCTCAGAAACTTGTTTGTGATGTGTGTATTCAACTAACAGAGATGAACCTTTCTTTTTACAGAGCAGTTTTGAAACACTCTTTTTGTGGAATCTGAAAGTGGATATTTGGATAGCTTTGCGGATTTCGTTGGAAACGGGATTACTTATAAAATCTAGGGAGAAGCATTCTCAGGAACTTCTTTGTGATGTTTGCATTCAAGTCACAGAACTGAACATTCCCTTTCATAGAGCAGGTTTGAAACACTCTTTCTGTAGTATCTGCAAGCGGACGTTTTAAGCGCTTTCAGGCCTGTGGTGAGAAAGGAAATATCTTCAAATAAAAACTAGACAGAAGCATTCTCAGAAACTTATTTGCGATGTGTGTCCTCAACTAACAGAGTTGAACCTTTCTTTTGATACAACATTTTGGAAACACTCTTTTTGTAGAATCTGCAAGTGGATATTTGGATAGCTTTGAAGGTTTCGTTGGAAACGGGAATATCTTCATATGAAATCAAGACAGAAGCATTCTCAGAAACTTCTCTGTGATGTTTGCATTCAACTCATAGAGTTGAACACTTCCCTTCATACAGCAGGTTTGAAACACTCTTTTTCTAATATTTGGAAGTGGACATTTGCAGCGCTTTGAGGCCTATGTTGAAAAAGGAAATATCTTCTCCTAAAAACCAGACAGAAGCATTCTCAGAAACTTCCTTGTGATGTGTGTACTCAAGTAACAGAGTTGAACCTTCCTTTTGACAGAGCAGTTTTGAAGCACTCTTTTTGTAGAATCTGCAAGTGGATATTTTGATACCTTTGAGGATTTCGTTGGACACGGGATATCTTCATATAAAATCTAGACAGAAGCATTCTCAGAAACTTCTTTGTGCTGTATGTCCTCAATTAACAGAGTTGAACCATTGTGTGGATACAGCATTTTGGAAACATTCCTTTAGTAGAATCTGCAAGTTGATATTTAGATAGCTAGGAAGATTTCCTTTGGAAACGGGAATATCTTCATATAAAATCTAGACGGAAGCATTCTCAGAAAGTGCTTTGTGATGTTTGCATTCAAGTCACAGAGTTGAATATTCCCTTTTATAGAGCAGGTTTGAAACACTCTTTCTGCACTACCTGGAAGTGGACATTTGGAGCGCTTTGAGGCCTATGTTGAAAAAGGAAATATCTTCCCATAAAAACTAGACAGAAGCATTCTCAGAAATTTGTTTGTGATGTGTGTATTCAACTAACAGAGATGAACCTTTCTTTTTACAGAGCAGTTTTGAAACACTCTTTTTGTGGATTCTGAAAGTGGATATTTGGATAGCTTTGAGGATTTTGTTGGAAACGGGATTACATATAAAACCTAGAGAGAAGCATTCTCAGGAACTTCTTTGTGATGTTTGCATTCAAGTCACAGAACTGAACATTCCCTTTCATAGAGCAGGTTTGAAACACTCTTTCTGTAGTATCTGCAAGCTGACGTTTCAAGCGCTTTCAGGCCTATGGTGAGAAAGGAAATATCTTCAAGTAAAAACTAGACAGAAGCATTCTCAGAAACTTATTTGCGATGTGTGTTCTCAACTAACAGAGTTGAACCTTTGTTTTGATATGGCATTTTGGAAACACTCTTTTTGTAGAATCTGCAGGTGGATATTCGGATAGCTTTGAACGTTTCGTTGGAAACGGGAATATCTTCATATAAAATCTAGACGGAAGCATTCTCAGAAACTGCTTTGTGATGTTTTCATTCAAGTCACAGAGTAGAATGTTCCCTGTTATATACCAGGTTTGAGACACTCTTTCTGCACTACCTGGAAGTGGACATTTGCAGCGCTTTGAGGCCTATGATGAAAAAGGAAATATCTTCCCATAAAAACTAGACAGAAGCATTCTCAGAAACTTGCTTGTGATGTGTGTATTCAACTAACAGAGATGAACCTTTCTTTTTACAGAGCAGTTTTGAAACACTCTTTTTGTGGAATCTGAAAGTGGATATTTGGATAGCTTTGAGGATTTCGTTGGAAACGGGATTACATATAAAATCTAGAGAGAAGCATTCTCAGGAACTTCTTTGTGATGTTTGCATTCAAGTCACAGAACTGAACATTCCCTTTCATAGAGCATGTTTGAAACACTCTTTCTGTAGTATCTGCAAACGGACATTTCAAGCGCTTTCAGGACTATGGTAAGAAAGGAAATATCTTCAAATAAAAACTAGACAGGAAGCATTCTCAGAAGCTTTTTTGCCATGTGTGTTCTCAACTAACAGAGTTGAACCTTTGTTTTGATACGGCATTTTGGAAACACTCTTTTTGTAGAATCTGCAGGTGGATATTCGGATAGATTTGAAGGATTCGTTGGAAACGGGAATACCTTCATATAAAATCTAGACGGAAGCATTCTCAGAAACTGCTTTGTGATGTTTTCATTCAAGTCACAGAGTAGAATGTTCGCTGTTATATACCAGGTTTGAGACACTCTTTCTGCACTACCTGGAAGTGGACGTTTGAAGCGCTTTGAGCCCTATGTTGAAAAAGGAAATATCTTCCCATAAAAACTAGACAGAAGCATTCTCAGAAACTTGTTTGTGATGTGTGTATTCAACTAACAGAGATGAACCTTTCTTTTTACAGAACAGTTTTGAAACACTCTTTTTGTGGAATCTGAAAGTGGATATTTGGAGAGCTTTGAGGATTTCGTTGGAAACGGGATTACATATAAAATCTAGAGAGAAGCATTCTCAGGAACTTCTTTGTGATGTTTGCATTCAAGTCACAGAACTGAACATTCCCTTTCATAGAGCATGTTTGAAACACTCTTTCTGTAGTATCTGCAAACGGCCATTTCAAACGCTTTCAGGCCTATGGTGAGAAAGGAAATATCTTCAAATAAAAACTAGACAGAAGCATTCTCAGAAACTTATTTGCGATGTGTGTCCTCAACTAACAGAGTTGAACCTTTCTTTTGATACAACATTTTGGAAACACTCTTTTTGTAGAATCTGCAAGTGGATATTTGGATAGCTTTGAAGGTTTCGTTGGAAACGGGAATATACTTCATATGAAATCAAGACAGAAGCATTCTCAGTAAAGTGCTTTGTGATGTTTGCATTCAAGTCACAGAGTTGAATATTCCCTTTTATAGAGCAGGTTTGAAACACTCTTTCTGCACTACCTGGAAGTGGACATTTGGAGCGCTTTGAGGCCTATGTTGAAAAAGGGAATATCTTCCCATAAAAACTAGACAGAAGCATTCTCAGAAACTTGTTTGTGATGTGTGTATTCAACTAACAGAGATGAACCTTTCTTTTTACAGAGCAGTTTTGAAACACTCTTTTTGTGGAATCTGAAAGTGGATATTTGGATAGCTTTGAGGATTTCGTTGGAAACGGGATTACATATAAAACCTAGAGAGAAGCATTCTCAGGAACTTCTTTGTGATGTTTGCATTCAAGTCACAGAACTGAACATTCCCTTTCATAGAGCATGTTTGAAACACTCTTTCTGTAGTATCTGCAAGCGGACGTTTCAAGCGCTTTCAGGCCTATGGTGAGAAAGGAAATATCTTCAAGTAAAAACTAGACAGAAGCATTCTCAGAAACTTATTTGCCATGTGTGTTCTCAACTAACAGAGTTGAACCTTTGTTTTGATACGGCATTTTGGAAACACTCTTTTTGTAGAATCTGCAGGTGGATATTCGGATAGCTTTGAAGGTTTCGTTGGAAACGGGAATATCTTCATAGAAAATCTAGACGGAAGCATTCTCAGAAACTGCTTTGTGATGTTTTCATTCAAGTCACAGAGTAGAATGTTCTCTTTTATATACCAGGTTTGAGACACTCTTTCTGCACTATCTGGAAGTGGACATTTGGAGCGCTTTGAGGCCTATGATGAAAAAGGAAATATCTTCCCATAAAAACTAGACAGAAGCATTCTCAGAAACTTGGTTGTGATGTGTGTATTCAACTAACAGAGATGAACCTTTCTTTTTACAGAGCAGTTTTGAAACACTCTTTTTGTGGAATCTGAAAGTGGATATTTGGATAGCTTTGAGGATTTCGTTGGAAACGGGATTACATATAAAATCTAGAGAGAAGCATTCTCAGGAACTTCTTTGTGATGTTTGCATTCACGTCACAGAACTGAACATTCCCTTTCATAGAGCATGTTTGAAACACTCTTTCTGTAGTATCTGCAAACGGACATTTCAAGCGCTTTCAGGCCTATGGTAAGAAAGGAAATATCTTCAAATAAAAACTAGACAGAAGCATTCTCAGAAACTTATTTGTGATGTGTGTCCTCAACTAACAGAGTTGAACCTTTGTTTTGATACAACATTTTGGAAACACTCTTTTTGTAGAATCTGCAAGTGGATATTTGGATAGCTTTGAAGGTTTCGTTGGAAACGGGAATATCTTCATATAAAATCAAGACAGAAGCATTCTCAGAAACTGCTTTGTGATGTTTTCATTCAAGTCACAGAGTAGAATGTTCCCTGTTATATACCAGGTTTGAGACACTCTTTCTGCACTACCCGGAAGTGGACGTTTGGAGCGCTTTGAGGCCTATGTTGAAAAAGGAAATATCTTCCCATAAAAGCTAGACAGAAGCATTCTCAGAAACTTGTTTGTGATGTGTGTATTCAACTAACAGAGATGAACCTTTCTTTTTACAGAGCAGTTTTGAATCACTCTTTTTGTGGAATCTGAAAGTGGATATTTGGATAGCTTTGAGGATTTCGTTGGAAACGGGATTACATATAAAATCTAGAGAGAAGCATTCTCAGGAACTTCTTTGTGATGTTTGCATTCACGTCACAGAACTGAACATTCCCTTTCATAGAGCATGTTTGAAACACTCTTTCTGTAGTATCTGCAAACGGACATTTCAAACGCTTTCCGGCCTATGGTGAGAAAGGAAATATCTTCAAATAAAAACTAGACAGAAGCATTCTCAGAAACTTATTTGCGATGTGTGTCCTCAACTAACAGAGTTGAACCTGTCTTTTGATACAACATTTTGGAAACACTCTTTTTGTAGAATCTGCAAGTGGATATTTGAATAGCTTTGAAGGTTTCGTTGGAAACGGGAATATCTTCAAATAAAAACTAGACAGAAGCATTCTCAGAAACTTATTTGCGATGTGTGTCCTCAACTAACAGAGTTGAACCTTTCTTTTGATACAACATTTTGGAAACACTCTTTTTGTAGAATCTGCAAGTGGATATTTGAATAGCTTTGAAGGTTTCGTTGGAAACGGGAATATCTTCATATAAAATCAAGACAGAAGCATTCTCAGAAACTTCTCTGTGATGTTTGCATTCAACTCATAGAGTTGAACACTTCCCTTCATACAGCAGGTTTGAAACACTCTTTTTGTAATATTTGGAAGTGGACATTTGCAGCGCTTTGAGGCCTATGATGAAAAAGGTAATATCTTCCCATAAAAACTAGACAGAAGCATTCTCAGAAACTTGTTTGTGATGTGTGTATTCAACTAACAGAGATGAACCTTTCTTTTTACAGAGCAGTTTTGAAACACTCTTTTTGTGGAATCTGAAAGTGGATATTTGGATAGCTTTGCGGATTTCGTTGGAAACGGGATTACATATAAAATCTAGGGAGAAGCATTCTCAGGAACTTCTTTGTGATGTTTGCATTCAAGTCACAGAACTGAACATTCCCTTTCATAGAGCAGGTTTGAAACACTCTTTCTGTAGTATCTGCAAGCGGACGTTTTAAGCGCTTTCAGGCCTGTGGTGAGAAAGGAAATATCTTCAAATAAAAACTAGACAGAAGCATTCTCAGAAACTTATTTGCGATGTGTGTCCTCAACTAACAGAGTTGAACCTTTGTTTTGATACAACATTTTGGAAACACTCTTTTTGTAGGATCTGCAAGTGGATATTTGGATAGCTTTGAAGGTTTCGTTGGAAACGGGAATATCTTCATATAAAATCAAGACAGAAGCATTCTCAGAAAGTGCTTTGTGATGTTTTCATTCAGGTCACAGAGTAGAATCTTCCCTGTTATATACCAGGTTTCAGACACTCTTTCTGCACTACCTGGAAGTGGACATTTGCAGCGCTTTGAGGCCTATGATGAAAAAGGAAATATCTTCCCATAAAAACTAGACAGAAGCATTCTCAGAAACTTGTTTGTGATGTGTGTATTCAACTAACAGAGATGAACCTTTCTTTTTACAGAGCAGTTTTGAAACACTCTTTTTGTGGAATCTGAAAGTGGATATTTGGATAGCTTTGAGGATTTCGTTGGAAACGGGATTACATATAAAATCTAGAGAGAACCATTCTCAGGAACTTCTTTGTGATGTTTGCATTCACGTCACAGAACTGAACATTCCCTTTCATAGAGCATGTTTGAAACACTCTTTCTGTAGTATCTGCAAACGGACATTTCAAACGCTTTCAGGCCTATGGTGAGAAAGGAAATATCTTCAAGTAAAAACTAGACAGAAGCATTCTCAGAAACTTCTTTGTGCTGTATGTCCTCAATTAACAGAGTTGAACCTTTGTGTGGATACAGCATTTTGGAAACATTCCTTTAGTAGAATCTGCAAGTTGATATTTAGATAGCTAGGAAGATTTCCTTGGAAACGGGAATATCTTCATAAAAAATCTAGACGGAAGCATTCTCAGAAAGTGCTTTGTGATGTTTGCATTCAAGTCACAGAGTTGAATATTCCCTTTTATAGAGCAGGTTTGAAACACTCTTTCTGTACTACCTGGAAGTGGACATTTGGAGCCGCTTTGAGGCCTATGTTGAAAAAGGAAATATCTTCCCATAAAAACTAGACAGAAGCATTCTCAGAAACTTGTTTGTGATGTGTGTATTCAACTAACAGAGATGAACCTTTCTTTTTACAGTGCAGTTTTGAAACACTCTTTTTGTGGAATCTGAAAGTGGATATTTGGATAGCTTTGAGGATTTCGTTGGAAACGGGATTACATATAAAATCTAGAGAGAAGCATTCTCAGGAACTTCTTTGTGATGTTTGCATTCAAGTCACAGAACTGAACATTCCCTTTCATAGAGCAGGTTTGAAACACTCTTTCTGTAGTATCTGCAAGCTGACGTTTCAAGCGCTTTCAGGCCTATGGTGAGAAAGGAAATATCTTCAAGTAAAAACTAGACAGAAGCATTCTCAGAAACTTATTTGCGATGTGTGTTCTCAACTAACAGAGTTGAACCTTTGTTTTGATATGGCATTTTGGAAACACTCTTTTTGTAGAATCTGCAGGTGGATATTCGGATAGCTTTGAAGGTTTCGTTGGAAACGGGAATATCTTCATATAAAATCTAGACGGAAGCATTCTCAGAAACTGCTTTGTGATGTTTTCATTCAAGTCACAGAGTAGAATGTTCCCTGTTATATACCAGGTTTGAGACACTCTTTCTGCACTACCTGGAAGTGGACATTTGCAGCGCTTTGAGGCCTATGATGAAAAAGGAAATATCTTCCCATAAAAACTAGACAGAAGCATTCTCAGAAACTTGTTTGTGATGTGTGTATTCAACTAACAGAGATGAACCTTTCTTTTTACAGAGCAGTTTTGAAACACTCTTTTTGTGGAATCTGAAAGTGGATATTTGGATAGCTTTGAGGATTTCGTTGGAAACGGGATTACATATAAAATCTAGAGAGAAGCATTCTCAGGAACTTCTTTGTGATGTTTGCATTCAAGTCACAGAACTGAACATTCCCTTTCATAGTGCAGGTTTGAAACACTCTTTCTGTAGTATCTGCAAGCTGACGTTTCAAGCGCTTTCAGGCCTGTGGTGAAAAAGGAAATATCTTCAAATAAAAACTAGACTGAAGCATTCTCAGAAACTTATTTGCGATGTGTGTCCTCAACTAACAGAGTTGAACCTTTCTTTTGATACAACATTTTGGAAACACTCTTTTTGTAGAATCTGCAAGTGGATATTTGGATAGCTTTGAAGGTTTCGTTGGAAACGGGAATATCTTCATATAAAATCAAGACAGAAGCATTCTCAGAAACTTCTCTGTGATGTTTGCATTCAACTCATAGAGTTGAACACTTCCCTTCATACAGCAGGTTTGAAACACTCTTTTTCTAATATTTGGAAGTGGACATTTGCAGCGCTTTGAGGCCTATGTTGAAAAAGGAAATATCTTCTCCTAAAAACCAGACAGGAAGCATTCTCAGAAACTTCCTTGTGATGTGTGTACTCAAGTAACAGAGTTGAACCTTCCTTTTGACAGAGCAGTTTTGAAGCACTCTTTTTGTAGAATCTGCAAGTGGATATTTTGATACCTTTGAGGATTTCGTTGGACACGGGATATCTTCATATAAAATCTAGACAGAAGCATTCTCAGAAACTTCTTTGTGCTGTATGTCCTCAATTAACAGAGTTGAACCTTTGTGTGGATACAGCATTTTGGAAACATTCCTTTAGTAGAATCTGCAAGTTGATATTTAGATAGCTAGGAAGATTTCCTTGGAAACGGGAATATCTTCATATAAAATCTAGACGGAAGCATTCTCAGAAAGTGCTTTGTGATGTTTGCATTCAAGTCACAGAGTTGAATATTCCCTTTTATAGAGCAGGTTTGAAACACTCTTTCTGCACTACCTGGAAGTGGACATTTGGAGCGCTTTGAGGCCTATGTTGAAAAAGGAAATATCTTCCCATAAAAACTGGACAGAAGCATTCTCAGAAACTTGTTTGTGATGTGTGTATTCAACTAACAGAGATGAACCTTTCTTTTTACAGAGCAGTTTTGAAACACTCTTTTTGTGGAATCTGAAAGTGGATATTTGGATAGCTTTGCGGATTTCGTTGGAAACGGGATTACATATAAAATCTAGGGAGAAGCATTCTCAGGAACTTCTTTGTGATGTTTGCATTCAAGTCACAGAACTGAACATTCCCTTTCATAGAGCAGGTTTGAAACACTCTTTCTGTAGTATCTGCAAGCGGACGTTTTAAGCGCTTTCAGGCCTGTGGTGAGAAAGGAAATATCTTCAAATAAAAACTAGACAGAAGCATTCTCAGAAACTTATTTGCGATGTGTGTCCTCAACTAACAGAGTTGAACCTTTCTTTTGATACAACATTTTGGAAACACTCTTTTTGTAGAATCTGCAAGTGGATATTTGGATAGCTTTGAAGGTTTCGTTGGAAACGGGAATATCTTCATATGAAATCAAGACAGAAGCATTCTCAGAAACTTCTCTGTGATGTTTGCATTCAACTCATAGAGTTGAACACTTCCCTTCATACAGCAGGTTTGAAACACTCTTTTTGTAATATTTGGAAGTGGACATTTGCAGCGCTTTGAGGCCTATGTTGAAAAAGGAAATATCTTCTCCTAAAAACCAGACAGAAGCATTCTCAGAAACTTCCTTGTGATGTGTGTACTCAAGTAACAGAGTTGAACCTTCCTTTTGACAGAGCAGTTTTGAAGCACTCTTTTTGTAGAATCTGCAAGTGGATATTTTGATACCTTTGAGGATTTCGTTGGACACGGGATATCTTCATATAAAATCTAGACAGAAGCATTCTCAGAAACTTCTTTGTGCTGTATGTCCTCAATTAACAGAGTTGAACCTTGGGTGGATACAGCATTTTGGAAACATTCCTTTAGTAGAATCTGCAAGTTGATATTTAGATAGCTAGGAAGATTTCCTTGGAAACGGGAATATCTTCATATAAAATCTAGACGGAAGCATTCTCAGAAAGTGCTTTGTGATGTTTGCATTCAAGTCACAGAGTTGAATATTCCCTTTTATAGAGCAGGTTTGAAACACTCTTTCTGCACTACCTGGAAGTGGACATTTGGAGCGCTTTGAGGCCTATGTTGAAAAAGGAAATATCTTCCCCTAAAAACTAGACAGAAGCATTCTCAGAAACTTGTTTGTGATGTGTGTATTCAACTAACAGAGATGAACCTTTCTTTTTACAGAGCAGTTTTGAAACACTCTTTTTGTGGAATCTGAAAGTGGATATTTGGATAGCTTTGAGGATTTCGTTGGAAACGGGATTACATATAAAACCTAGAGAGAAGCATTCTCAGGAACTTCTTTGTGATGTTTGCATTCAAGTCACAGAACTGAACATTCCCTTTCATAGAGCAGGTTTGAAACACTCTTTCTGTAGTATCTGCAAGCTGACGTTTCAAGCGCTTTCAGGCCTATGGTGAGAAAGGAAATATCTTCAAGTAAAAACTAGACAGAAGCATTCTCAGAAACTTATTTGCCATGTGTGTTCTCAACTAACAGAGTTGAACCTTTGTTTTGATACGGCATTTTGGAAACACTCTTTTTGTAGAATCTGCAGGTGGATATTCGGATAGCTTTGAAGGTTTCGTTGGAAACGGGAATATCTTCATATAAAATCTAGACGGAAGCATTCTCAGAAACTGCTTTGTGATGTTTTCATTCAAGTCACAGAGTAGAATCTTCCCTGTTATATACCAGGTTTCAGACACTCTTTCTGCACTACCTGGAAGTGGACATTTGCAGCGCTTTGAGGCCTATGATGAAAAAGGAAATATCTTCCCATAAAAACTAGACAGAAGCATTCTCAGAAACTTGTTTGTGATGTGTGTATTCAACTAACAGAGATGAACCTTTCTTTTTACAGAGCAGTTTTGAAACACTCTTTTTGTGGAATCTGAAAGTGGATATTTGGATAGCTTTGAGGATTTCGTTGGAAACGGGATTACATATAAAATCTAGAGAGAAGCATTCTCAGGAACTTCTTTGTGATGTTTGCATTCACGTCACAGAACTGAACATTCCCTTTCATAGAGCATGTTTGAAACACTCTTTCTGTAGTATCTGCAAACGGACATTTCAAACGCTTTCAGGCCTATGGTGAGAAAGGAAATATCTTCAAATAAAAACTAGACAGAAGCATTCTCAGAAACTTATTTGCGATGTGTGTCCTCAACTAACAGAGTTGAACCTTTCTTTTGATACAACATTTTGGAAACACTCTTTTTGTGGAATCTGCAAGTGGATATTTGGATAGCTTTGAAGGTTTCGTTGGAAACGGGAATATCTTCATATAAAATCAAGACAGAAGCATTCTCAGAAACTTCTCTGTGATGTTTGCATTCAACTCATAGAGTTGAACACTTCCCTTCATACAGCAGGTTTGAAACACTCTTTTTGTAATATTTGGAAGTGGACATTTGCAGCGCTTTGAGGCCTATGATGAAAAAGGTAATATCTTCCCATAAAAACTAGACAGAAGCATTCTCAGAAACTTGTTTGTGATGTGTGTATTCAACTAACAGAGATGAACCTTTCTTTTTACAGAGCAGTTTTGAAACACTCTTTTTGTGGAATCTGAAAGTGGATATTTGGATACCTTTGAGGATTTCGTTGGAAACGGGATTACATATAAAACCTAGAGAGAAGCATTCTCAGGAACTTCTTTGTGATGTTTGCATTCAAGTCACAGAACTGAACATTCCCTTTCATAGAGCATGTTTGAAACACTCTTTCTGTAGTATCTGCAAACGGACATTTCAAGCGCTTTCAGGCCTATGGTAAGAAAGGAAATATCTTCAAATAAAAACTAGACAGAAGCATTCTCAGAAACTTATTTGCGATGTGTGTCCTCAACTAACAGAGTTGAACCTTTGTTTTGATACAACATTTTGGAAACACTCTTTTTGTAGAATCTGCAAGTGGATATTTGGATAGCTTTGAAGGTTTCGTTGGAAACGGGAATATCTTCATATAAAATCAAGACAGAAGCATTCTCAGAAACTTCTCTGTGATGTTTGCATTCAACTCATAGAGTTGAACACTTCCCTTCATAGAGCAGGTTTGAAACACTCTTTTTGTAATATTTGGAAGTGGACATTTGCAGCGCTTTGAGGCCTATGTTGAAAAAGGAAATATCTTCTCCTAAAAACCAGACAGGAAGCATTCTCAGAAACTTCCTTGTGATGTGTGTACTCAAGTAACACAGTTGAACCTTACTTTTGACAGAGCCGTTTTGAAACAGTCTTTTTGTAGAATCTGGAAGTAGATATTTGGATACCTTTGAGGATTTCTTTGGAAACGGGATATCTTCATATAAAATCTAGACAGAAGCATTCTCAGGAACTTCTTTGTGATGTTTGCCTTCAAGTCACAGGACTGAACATTCCCTTTCATAGAGCAGGTTTGAAACACTCTTTCTGTAGTATCTGCAAGCTGACGTTTCAAGCGCTTTCAGGCCTATGGTGAGAAAGGAAATATCTTCAAGTAAAAACTAGACAGAAGCATTCTCAGAAACTTATTTGCCATGTGTGTTCTCAACTAACAGAGTTGAACCTTGGTTTTGATATGGCATTTTGGAAACACTCTTTTTGTAGAATCTGCAGGTGGATATTCGGATAGCTTTGAAGGTTTCTTTGGAAACGGGAATATCTTCATATAAAATCTAGACGGAAGCATTCTCAGAAACTGCTTTGTGATGTTTTCATTCAAGTCACAGAGTAGAATGTTCCCTGTTATATACCAGGTTTGAGACACTCTTTCTGCACTACCTGGAAGTGGACGTTTGGAGCGCTTTGAGGCCTATGTTGAAAAAGGAAATATCTTCCCATAAAAACTAGACAGAAGCATTCTCAGAAACTTGTTTGTGATGTGTGTATTCAACTAACAGAGATGAACCTTTCTTTTTACAGAGCAGTTTTGAAACACTCTTTTTGTGGAATCTGAAAGTGGATATTTGGATAGCTTTGAGGATTTCGTTGGAAACGGGATTACATATAAAATCTAGAGAGAAGCATTCTCAGGAACTCCTTTGTGATGTTTGCATTCACGTCACAGAACTGAACATTCCCTTTCATAGAGCATGTTTGAAACACTCTTTCTGTAGTATCTGCAAACGGACATTTCAAACGCTTTCAGGCCTATGGTGAGAAAGGAAATATCTTCAAGTAAAAACTAGACAGAAGCATTCTCAGAAACTTATTTGCGATTTGTGTCCTCAACTAACAGAGTTGAACCTTTCTTTTGATGCAACATTTTGGAAACACTCTTTTTGTAAAATCTGCAAGTGGATATTTGAATAGCTTTGAAGGTTTCGTTGGAAACGGGAATATCTTCATATAAAATCAAGACAGAAGCATTCTCAGAAACTTCTCTGTGATGTTTGCATTCAACTCATAGAGTTGAACACTTCCCTTCATACAGCAGGTTTGGAACACTCTTTTTGTAATATTTGGAAGTGGACATTTGCAGCGCTTTGAGGCCTATGATGAAAAAGGTAATATCTTCCCATAAAAACTAGACAGAAGCATTCTCAGAAACTTGTTTGTGATGTGTGTATTCAACTAACAGAGATGAACCTTTCTTTTTACAGAGCAGTTTTGAAACACTCTTTTTGTGGAATCTGAAAGTGGATATTTGGATAGCTTTGAGGATTTCGTTGGAAACGGGATTACATATAAAATCTAGGGAGAAGCATTCTCAGGAACTTCTTTGTGATGTTTGCATTCAAGTCACAGAACTGAACATTCCCTTTCATAGAGCAGGTTTGAAACACTCTTTCTGTAGTATCTGCAAGCGGACGTTTTAAGCGCTTTCAGGCCTGTGGTGAGAAAGGAAATATCTTCAAATAAAAACTAGACAGAAGCATTCTCAGAAACTTATTTGCGATGTGTGTCCTCAACTAACAGAGTTGAACCTTTCTTTTGATACAACATTTTGGAAACACTCTTTTTGTAGAATCTGCAAGTGGATATTTGGATAGCTTTGAAGGTTTCGTTGGAAACGGGAATATCTTCATATAAAATCAAGACAGCAGCATTCTCAGAAACTTCTCTGTGATGTTTGCATTCAACTCATAGAGTTGAACACTTCCCTTCATACAGCAGGTTTGAAACACTCTTTTTCTAATATTTGGAAGTGGACATTTGCAGCGCTTTGAGGCCTATGTTGAAAAAGGAAATATCTTCTCCTAAAAACCAGACAGAAGCATTCTCAGAAACTTCCTTGTGATGTGTGTACTCAAGTAACAGAGTTGAACCTTCCTTTTGACAGAGCAGTTTTGAAGCACTCTTTTAGTAGAATCTGCAAGTGGATATTTTGATACCTTTGAGGATTTCGTTGGACACGGGATATCTTCATATAAAATCTAGACAGAAGCATTCTCAGAAACTTCTTTGTGCTGTATGTCCTCAATTAACAGAGTTGAACCTTTGTGTGGATACAGCATTTTGGAAACATTCCTTTAGTAGAATCTGCAAGTTGATATTTAGATAGCTAGGAAGATTTCCTTGGAAACGGGAATATCTTCATATAAAATCTAGACGGAAGCATTCTCAGAAAGTGCTTTGTGATGTTTGCATTCAAGTCACAGAGTTGAATATTCCCTTTTATAGAGCAGGTTTGAAACACTCTTTCTGCACTATCTGGAAGTGGACATTTGGAGCGCTTTGAGGCCTATGTTGAAAAAGGAAATATCTTCCCATAAAAACTAGACAGAAGCATTCTCAGAAACTTGTTTGTGATGTGTGTATTCAACTAACAGAGATGAACCTTTCTTTTTACAGAGCAGTTTTGAAACACTCTTTTTGTGGAATCTGAAAGTGGATATTTGGATAGCTTTGAGGATTTCGTTGGAAACGGGATTACATATAAAACCTAGAGAGAAGCATTCTCAGGAACTTCTTTGTGATGTTTGCATTCAAGTCGCAGAACTGAACATTCCCTTTCATAGAGCAGGTTTGAAACACTCTTTCTGTAGTATCTGCAAGCTGACGTTTCAAGCGCTTTCAGGCCTATGGTGAGAAAGGAAATATCTTCAAGTAAAAACTAGACAGAAGCATTCTCAGAAACTTATTTGCGATGTGTGTTCTCAACTAACAGAGTTGAACCTTTGTTTTGATATGGCATTTTGGAAACACTCTTTTTGTAGAATCTGCAGGTGGATATTCGGATAGCTTTGAAGGTTTCGTTGGAAACGGGAATATCTTCATATAAAATCTAGACGGAAGCATTCTCAGAAACTGCTTTGTGATGTTTTCATTCAAGTCACAGAGTAGAATGTTCCCTGTTATATACCAGGTTTGAGACACTCTTTCTGCACTACCTGGAAGTGGATGTTTGGAGCGCTTTGAGGCCTATGTTGAAAAAGGAAATATCTTCCCATAAAAACTAGACAGAAGCATTCTCAGAAACTTGTTTGTGATGTGTGTATTCAACTAACAGAGATGAACCTTTCTTTTTACAGAGCAGTTTTGAAACACTCTTTTTGTGGAATCTGAAAGTGGATATTTGGATAGCTTTGAGGATTTCGTTGGAAACGGGATTACATATAAAACCTAGAGAGAAGCATTCTCAGGAACTTCTTTGTGATGTTTGCCTTCAAGTCACAGGACTGAACATTCCCTTTCATAGAGCAGGTTTGAAACACTCTTTCTGTAGTATCTGCAAGCTGACGTTTCAAGCGCTTTCAGGCCTATGGTGAGAAAGGAAATATCTTCAAGTAAAAACTAGACAGAAGCATTCTCAGAAACTTATTTGCCATGTGTGTTCTCAACTAACAGAGTTGAACCTTTGTTTTGATACGGCATTTTGGAAACACTCTTTTTGTAGAATCTGCAGGTGGATATTCGGATAGCTTTGAAGGTTTCGTTGGAAACGGGAATATCTTCATATAAAATGCTAGACGGAAGCATTCTCAGAAACTGCTTTGTGATGTTTTCATTCAAGTCACAGAGTAGAATGTTCCCTTTTATAGAGCAGGTTTGAGACACTCTTTCTGCACTACCTGGAAGTGGACATTTGTAGCGCTTTGAGGCCTATGATGAAAAAGGAAATATCTTCCCATAAAAACTAGACAGATGCATTCTCAGAAACTTGTTTGTGATGTGTGTATTCAACTAACAGAGATGAACCTTTCTTTTTACAGAGCAGTTTTGAAACACTCTTTTTGTGGAATCTGAAAGTGGATATTTGGAGAGCTTTGAGGATTTCGTTGGAAACGGGATTACATAGAAAATCTGGAGAGAAGCATTCTCAGGAACTTCTTTGTGATGTTTGCATTCAAGTCACAGAACTGAACATTCCCTTTCATAGAGCAGGTTTGAAACACTCTTTCTGTAGTATCTGCAAGCTGACGTTTCAAGCGCTTTCAGGCCTATGGTGAGAAAGGAAATATACTTCAAGTAAAAACTAGACAGAAGGATTCTCAGAAACTTCTTTGTGCTGTATGTCCTCAATTAACAGAGTTGAACCTTTGTGTGGATACAGCATTTTGGAAACATTCCTTTAGTAGAATCTGCAAGTTGATATTTAGATAGCTAGGAAGATTTCCTTGGAAACGGGAATATCTTCATATAAAATCTAGACGGAAGCATTCGCAGAAAGTGCTTTGTGATGTTTGCATTCAAGTCACAGAGTTGAATATTCCCTTTTATAGAGCAGGTTTGAAACACTCTTTCTGCACTACCTGGAAGTGGACATTTGGAGCGCTTTGAGGCCTATGTTGAAAAAGGAAATATCTTCCCATAAAAACTAGACAGAAGCATTCTCAGAAACTTGTTTGTGATGTGTGTATTCAACTAACAGAGATGAACCTTTCTTTTTACAGAGCAGTTTTGAAACACTCTTTTTGTGGAATCTGAAAGTGGATATTTGGATAGCTTTGAGGATTTCGTTGGAAACGGGATTACATATAAAACCTAGAGAGAAGCATTCTCAGGAACTTCTTTGTGATGTTTGCATTCACGTCACAGAACTGAACATTCCCTTTCATAGAGCATGTTTGAAACACTCTTTCTGTAGTATCTGCAAACGGACATTTCAAACGCTTTCAGGCCTATGGTGAGAAAGGAAATATCTTCAAATAAAAACTAGACAGAAGCATTCTCAGAAACTTATTTGCGATGTGTGTCCTCAACTAACAGAGTTGAACCTTTCTTTTGATACAACATTTTGGAAACACTCTTTTTGTAGAATCTGCAAGTGGATATTTGGATAGCTTTGAAGGTTTCGTTGGAAACGGGAATATCTTCATATAAAATCAAGACAGAAGCATTCTCAGAAACTTCTCTGTGATGTTTGCATTCAACTCATAGAGTTGAACACTTCCCTTCATACAGCAGGTTTGAAACACTCTTTTTGTAATATTTGGAAGTGGACATTTGCAGCGCTTTGAGGCCTATGATGAAAAAGGAAATATCTTCCCATAAAAACTAGACAGAAGCATTCTCAGAAACTTGTTTGTGATGTGTGTATTCAACTAACAGAGATGAACCTTTCTTTTTACAGAGCAGTTTTGAAACACTCTTTTTGTGGAATCTGAAAGTGGATATTTGGATAGCTTTGCGGATTTCGTTGGAAACGGGATTACATATAAAATCTAGGGAGAAGCATTCTCAGGAACTTCTTTGTGATGTTTGCATTCAAGTCACAGAACTGAACATTCCCTTTCATAGAGCAGGTTTGAAACACTCTTTCTGTAGTATCTGCAAGCGGACGTTTTAAGCGCTTTCAGGCCTGTGGTGAGAAAGGAAATATCTTCAAATAAAAACTAGACAGAAGCATTCTCAGAAACTTATTTGCGATATGTGTCCTCAACTAACAGAGTTGAACCTTTCTTTTGATACAACATTTTGGAAACACTCTTTTTGTAGAATCTGCAAGTGAATATTTGGATAGCTTTGAAGGTTTCGTTGGAAACGGGAATATCTTCATATGAAATCAAGACAGAAGCATTCTCAGAAACTTCTCTGTGATGTTTGCATTCAACTCATAGAGTTGAACACTTCCCTTCATACAGCAGGTTTGAAACACTCTTT
Organism: Homo sapiens; assembly: GCF_000001405.40. Taxonomy (NCBI): domain Eukaryota; kingdom Metazoa; phylum Chordata; class Mammalia; order Primates; family Hominidae; genus Homo; species Homo sapiens. The sequence continues at coordinate 44,094,433 of NC_000009.12, forward strand.
TTCTAATATTTGGAAGTGGACATTTGCAGCGCTTTGAGGCCTATGTTGAAAAAGGAAATATCTTCTCCTAAAAACCAGACAGAAGCATTCTCAGAAACTTCCTTGTGATGTGTGTACTCAAGTAACAGAGTTGAACCTTCCTTTTGACAGAGCAGTTTTGAAGCACTCTTTTTGTAGAATCTGCAAGTGGATATTTTGATACCTTTGAGGATTTCGTTGGACACGGGATATCTTCATATAAAATCTAGACAGAAGCATTCTCAGAAACTTCTTTGTGCTGTATGTCCTCAATTAACAGAGTTGAACCTTTGTGTGGATACAGCATTTTGGAAACATTCCTTTAGTAGAATCTGCAAGTTGATATTTAGATAGCTAGGAAGATTTCCTTGGAAACGGGAATATCTTCATATAAAATCTAGACGGAAGCATTCTCAGAAAGTGCTTTGTGATGTTTGCATTCAAGTCACAGAGTTGAATATTCCCTTTTATAGAGCAGGTTTGAAACACTCTTTCTGCACTACCTGGAAGTGGACATTTGGAGCGCTTTGAGGCCTATGTTGAAAAAGGAAATATGTTCCCATAAAAACTAGACAGAAGCATTCTCAGAAACTTGTTTGTGATGTGTGTATTCAACTAACAGAGATGAACCTTTCTTTTTACAGAGCAGTTTTGAAACACTCTTTTTGTGGAATCTGAAAGTGGATATTTGGATAGCTTTGAGGATTTCGTTGGAAACGGGATTACATATAAAACCTAGAGAGAAGCATTCTCAGGAACTTCTTTGTGATGTTTGCCTTCAAGTCACAGGACTGAACATTCCCTTTCATAGAGCAGGTTTGAAACACTCTTTCTGTACTATCTGCAAGCTGACGTTTCATGCGCTTTCAGGCCTATGGTAAGAAAGGAAATATCTTCAAGTAAAAACTAGACAGAAGCATTCTCAGAAACTTATTTGTCATGTGTGTTCTCAACTAACAGAGTTGAACCTTTGTTTTGATACGGCATTTTGGAAACACTCTTTTTGTAGAATCTGCAGGTGGATATTCGGATAGCTTTGAAGGTTTCGTTGGAAACGGGAATATCTTCATATAAAATCTAGACGGAAGCATTCTCAGAAAGTGCTTTGTGATGTTTGCATTCAAGTCACAGAGTTGAATATTCCCTTTTATAGAGCAGGTTTGAAACACTCTTTCTGCACTACCTGGAAGTGGACATTTGGAGCGCTTTGAGGCCTATGTTGAAAAAGGAAATATCTTCCCATAAAAACTAGACAGAAGCATTCTCAGAAACTTGTTTGTGATGTGTGTATTCAACTAACAGAGATGAACCTTTCTTTTTACAGAGCAGTTTTGAAACACTCTTTTTGTGGAATCTGAAAGTGGATATTTGGATAGCTTTGAGGATTTCGTTGGAAACGGGATTACATATAAAACCTAGAGAGAAGCATTCTCAGGAACTTCTTTGTGATGTTTGCCTTCAAGTCACAGGACTGAACATTCCCTTTCATAGAGCAGGTTTGAAACACTCTTTCTGTAGTATCTGCAAGCTGACGTTTCATGCGCTTTCAGGCCTATGGTGAGAAAGGAAATATCTTCAAGTAAAAACTAGACAGAAGCATTCTCAGAAACTTATTTGCCATGTGTGTTCTCAACTAACAGAGTTGAACCTTTGTTTTGATACGGCATTTTGGAAACAGTCTTTTTGTAGAATCTGCAGGTGGATATTCGGATAGCTTTGAAGGTTTCGTTGGAAACGGGAATATCTTCATATAAAATCTAGACGGAAGCATTCTCAGAAACTGCTTTGTGATGTTTTCATTCAAGTCACAGAGTAGAATGTTCCCTGTTATATACCAGCTTTGAGACACTCTTTCTGCACTACCTGGAAGTGGACGTTTGGAGCGCTTTGAGGCCTATGTTGAAAAAGGAAATATCTTCCCATAAAAACTAGACAGAAGCATTCTCAGAAACTTGTTTGTGATGTGTGTATTCAACTAACAGAGATGAACCTTTCTTTTTACAGAGCAGTTTTGAAACACTCTTTTTGTGGAATCTGAAAGTGGATATTTGGATAGCTTTGAGGATTTCGTTGGAAACGGGATTACATATAAAACCTAGAGAGAAGCATTCTCAGGAACTTCTTTGTGATGTTTGCCTTCAAGTCACAGGACTGAACATTCCCTTTCATAGAGCAGGTTTGAAACACTCTTTCTGTAGTATCTGCAGGCTGACGTTTCAAGCCCTTTCAGGCCTATGGTGAGAAAGGAAATATCTTCAAGTAAAAACTAGACAGAAAGCATTCTCAGAAACTTATTTGCCATGTGTGTTCTCAACTAACAGAGTTGAACCTTTGTTTTGATACGGCATTTTGGAAACACTCTTTTTGTAGAATCTGCAGGTGGATATTCGGATAGCTTTGAAGGTTTCGTTGGAAACGGGAATAACTTCATATAAAATCTAGACGGAGCATTCTCAGAAACTGCTTTGTGATGTTTTCATTCAAGTCACAGAGTAGAATGTTCCCTTTTATATACCAGGTTTGAGACACTCTTTCTGCACTATCTGGAAGTGGACATTTGGAGCGCTTTGAGGCCTATGATGAAAAAGGAAATATCTTCCCATAAAAACTAGACAGAAGCATTCTCAGAAACTTGGTTGTGATGTGTGTATTCAACTAACAGAGATGAACCTTTCTTTTTACAGAGCAGTTTTGAAACACTCTTTTTGTAGAATCTGAAAGTGCATATTTGGATAGCTTTGAGGATTTCGTTGGAAACGGGATTACATATAAAATCTAGAGAGAAGCATTCTCAGGAACTTCTTTGTGATGTTTGCATTCACGTCACAGAACTGAACATTCCCTTTCATAGAGCATGTTTGAAACACTCTTTCTGTAGTATCTGCAAACGGACATTTCAAGCGCTTTCAGGCCTATGGTAAGAAAGGAAATATCTTCAAATAAAAACTAGACAGAAGCATTCTCAGAAACTTATTTGCGATGTGTGTCCTCAACTAACAGAGTTGAACCTTTGTTTTGATACAACATTTTGGAAACACTCTTTTAGTAGAATCTGCAAGTGAATATTTGGATAGCTTTGAAGGTTTCGTTGGAAACGGGAATATCTTCATATAAAATCAAGACAGAAGCATTCTCAGAAACTTCTCTGTGATGTTTGCATTCAACTCATAGAGGTGAACACTTCCCTTCATAGAGCAGGTTTGAAACACTCTTTTTGTAATATTTGGAAGTGGACATTTGCAGCGCTTTGAGGCCTATGTTGAAAAAGGAAATATCTTCTCCTAAAAACCAGACAGAAGCATTCTCAGAAACTTCCTTGTGATGTGTGTACTCAAGTAACACAGTTGAACCTTCCTTTTGACAGAGCCGTTTTGAAACAGTCTTTTTGTAGAATCTGGAAGTAGATATTTGGACACCTTTGAGGATTTCTTTGGAAACGGGATATCTTCATATAAAATCTAGACAGAAGCATTCTCAGAAACTTCTTTGTGCTGTATGTCCTCAATTAACAGAGTTGAACCTTTGTGTGGATACAGCATTTTGGAAACACCCCTTTAGTAGGATATGCAAGTTGATATTTAGATAGCTAGGAAGATTTCCTTGGAAACGGGAATATCTTCATATAAAATCTAGACGGAAGCATTCTCAGAAACTGCTTTGTGATGTTTTCATTCAAGTCACAGAGTAGAATGTTCCCTGTTATATACCAGGTTTGAGACACTCTTTCTGCACTACCCGGAAGTGGACGTTTGGAGCGCTTTGAGGCCTATGTTGAAAAAGGAAATATCTTCCCATAAAAACTAGACAGAAGCATTCTCAGAAACTTGTTTGTGATGTGTGTATTCAACTAACAGAGATGAACCTTTCTTTTTACAGAGCAGTTTTGAAACACTCTTTTTGTGGAATCTGAAAGTGGATATTTGGATGGCTTTGAGGATTTCGTTGGAAACGGGATTACATATAAAATCTAGAGAGAAGCATTCTCAGGAACTTCTTTGTGATGTTTGCATTCACGTCACAGAACTGAACATTCCCTTTCATAGAGCATGTTTGAAACACTCTTTCTGTAGTATCTGCAAACGGACATTTCAAACGCTTTCAGGCCTATGGTGAGAAAGGAAATATCTTCAAGTAAAAACTAGACAGAAGCATTCTCAGAAACTTATTTGTGATGTGTGTCCTCAACTAACAGAGTTGAACCTTTCTTTTGATACAACATTTTGGAAACACTCTTTTTGTAGAATCTGCAAGTGGATATTTGAATAGCTTTGAAGGTTTCGTTGGAAACGGGAATATCTTCATATAAAATCAAGACAGAAGCATTCTCAGAAACTTCTCTGTGATGTTTGCATTCAACTCATAGAGTTGAACACTTCCCTTCATACAGCAGGTTTGAAACACTCTTTTTGTAATATTTGGAAGTGGACATTTGCAGCGCTTTGAGGCCTATGATGAAAAAGGTAATATCTTCCCATAAAAACTAGACAGAAGCATTCTCAGAAACTTGTTTGTGATGTGTGTATTCAACTAACAGAGATGAACCTTTCTTTTTACAGAGCAGTTTTGAAACACTCTTTTTGTGGAATCTGAAAGTGGATATTTGGATAGCTTTGCGGATTTCGTTGGAAACGGGATTACATATAAAATCTAGGGAGAAGCATTCTCAGGAACTTCTTTGTGATGTTTGCATTCAAGTCACAGAACTGAACATTCCCTTTCATAGAGCAGGTTTGAAACACTCTTTCTGTAGTATCTGCAAGCGGACGTTTTAAGCGCTTTCAGGCCTGTGGTGAGAAAGGAAATATCTTCAAATAAAAACTAGACAGAAGCATTCTCAGAAACTTATTTGCGATGTGTGTCCTCAACTAACAGCGTTGAACCTTTCTATTGATACAACATTTTGGAAACACTCTTTTTGTAGAATCTGCAAGTGGATATTTGGATAGCTTTGAAGGTTTCGTTGGAAACGGGAATATCTTCATATGAAATCAAGACAGAAGCATTCTCAGAAACTGCTTTGTGATGTTTTCATTCAAGTCACAGAGTAGAATGTTCCCTTTTATATACCAGGTTTGAGACACTCTTTCTGCACTATCTGGAAGTGGACATTTGGAGCGCTTTGAGGCCTATGATGAAAAAGGAAATATCTTCCCATAAAAACTAGACAGAAGCATTCTCAGAAACTTGTTTGTGATGTGTGTATTCAACTAACAGAGATGAACCTTTCTTTTTACAGAGCAGATTTGAAACACTCTTTTTGTGGAATCTGAAAGTGGATATTTGGACAGCTTTGAGGATTTCGTTGGAAACGGGATTACATATAAAATCTAGAGAGAAGCATTCTCAGGAACTTCTTTGTGATGTTTGCATTCACGTCACAGAACTGAACATTCCCTTTCATAGAGCATGTTTGAAACACTCTTTCTGTAGTATCTGCAAACGGACATTTCAAGCGCTTTCAGGCCTATGGTAAGAAAGGAAATTTCTTCAAATAAAAACTAGACAGAAGCATTCTCAGAAACTTATTTGCGATGTGTGTCCTCAACTAACAGAGTTGAACCTTTGTTTTGATACAACATTTTGGAAACACTCTTTTAGTAGAATCTGCAAGTGGATATTTGGATAGCTTTGAAGGTTTCGTTGGAAACGGGAATATCTTCATATAAAATCAAGACAGAAGCATTCTCAGAAACTTCTCTGTGATGTTTGCATTCAACTCATAGAGGTGAACACTTCCCTTCATAGAGCAGGTTTGAAACACTCTTTTTGTAATATTTGGAAGTGGACATTTGCAGCGCTTTGAGGCCTATGTTGAAAAACGAAATATCTTCTCCTAAAAACCAGACAGAAGCATTCTCAGAAACTTCCTTGTGATGTGTGTACTCAAGTAACAGAGTTGAACCTTACTTTTGACAGAGCCGTTTTGAAACAGTCTTTTTGTAGAATCTGGAAGTAGATATTTGGACACCTTTGAGGATTTCTTTGGAAACGGGATATCTTCATATAAAATCTAGACAGAGGCATTCTCAGAAACTTCTTTGTGCTGTATGTCCTCAATTAACAGAGTTGAACCTTTGTGTGGATACAGCATTTTGGAAACACTCCTTTAGTAGGATATGCAAGTTGATATTTAGATAGCTAGGAAGATTTCCTTGGAAACGGGAATATCTTCATATAAAATCTAGACGGAAGCATTCTCAGAAAGTGCTTTGTGATGTTTGCATTCAAGTCACAGAGTTGAATATTCCCTTTTATAGAGCAGGTTTGAAACACTCTTTCTGCACTACCTGGAAGTGGACATTTGGAGCGCTTTGAGGCCTATGTTGAAAAAGGAAATATCTTCCCATAAAAACTAGACAGAAGCATTCTCAGAAACTTGTTTGTGATGTGTGTATTCAACTAACAGAGATGAACCTTTCTTTTTACACAGCAGTTTTGAAACACTCTTTTTGTGGAATCTGAAAGTGGATATTTGGATAGCTTTGAGGATTTCGTTGGAAACGGGATTACATATAAAACCTAGAGAGAAGCATTCTCAGGAACTTCTTTGTGATGTTTGCATTCAAGTCACAGAACTGAACGTTCCCTTTCATAGAGCAGGTTTGAAACACTCTTTCTGTAGTATCTGCAAGCTGACGTTTCAAGCGCTTTCAGGCCTATGGTGAGAAAGGAAATATCTTCAAGTAAAAACTAGACAGAAGCATTCTCAGAAACTTATTTGCGATGTGTGTTCTCAACTAACAGAGTTGAACCTTTGTTTTGATACGGCATTTTGGAAACACTCTTTTTGTAGAATCTGCAGGTGGATATTCGGATAGCTTTGAAGGTTTCGTTGGAAACGGGAATATCTTCATATAAAATCTAGACGGAAGCATTCTCAGAAACTGCTTTGTGATGTTTTCATTCAAGTCACAGAGTAGAATGTTCCCTGTTATATACCAGGTTTGAGACACTCTTTCTGCACTACCTGGAAGTGGACATTTGCAGCGCTTTGAGGCCTATGATGAAAAAGGAAATATCTTCCCATAAAAACTAGACAGAAGCATTCTCAGAAACTTCTTTGTGATGTGTGTATTCAACTAACAGAGATGAACCTTTCTTTTTACAGAGCAGTTTTGAAACACTCTTTTTGTGGAATCTGAAAGTGGATATTTGGATAGCTTTGAGGATTTCGTTGGAAACGGGATTAAATATAAAATCTAGAGAGAAGCATTCTCAGGAACTTCTTTGTGATGTTTGCATTCACGTCACAGAACTGAACATTCCCTTTCATAGAGCATGTTTGAAACACTCTTTCTGTAGTATCTGCAAACGGACATTTCAAACGCTTTCAGGCCTATGGTGAGAAAGGAAATATCTTCAAATAAAAACTAGACAGAAGCATTCTCAGAAACTTATTTGCGATGTGTGTCTTCAACTAACAGAGTTGAACCTTTCTTTTGATATAACATTTTGGAAACACTCTTTTTGTAGAATCTGCAAGTGGATATTTGAATAGCTTTGAAGGTTTCGTTGGAAACGGGAATATCTTCATATAAAATCAAGACAGAAGCATTCTCAGAAACTTCTCTGTGATGTTTGCATTCAACTGATAGAGTTGAACAATTCCCTTCATACAGCAGGTTTGAAACACTCTTTTTGTAATATTTGGAAGTGGACATTTGCAGCGCTTTGAGGCCTATGATGAAAAAGGAAATATCTTCCCATAAAAACTAGACAGAAGCATTCTCAGAAACTTGTTTGTGATGTGTGTATTCAACTAACAGAGATGAACCTTTCTTTTTACAGAGCAGTTTTGAAACACTCTTTTTGTGGAATCTGAAAGTGGATATTTGGATAGCTTTGCGGATTTCGTTGGAAACGGGATTACATATAAAATCTAGGGAGAAGCATTCTCAGGAACTTCTTTGTGATGTTTGCATTCAAGTCACAGAACTGAACATTCCCTTTCATAGAGCAGGTTTGAAACACTCTTTCTGTAGTATCTGCAAGTGGACGTTTGAAGCGCTTTCAGGCCTGTGGTGAAAAAGGAAATATCTTGAAATAAAAACTAGACAGAAGCATTCTCAGAAACTTATTAGCGATGTCCGTTCTCAACTAAAAGAGTTGAACCTTTGTTTGGATACAGCATTTTGGAAACACTCTTTTTGTAGAATCTGCAAGTGGATATTTGGATAGCTTTGAAGGTTTCGTTGGAAACGGGAATATCTTCATATAAAATCAAGACAGAAGCATTCTCAGAAAGTGCTTTGTGATGTTTGCATTCAAGTCACAGAGTTGAATATTCCCTTTTATAGAGTAGGTTTGAAACACTCTTTCTGCACTACCTGGAAGTGGACATTTGGAGCGCTTTGAGGCCTATGTTGAAAAAGGAAATATCTTCCCATAAAAACTAGACAGAAGCATTCTCAGAAACTTGTTTGTGATGTGTGTATTCAACTAACAGAGATGAACCTTTCTTTTTACAGAGCAGTTTTGAAACACTCTTTTTGTGGAATCTGAAAGTGGATATTTGGATAGCTTTGAGGATTTCGTTGGAAACGGGATTACATATAAAATCTAGAGAGAAGCATTCTCAGGAACTTCTTTGTGATGTTTGCATTCACGTCACAGAGCTGAACATTCCCTTTCATAGAGCATGTTTGAAACACTCTTTCTGTAGTATCTGCAAACGGACATTTCAAACGCTTTCAGGCCTATGGTGAGAAAGGAAATATCTTCAAATAAAAACTAGACAGAAGCATTCTCAGAAACTTATTTGCGATGTGTGTCCTCAACTATCAGAGTTGAACCTTTCTTTTGATTCAACATTTTGGAACCACTCTTTTTGTAGAATCTGCAAGTGGATATTTGAATAGCTTTGAAGGTTTCGTTGGAAAGGGGAATATCTTCATATAAAATCAAGACAGAAGCATTCTCAGAAACTTCTCTGTGATGTTTGCATTCAACTCATAGAGTTGAACACTTCCCTTCATACAGCAGGTTTGAAACACTCTTTTTGTAATATTTGGAAGTGGACATTTGCAGCGCTTTGAGGCCTATGATGAAAATGGAAATATCTTCCCATAAAAACTAGACAGAAGCATTCTCAGAAACTTGTTTGTGATGTGTGTATTCAACTAACAGAGATGAACCTTTCTTTTTACAGAGCAGTTTTGAAACACTCTTTTTGTGGAATCTGAAAGTGGATATTTGGATAGCTTTGCGGATTTCGTTGGAAACGGGATTACATATAAAATCTAGGGAGAAGCATTCTCAGGAACTTCTTTGTGATGTTTGCATTCAAGTCACAGAACTGAACATTCCCTTTCATAGAGCAGGTTTGAAACACTCTTTCTGTAGTATCTGCAAGCGGACGTTTTAAGCGCTTTCAGGCCTGTGGTGAGAAAGGAAATATCTTCAAATAAAAACTAGACAGAAGCATTCTCAGAAAAGTATTTGCGATGTGTGTCCTCAACTAACAGAGTTGAACCTTTCTTTTGATACAACATTTTGGAAACACTCTTTTTGTAGAATCTGCAAGTGGATATTTGGATAGCTTTGAAGGTTTCGTTGGAAACGGGAATATCTTCATATGAAATCAAGACAGAAGCATTCTCAGAAACTTCTCTGTGATGTTTGCATTCAACTCATAGAGTTGAACACTTCCCTTCATACAGCAGGTTTGAAACACTCTTTTTGTAATATTTGGAAGTGGACATTTGCAGCGCTTTGAGGCCTATGATGAAAAAGGAAATATCTTCCCATAAAAACTAGACAGGAAGCATTCTCAGAAACTTGTTTGTGATGTGTGTATTCAACTAACAGAGATGAACCTTTCTTTTTACAGAGCAGTTTTGAAACACTCTTTTTGTGGAATCTGAAAGTGGATATTTGGATAGCTTTGCGGATTTCGTTGGAAACGGGATTACATATAAAATCTAGGGAGAAGCATTCTCAGGAACTTCTTTGTGATGTTTGCATTCAAGTCACAGAACTGAACATTCCCTTTCATAGAGCAGGTTTGAAACACTCTTTCTGTAGTATCTGCAAGCGGACGTTTTAAGCGCTTTCAGGCCTGTGGTGAGAAAGGAAATATCTTCAAATAAAAACTAGACAGAAGCATTCTCAGAAACTTATTTGCGATGTGTGTCCTCAACTAACAGAGTTGAACCTTTATTTTGATACAACATTTTGGAAACACTCTTTTTGTAGAATCTGCATGTGGATATTTGGATAGCTTTGAAGATTTCGTTGGAAACGGGAATATCTTCATATAAAATCAAGACAGAAGCATTCTCAGAAACTTCTCTGTGATGTTTGCATTCAACTCATAGAGTTGAACACTTCCCTTCATACAGCAGGTTTGAAACACTCTTTTTGTAATATTTGGAAGTGGACATTTGCAGCGCTTTGAGGCCTATGTTGAAAAAGGAAATATCTTCTCCTAAAAACCAGACAGAAGCATTCTCAGAAACTTGTTTGTGATGTGTGTATTCAACTAACAGAGATGAACCTTTCTTTTTACAGAGCAGTTTTGAAACACTCTTTTTGTGGAATCTGAAAGTGGATATTTGGATAGCTTTGAGGATTTCGTTGGAAACGGGATTACATATAAAATCTAGAGAGAAGCATTCTCAGGAACTTCTTTGTGATGTTTGCATTCACGTCACAGAACTGAACATTCCCTTTCATAGAGCATGTTTGAAACACTCTTTCTGTAGTATCTGCAAACGGACATTTCAAACGCTTTCAGGCCTATGGTGAGAAAGGAAATATCTTCAAATAAAAACTAGACAGAAGCATTCTCAGAAACTTATTTGCGATGTGTGTCCTCAACTAACAGAGTTGAACCTTTCTTTTGATACAACATTTTGGAAACACTCTTTTTGTAGAATCTGCAAGTGGATATTTGAATAGCTTTGAAGGTTTCGTTGGAAACGGGAATATCTTCATATAAAATCAAGACAGAAGCATTCTCAGAAACTTCTCTGTGATGTTTGCATTCAACTCATAGAGTTGAACACTTCCCTTCATACAGCAGGCTTGAAACACTCTTTTTGTAATATTTGGAAGTGGACATTTGCAGCGCTTTGATGCCTATGATGAAAAAGGTAATATCTTCCCATAAAAACTAGACAGAAGCATTCTCAGAAACTTGTTTGTGATGTGTGTATTCAACTAACAGCAGATGAACCTTTCTTTTTACAGAGCAGTTTTGAAACACTCTTTTTGTGGAATTTGAAAGTGGATATTTGGATAGCTTTGCGGATTTCGTTGGAAACGGGATTACATATAAAATCTAGGGAGAAGCATTCTCAGGAACTTCTTTGTGATGTTTGCATTCACGTCACAGAACTGAACATTCCCTTTCATAGAGCATGTTTGAAACACTCTTTCTGTAGTATCTGCAAACGGACATTTCAAACGCTTTCAGGCCTATGGTGAGAAAGGAAATATCTTCAAGTAAAAACTAGACAGAAGCATTCTCAGAAACTTATTTGCGATGTGTGTCCTCAACTAACAGAGTTGAACCTTTCTTTTGATACAACATTTTGGAAACACTCTTTTTGTAGAATCAGCAAGTGGATATTTGAATAGCTTTGAAGGTTTCGTTGGAAACGGGAATATCTTCATATAAAATCAAGACAGAAGCATTCTCAGAAATTTCTCTGTGATGTTTGCATTCAACTCATAGAGTTGAACACTTCCCTTCATACAGCAGGTTTGAAACACTCTTTTTGTAATATTTGGAAGTGGACATTTGCAGCGCTTTGAGGCCTATGATGAAAAAGGTAATATCTTCCCATAAAAACTAGACAGAAGCATTCTCAGAAACTTGTTTGTGATGTGTGTATTCAACTAACAGAGATGAACCTTTCTTTTTACAGAGCAGTTTTGAAACACTCTTTTTGTGGAATCTGAAAGTGGATATTTGGATAGCTTTGCAGATTTCGTTGGAAACGGGATTACATATAAAATCTAGGGAGAAGCATTCTCAGGAACTTCTTTGTGATGTTTGCATTCAAGTCACAGAACTGAACATTCCCTTTCATAGAGCAGGTTTGAAACACTCTTTCTGTAGTATCTGCAAGCGGACGTTTTAAGCGCTTTCAGGCCTGTGGTGAGAAAGGAAATATCTTCAAATAAAAACTAGACAGAAGCATTCTCAGAAACTTATTTGCGATGTGTGTCCTCAACTAACAGAGTTGAACCTTTCTTTTGATACAACATTTTGGAAACACTCTTTTTGTAGAATCTGCAAGTGGATATTTGGATAACTTTGAAGGTTTCGTTGGAAACGGGAATATCTTCATATGAAATCAAGACAGAAGCATTCTCAGAAACTTCTCTGTGATGTTTGCATTCAACTCATAGAGTTGAACACTTCCCTTCATACAGCAGGTTTGAAACACTCTTTTTCTAATATTTGGAAGTGGACATTTGCAGCGCTTTGAGGCCTATGTTGAAAAAGGAAATATCTTCTCCTAAAAACCAGACAGAAGCATTCTCAGAAACTTCCTTGTGATGTGTGTACTCAAGTAACAGAGTTGAACCTTCCTTTTGACAGAGCAGTTTTGAAGCACTCTTTTTGTAGAATCTGCAAGTGGATATTTTGATACCTTTGAGGATTTCGTTGGACACGGGATATCTTCATATAAAATCTAGACAGAAGCATTCTCAGAAACTTCTTTGTGCTGTATGTCCTCAATTTACAGAGTTGAACCTTTGTGTGGATACAGCATTTTGGAAACATTCCTTTAGTAGAATCTGCAAGTTGATATTTAGATAGCTAGGAAGATTTCCTTGGAAACGGGAATATCTTCATATAAAATCTAGACGGAAGCATTCTCAGAAAGTGCTTTGTGATGTTTGCATTCAAGTCACAGAGTTGAATATTCCCTTTTATAGAGCAGGTTTGAAACACTCTTTCTGCACTACCTGGAAGTGGACATTTGGAGCGCTTTGAGGCCTATGTTGAAAAAGGAAATATCTTCCCATAAAAACTAGACAGAAGCATTCTCAGAAACTTGTTTGTGATGTGTGTATTCAACTAACAGAGATGAACCTTTCTTTTTACAGAGCAGTTTGGAAACACTCTTTTTGTGGAATCTGAAAGTGGATATTTGGATAGCTTTGAGGATTTCGTTGGAAACGGGATTACATATAAAATCTAGAGAGAAGCATTCTCAGGGAACTTCTTTGTGATGTTTGCATTCCAGTCACAGAACTGAACATTCCCTTTCATAGAGCATGTTTGAAACACTCTTTCTGTAGTATCTGCAAGCGGACGTTTCAAGCGCTTTCAGGCCTATGGTGCGGAAGGAAATATCTTCATGTAAAAACTAGACAGAAGCATTCTCAGAAACTAATTTGCCATGTGTGTTCTCAACTAACAGAGTTGAACCTATGTTTTGATACGGCATTTTGGAAACACTCTTTTTGTAGAATCTGCAGGTGGATATTCGGATAGCTTTGAAGGTTTCGTTGGAAACGGGAATATCTTCATATAAAATACTAGACGGAAGCATTCTCAGAAACTGCTTTGTGATGTTTTCATTCAAGTCACAGAGTAGAATGTTCCCTGTTATATACCAGGTTTGAGACACTCTTTCTGCACTACCTGGAAGTGGACGTTTGGAGCGCTTTGAGGCCTATGTTGAAAAAGGAAATATCTTCCCATAAAAACTAGACAGAAGCATTCTCAGAAACTTGTTTGTGATGTGTGTATTCAACTAACAGAGATGAACCTTTCTTTTTACAGAGCAGTTTTGAAACACTCTTTTTGTGGAATCTGAAAGTGGATATTTGGATAGCTTTGAGGATTTCGTTGGAAACGGGATTACATATAAAACCTAGAGAGAAGCATTCTCAGGAACTTCTTTGTGATGTTTGCATTCAAGTCACAGAACTGAACATTCCCTTTCATAGAGCAGGTTTGAAACACTCTTTCTGTAGTGTCTGCAAGCTGACGTTTCAAGCGCTTTCAGGCCTATGGTGAGAAAAGAAATATCTTCAAGTAAAAACTAGACAGAAGCATTCTCAGAAACTTATTTGCGATGTGTGTTCTCAACTAACAGAGTTGAACCTTTGTTTTGATATGGCATTTTGGAAACACTCTTTTTGTAGAATCTGCAGGTGGATATTCGGATAGCTTTGAAGGTTTCGTTGGAAACGGGAATATCTTCATATAAAATCTAGACGGAAGCATTCTCAGAAACTGCTTTGTGATGTTTTCATTCAAGTCACAGAGTAGAATGTTCCCTGTTATATACCAGGTTTGAGACACTCTTTCTGCACTACCTGGAAGTGGACGTTTGGAGCGCTTTGAGGCCTATGTTGAAAAAGGAAATATCTTCCCATAAAAACTAGACAGAAGCATTCTCAGAAACTTGTTTGTGATGTGTGTATTCAACTAACAGAGATGAACCTTTCTTTTTACAGAGCAGTTTTGAAACACTCTTTTTGTGGAATCTGAAAGTGGATATTTGGATAGCTTTGAGGATTTCGTTGGAAACGGGATTACATATAAAACCTAGAGAGAAGCATTCTCAGGAACTTCTTTGTGATGTTTGCATTCAAGTCAAAGAACTGAACATTCCCTTTCATTGAGCAGCTTTGAAACACTCTTTCTGTAGTATCTGCAAGCGGACGTTTCAAGCGCTTTCAGGCCTGTGGTGAAAAGGGAAATATCTTCAAATAAAAACTAGACAGAAAGCATTCTCAGAAACTTATTTGCGATGTGTGTTCTCAACTAACAGAGTTGAACCTTTGTTTTGATATGGCATTTTGGAAACACTCTTTTTGTAGAATCTGCAGGTGGATATTCGGATAGCTTTGAAGGTTTCGTTGGAAACGGGAATATCTTCATATAAAATCTAGACGGAAGCATTCTCAGAAACTGCTTTGTGATGTTTTCATTCAAGTCACAGAGTAGAATGTTCCCTGTTATATACCAGGTTTGAGACACTCTTTCTGCACTACCTGGAAGTGGACATTTGCAGCGCTTTGAGGCCTATGATGAAAAAGGAAATATCTTCCCATAAAAACTAGACAGAAGCATTCTCAGAAACTTGTTTGTGATGTGTGTATTCAACTAACAGAGATGAACCTTTCTTTTTACAGAGCAGTTTTGAAACACTCTTTTTGTGGAATCTGAAAGTGGATATTTGGATAGCTTTGAGGATTTCGTTGGAAACGGGATTACATATAAAATCTAGAGAGAAGCACTCTCAGGAACTTCTTTGTGATGTTTGCATTCACGTCACAGAACTGAACATTCCCTTTCATAGAGCATGTTTGAAACACTCTTTCTGTAGTATCTGCAAACGGACATTTCAAACGCTTTCAGGCCTATGGTGAGAAAGGAAATATCTTCAAGTAAAAACTAGACAGAAGCATTCTCAGAAACTTATTTGCGATGTGTGTCCTCAACTAACAGAGTTGAACCTTTGTTTTGATACAACATTTTGGAAACATTCTTTTTGTAGAATCTGCAAGTGGATATTTGAATAGCTTTGAAGGTTTCGTTGGAAACGGGAATATCTTCAAATAAAATCAAGACAGAAGCATTCTCAGAAACTTCTCTGTGATGTTTGCATTCAACTCATAGAGTTGAACACTTCCCTTCATACAGCAGGTTTGAAACACTCTTTTTGTAATATTTGGAAGTGGACATTTGCAGCGCTTTGAGGCCTATGATGAAAAAGGTAATATCTTCCCATAAAAACTAGACAGAAGCATTCTCAGAAACTTGTTTGTGATGTGTGTATTCAACTAACAGAGATGAACCTTTCTTTTTACAGAGCAGTTTTGAAACACTCTTTTTGTGGAATCTGAAAGTGGATATTTGGATAGCTTTGCGGATTTCGTTGGAAACGGGATTACATATAAAATCTAGGGAGAAGCATTCTCAGGAACTTCTTTGTGATGTTTGCATTCAAGTCACAGAACTGAACATTCCCTTTCATAGAGCAGGTTTGAAACACTCTTTCTGTAGTATCTGCAAGCGGACGTTTTAAGCGCTTTCAGGCCTGTGGTGAGAAAGGAAATATCTTCAAATAAAAACTAGACAGAAGCATTCTCAGAAACTTATTTGCGATGTGTGTCCTCAACTAACAGAGTTGAACCTTTCTTTTGATACAACATTTTGGAAACACTCTTTTTGTAGAATCTGCAAGTGGATATTTGGATAGCTTTGAAGGTTTCGTTGGAAACGGGAATATCTTCATATGAAATCAAGACAGAAGCATTCTCAGAAACTTCTCTGTGATGTTTGCATTCAACTCATAGAGTTGAACACTTCCCTTCATACAGCAGGTTTGAAACACTCTTTTTGTAATATTTGGAAGTGGACATTTGCAGCGCTTTGAGGCCTATGTTGAAAAAGGAAATATCTTCTCCTAAAAACCAGACAGAAGCATTCTCAGAAACTTCCTTGTGATGTGTGTACTCAAGTAACAGAGTTGAACCTTCCTTTTGACAGAGCAGTTTTGAAGCACTCTTTTTGTAGAATCTGCAAGTGGATATTTTGATACCTTTGAGGATTTCGTTGGACACGGGATATCTTCATATAAAATCTAGACAGAAGCATTCTCAGAAACTTCTTTGTGCTGTATGTCCTCAATTAACAGAGTTAAACCTTTGTGTGGATACAGCATTTTGGAAACATTCCTTTAGTAGAATCTGCAAGTTGATATTTAGATAGCTAGGAAGATTTCCTTGGAAACGGGAATATCTTCATATAAAATCTAGACGGAAGCATTCGCAGAAAGTGCTTTGTGATGTTTGCATTCAAGTCACAGAGTTTAATATTCCCTTTTATAGAGCAGGTTTGAAACACTCTTTCTGCACTACCTGGAAGTGGACATTTGGAGCGCTTTGAGGCCTATGTTGAAAAACGAAATATCTTCCCATAAAAACTAGACAGAAGCATTCTCAGAAACTTGTTTGTGATGTGTGTATTCAACTAACAGAGATGAACCTTTCTTTTTACAGAGCAGTTTTGAAACACTCTTTTTGTGGAATCTGAAAGTGGATATTTGGATAGCTTTGAGGATTTCGTTGGAAACGGGATTACATATAAAACCTAGAGAGAAGCATTCTCAGGAACTTCTTTGTGATGTTTGCCTTCAAGTCACAGGACTGAACATTCCCTTTCATAGAGCAGGTTTGAAACACTCTTTCTGTAGTATCTGCAAGCTGACGTTTCAAGCGCTTTCAGGCCTATGGTGAGAAAGGAAATATCTTCAAGTAAAAACTAGACAGAAGCATTCTCAGAAACTTATTTGCCATGTGTGTTCTCAACTAACAGAGTTGAACCTTTGTTTTGATACGGCATTTTGGAAACACTCTTTTTGTAGAATCTGCAGGTGGATATTCGGATAGCTTTGAAGGTTTCGTTGGAAACGGGAATATCTTCATATAAAATCTTGACGGAAGCATTCTCAGAAACTGCTTTGTGATGTTTTCATTCAAGTCACAGAGTAGAATCTTCCCTGTTATATACCAGGTTTCAGACCCTCTTTCTGCACTACCTGGAAGTGGACATTTGCAGCGCTTTGAGGCCTATGATGAAAAAGGAAATATCTTCCCATAAAAACTAGACAGAAGCATTCTCAGAAACTTGTTTGTGATGTGTGTATTCAACTAACAGAGATGAACCTTTCTTTTTACAGAGCAGTTTTGAAACACTCTTTTTGTGGAATCTGAAAGTGGATATTTGGATAGCTTTGAGGATTTCGTTGGAAACGGGATTACATATAAAATCTAGAGAGAAGCATTCTCAGGAACTTCTTTGTGATGTTTGCATTCACGTCACAGAACTGAACATTCCCTTTCATAGAGCATGTTTGAAACACTCTTTCTGTAGTATCTGCAAACGGACATTTCAAACGCTTTCCGGCCTATGGTGAGAAAGGAAATATCTTCAAATAAAAACTAGACAGAAGCATTCTCAGAAACTTATTTAACATGTGTGTTCTCAACTAACAGAGTTGAACCTTTGTTTTGATACGGCATTTTGGAAACACTCTTTTTGTAGAATCTGCTGGTGGATATTCGGATAGCTTTGAAGGTTTCGTTGGAAACGGGAATACCTTCATAGAAAATCTAGACGGAAGCATTCTCAGAAACTGCTTTGTGATGTTTTCATTCAAGTCACAGAGTAGAATGTTCTCTTTTATATACCAGGTTTGAGACACTCTTTCTGCACTATCTGGAAGTGGACATTTGGAGCGCTTTGAGGCCTATGATGAAAAAGGAAATATCTTCCCATAAAAACTAGACAGAAGCATTCTCAGAAACTTGGTTGTGATGTGTGTATTCAACTAACAGAGATGAACCTTTCTTTTTACAGAGCAGTTTTGAAACACTCTTTTTGTGGAATCTGAAAGTGCATATTTGGATAGCTTTGAGGATTTCGTTGGAAACGGGATTACATATAAAATCTAGAGAGAAGCATTCTCAGGAACTTCTTTGTGATGTTTGCATTCACGTCACAAAACTGAACATTCCCTTTCATAGAGCATGTTTGAAACACTCTTTCTGTAGTATCTGCAAACGGACATTTCAAACGCTTTCAGGCCTATGGTGAGGAAGGAAATATCTTCAAATAAAAACTAGACAGAAGCATTCTCAGAAACTTATTTGCGATGTGTGTCCTCAACTAACAGAGTTGAACCTTTCTTTTGATACAACATTTTGGAAACACTCTTTTTGTAGAATCTGCAAGTGGATATTTGAATAGCTTTGAAGGTTTCGTTGGAAACGGGAATATCTTCAAATAAAAACTAGACAGAAGCATTCTCAGAAACTTATTTGCGATGTGTGTCCTCAACTAACAGAGTTGAACCTTTCTTTTGATACAACATTTTGGAAACACTCTTTTTGTAGATTCTGCAAGTGGATATTTGAATAGCTTTGAAGGTTTCGTTGGAAACGGGAATATCTTCATATAAAATCAAGACAGAAGCATTCTCAGAAACTTCTCTGTGATGTTTGCATTCAACTCATAGAGTTGAACACTTCCCCTCATACAGCAGGTTTGAAACACTCTTTTTGTAATATTTGGAAGTGGACATTTGCAGCGCTTTGAGGCCTATGATGAAAAAGGTAATATCTTCCCATAAAAACTAGACAGAAGCGTTCTCAGAAACTTGTTTGTGACGTGTGTATTCAACTAACAGAGATGAACCTTTCTTTTTACAGAGCAGTTTTGAAACACTCTTTTTGTGGAATCTGAAAGTGGATATTTGGATAGCTTTGCGGATTTCGTTGGAAACGGGATTACATATAAAATCTAGGGAGAAGCATTCTCAGGAACTTCTTTGTTATGTTTGCATTCACGTCACAGAACTGAACATTCCCTTTCATAGAGCATGTTTGAAACACTCTTTCTGTAGTATCTGCAAACGGACATTTCAAACGCTTTCAGGCCTATGGTGAGAAAGGAAATATCTTCAAATAAAAACTAGACAGAAGCATTCTCAGAAACTTATTTGCGATGTGTGTCCTCAACTAACAGAGTTGAACCTTTCTTTTGATACAACATTTTGGAACCACTCTTTTTGTAGAATCTGCAAGTGGATATTTGGATAGCTTTGAAGGTTTCGTTGGAAACGGGAATATCTTCATATAAAATCAAGACAGAAGCATTCTCAGAAACTTCTCTGTGATGTTTGCATTCAACTCATAGAGTTGAACACTTCCCTTCATACAGCAGGTTTGAAACACTCTTTTTGTAATATTTGGAAGTGGACATTTGCAGCGCTTTGAGGCCTATGATGAAAAAGGAAATATCTTCCCATAAAAACTAGACAGAAGCATTCTCAGAAACTTGTTTGTGATGTGTGTATTCAACTAACAGAGATGAACCTTTCTTTTTACAGAGCAGTTTTGAAACACTCTTTTTGTGGAATCTGAAAGTGGATATTTGGATAGCTTTGAGGATTTCGTTGGAAATGGGATTACATATAAAATCTAGGGAGAAGCATTCTCAGGAACTTCTTTGTGATGTTTGCATTCACGTCACAGAACTGAACATTCCCTTTCATAGAGCATGTTTGAAACACTCTTTCTGTAGTATCTGCAAACGGACATTTCAAACGCTTTCAGGCCTATGGTGAGAAAGGAAATATCTTCAAGTAAAAACTAGACAGAAGCATTCTCAGAAACTTATTTGCGATGTGTGTCCTCAACTAACAGAGTTGAACCTTTCTTTTGATACAACATTTTGGAAACACTCTTTTTGTAGAATCTGCAAGTGGATATTTGAATAGCTTTGAAGGTTTCGTTGGAAACGGGAATATCTTCATATAAAATCAAGACAGAAGCATTCTCAGAAACTTCTCTGTGATGTTTGCATTCAACTCATAGAGTTGAACACTTCCCTTCATACAGCAGGTTTGAAACACTCTTTTTGTAATATTTGGAAGTGGACATTTGCAGCGCTTTGAGGCCTATGATGAAAAAGGTAATATCTTCCCATAAAAACTAGACAGAAGCATTCTCAGAAACTTGTTTGTGATGTGTGTATTCAACTAACAGAGATGAACCTTTCTTTTTACAGAGCAGTTTTGAAACACTCTTTTTGTGGAATCTGAAAGTGGATATTTGGATAGCTTTGAGGATTTCGTTGGAAACGGGATTACATATAAAATCTAGAGAGAAGCATTCTCAGGAACTTCTTTGTGATGTTTGCATTCAAGTCACAGAACTGAACATTCCCTTTCATAGAGCATGTTTGAAACACTCTTTCTGTAGTATCTGCAAGCGGACGTTTTAAGCGCTTTCAGGCCTGTGGTGAGAAAGGAAATATCTTCAAATAAAAACTAGACAGAAGCATTCTCAGAAACTTATTTGCGATGTGTGTCCTCAACTAACAGAGTTGAACCTTTCTTTTGATACAACATTTTGGAAACACTCTTTTTGTAGAATCTGCAAGTGGATATTTGGATAGCTTTGAAGGTTTCGTTGGAAACGGGAATATCTTCATATGAAATCAAGACAGAAGCATTCTCAGAAACTTCTCTGTGATGTTTGCATTCAACTCATAGAGTTGAACACTTCCCTTCATACAGCAGGTTTGAAACACTCTTTTTGTAATATTTGGAAGTGGACATTTGCAGCGCTTTGAGGCCTATGATGAAAAAGGAAATATCTTCCCATAAAAACTAGACAGGAAGCATTCTCAGAAACTTCCTTGTGATGTGTGTACTCAAGTAACAGAGTTGAACCTTCATTTTGACAGAGCAGTTTTGAAGCACTCTTTTTGTAGAATCTGCAAGTGGATATTTTGATACCTTTGAGGATTTCGTTGGACACGGGATATCTTCATATAAAATCTAGACAGAAGCATTCTCAGGAACTTCTTTGTGATGTTTGCATTCAAGTCACAGAACTGAACATTCCCTTTCATAGAGCAGGTTTTGAAACACTCTTTCTGTAGTATCTCCAAGCGGACGTTTTAAGCGCTTTCAGGCCTGTGGTGAGAAAGGAAATATCTTCAAATAAAAACTAGACAGAAGCATTCTCAGAAACTTATTTGCGATGTGTGTTCTCAACTAACAGAGTTGAACCTTTGTTTTGATATGGCATTTTGGAAACACTCTTTTTGTAGAATCTGCAGGTGGATATTCGGATAGCTTTGAAGGTTTCGTTGGAAACGGGAATATCTTCATATAAAATCTAGACGGAAGCATTCTCAGAAACTGCTTTGTGATGTTTTCATTCAAGTCACACAGTAGAATGTTCCCTGTTATATACCAGGTTTGAGACACTCTTTCTGCACTACCTGGAAGTGGACATTTGCAGCGCTTTGAGGCCTATGGTGAAAAAGGAAATATCTTCCCATAAAAACTAGACAGAAGCATTCTCAGAAACTTGTTTGTGATGTGTGTATTCAACTAACAGAGATGAACCTTTCTTTTTACAGAGCAGTTTTGAAACACTCTTTTTGTGGAATCTGAAAGTGGATATTTGGATAGCTTTGAGGATTTCGTTGGAAACGGGATTACATATAAAATGCTAGAGAGAAGCATTCTCAGGAACTTCTTTGTGATGTTTGCATTCACGTCACAGAACTGAACATTCCCTTTCATAGAGCAGGTTTGAAACACTCTTTCTGTAGTATCTGCAAACGGACATTTCAAACGCTTTCAGGCCTATGGTGAGAAAGGAAATATCTTCAAATAAAAACTAGACAGAAGCATTCTCAGAAACTTATTTGCGATGTGTGTCCTCAACTAACAGAGTTGAACCTTTCTTTTGATACAACATTTTGGAAACACTCTTTTTGTAGAATCTGCAAGTGGATATTTGAATAGCTTTGAAGGTTTCGTTGGAAACGGGAATATCTTCATATAAAATCAAGACAGAAGCATTCTCAGAAACTTCTCTGTGATGTTTGCATTCAACTCATAGAGTTGAACACTTCCCTTCATACAGCAGGTTTGAAACACTCTTTTTGTAATATTTGGAAGTGGACATTTGCAGCGCTTTGAGGCCTATGTTGAAAAAGGAAATATCTTCTCCTAAAAACCAGACAGAAGCATTCTCAGAAACTTCCTTGTGATGTGTGTACTCAAGTAACAGAGTTGAACCTTCCTTTTTACAGAGCAGTTTTGAAACACTCTTTTTGTGGAATGTGAAAGTGGATATTTGGATAGCTTTGCGGATTTCGTTATAAACGGGATTACATATAAAATCTAGGGAGAAGCATTCTCAGAAACTTCTCTGTTCTGTTTGCATTCAACTCATAGAGTTGAACACTTCCTTTCATAGAGCTGGTTTGAAATACTCTTTTTGTAATATTTGGAAGTGGACATTGGCAGCGCTTTGAAGCTTATGGTGAAAAAGGAGATATCTTCTCCTAAAAACCAGACAGAAGCATTCTCAGAATCTTTCTTGTGATGTGTGTACTCAAGTAACAGAGTTGAACCTTCATTTTGACAGAGCAGTTTTGAAGCACTCTTTTTGTAGAATCTGCAAGTGGATATTTTGATACCTTTGAGGATTTCGTTAGACACGGGATATCTTCATATAAAATCTAGACAGAAGCATTCTCAGGAACTTCTTTGTGATGTTTGCCTTCAAGTCACAGGACTGAACATTCCCTTTCATAGAGCAGGTTTGAAACACTCTTTCTGTAGTATCTGCAAGCTGACGTTTCAAGCGCTTTCAGGCCTATGGTGAGAAAGGAAATATCTTCAAGTAAAAACTAGACAGAAGCATTCTCAGAAACTTATTTGCCATGTGTGTTCTCAACTAACAGAGTTGAACCTTTGTTTTGATACGGCATTTTGGAAACACTCTTTTTGTAGAATCTGCAGGTGGATATTCGGATAGCTTTGAAGGTTTCGTTGGAAACGGGAATATCTTCATATAAAATCTAGACGGAAGCATTCTCAGAAACTGCTTTGTGATGTTTTCATTCAAGTCACAGAGTAGAATGTTCCCTGTTATATACCAGGTTTGAGACACTCTTTCTGCACTACCTGGAAGTGGACGTTTGGAGCGCTTTGAGGCCTATGTTGAAAAAGGAAATATCTTCCCATAAAAACTAGACAGAAGCATTCTCAGAAACTTGTTTGTGATGTGTGTATTCAACTAACAGAGATGAACCTTTCTTTTTACAGAGCAGTTTTGAAACACTCTTTTTGTGGAATCTGAAAGTGGATATTTGGATAGCTTTGAGGATTTCGTTGAAACGGGATTACATATAAAATCTAGAGAGAAGCATTCTCAGGAACTTCTTTGTGATGTTTGCGTTCAAGTCACAGAACTGAACATTCCCTTTCATAGAGCAGGTTTGAAACACTCTTTCTGTAGTATCTGCAAGCGGACGTTTGAAGCGCTTTCAGGCCTGTGGTGAAAAAGGAAATATCTTCAAATAAAAACTAGACAGAAGCATTCTCAGAAACTTATTTGCGATGTGTGTTCCCAACTAAAAGAGTTGAACCTTTGTTTGGATACAGCACTTTGGAAACACTCTTTTTGTAGAATCTGCAAGTGGATATTTGGATAGCTTTGAAGGTTTCGTTGGAAACGGGAATATCTTCATATAAAATCAAGACAGAAGCATTCTCAGAAAGTGCTTTGTGATGTTTGCATTCAAGTCACAGTAGTTGAATGTTCCCTTTTATAGAGCAGGTTTGAAACACTCTTTCTGCACTACCTGGAAGTGGACATTTGGAGCGCTTTGAGGCCTATGTTGAAAAAGGAAATATCTTCCCATAAAAACTAGACAGAAGCATTCTCAGAAACTTGTTTGTGATGTGTGTATTCAACTAACAGAGATGAACCTTTCTTTTTACAGAGCAGTTTTGAAACACTCTTTTTGTGGAATCTGAAAGTGGATATTTGGATAGCTTTGAGGATTTCGTTGGAAACGGGATTACATATAAAACCTAGAGAGAAGCATTCTCAGGAACTTCTTTGTGATGTTTGCATTCAAGTCACAGAACTGAACATTCCCTTTCATAGAGCAGGTTTGAAACACTCTTTCTGTAGTATCTGCAAGCTGACGTTTCAAGCGCTTTCAGGCCTATGGTGAGAAAGGAAATATCTTCAAGTAAAAACTAGACAGAAGCATTCTCAGAAACTTATTTGCGATGTGTGTTCTCAACTAACAGAGTTGAACCTTTGTTTTGATATAGCATTTTGGAAACACTCTTTTTGTAGAATCTGCAGGTGGATATTCGGATAGCTTTGAAGGTTTCGTTGGAAACGGGAATATCTTCATATAAAATCTAGACGGAAGCATTCTCAGAAACTGCTTTGTGATGTTTTCATTCAAGTCACAGAGTAGAATGTTCCGTGTTATATACCAGCTTTGAGACACTCTTTCTGCACTACCTGGAAGTGGACTTTTGGAGCGCTTTGAGGCCTATGTTGAAAAAGGAAATATCTTCCCATAAAAACTAGACAGAAGCATTCTCAGAAACTTGTTTGTGATGTGTGTATTCAACTAACAGAGATGAACCTTTCTTTTTACAGAGCAGTTTTGAAACACTCTTTTGTGGAATCTGAAAGTGGATATTTGGATAGCTTTGAGGATTTCGTTGGAAACGGGATTACATATAAAATCTAGAGAGAAGCATTCTCAGGAACTTCTTTGTGATGTTTGCATTCAAGTCACAGAACTGAACATTCCCTTTCATAGAGCATGTTTGAAACACTCTTTCTGTAGTATCTGCAAGCGGACGTTTCAAGCGCTTTCAGGCCTATGGTGAGAAAGGAAATATCTTCAAGTAAAAACTAGACAGAAGCATTCTCAGAAACTTATTTGCGATGTGTGTCCTCAACTAACAGAGTTGAACCTTTCTTTTGATACAACATTTTGGAAACACTCTTTTTGTAGAATCTGCAAGTGGATATTTGAATAGCTTTGAAGGTTTCGTTGGAAACGGGAATATCTTCATATAAAATCAAGACAGAAGCATTCTCAGAAACTTCTCTGTGATGTTTGCATTCAACTCATAGAGTTGAACACTTCCCTTCATACAGCAGGTTTGAAACACTCTTTTTGTAATATTTGGAAGTGGACATTTGCAGCGCTTTGAGGCCTATGATGAAAAAGGTAATATCTTCCCATAAAAACTAGACAGAAGCATTCTCAGAAACTTGTTTGTGATGTGTGTATTCAACTAAGAGAGATGAACCTTTCTTTTTACAGAGCAGTTTTGAAACACTCTTTTTGTGGAATCTGAAAGTGGATATTTGGATAGCTTTGCGGATTTCGTTGGAAACGGGATTACATATAAAATCTAGGGAGAAAGCATTCTCAGGAACTGCTTTGTGATGTTTGCATTCAAGTCACAGAACTGAACATTCCCTTTCATAGAGCAGGTTTGAAACACTCTTTCTGTAGTATCTGCAAGCTGACGTTTCAAGCGCTTTCAGGCCTATGGTGAGAAAGGAAATATCTTCAAGTAAAAACTAGACAGAAGCATTCTCAGAAACTTCTTTGTGCTGTATGTCCTCAATTAACAGAGTTGAACCTTTGTGTGGATACAGCATTTTGG